>NC_000006.12:23999393-24302424 GCF_000001405.40 Homo sapiens | reverse complement strand
TTGGGCTGCAGGCACAGCACTTCAGAGCTCAAGATTTTATAGGATTATTTTGTTGTTTTTCAGAATGCATTGTTTAAAAATTATCTTAATATTTTCGTAACAGAAAATGATTTCTGTTTTTTTTTTTTTTCCACAGATCATGAGCAGTGTGCCTAGGGCTTAAGGGAAATTTTCCTTTCTTTTCTTGAGAGCTTTGTTAAGGGCTTATAATATTGCTAAAGGGTGAGCTCAGAGTTTACAGAAATGCTGAGAAAAGCAAGGTTTTAACAAAGGCACAGGAAGTCTCAGGCAGTTCCCTAGAAACTGTAGATTTTCCTCATAGGAAAAAAAAAGCTAATATAAGCTTAGTGGTTTATATTTTTTTTCCTTTGCTTTTAAAGGTAAAACCAGTAATCCATAGCAGGATCAACGTGTCAGCTCGCTTTAGAAAACCGCTTCAGGAGCCGTGCACTATCTTGTAAGTTGAAACCCTTTATACTTCAAGTTAAAATTGGCTTGGTGGTTTCCTTTTGGTTTGGAATTTGTGTTGTAGTTTTCAAGGCATAACTGTTTCAGAAGGTTTGCCCCCTGTTTTCCAGCTTGATTGCAAATGGAGACCTCATAAACCCAGCTTCTCGCCTCCTTATCCCCAGAAAAACCTTGAATCAGTGGGATCATGTACTACAAATGGTCACAGAAAAAATCACTCTGAGGAGCGGGGCTGTTCACAGGTATGTCAAAACAATCTTGTAAGTGGAGGAGTTTTTGAATTGTTGAAGATATTCTCAGGAGGCTCCGGAGTCACTGGTCTGTGGATTTGAATTTTGGCTCCCCAGTTAGGCCCCGTATGCCTCAGTTTCTTTATCTGTAGAATGGAGATATACCTCATAGCGTTGTTTAAAATGAGGTAATCCACATACAGAGCTTAAAACAGTCATTGGCACATAGTAGCACATCTACAAATATTAACGATTTTTATTCTTTGATTTAGAGTGACTAGGCAAACATAACTTTAGTTGAGAAGGATTTTTTGAAAGAGCCAGCCCCTTAACTTTTTTTTTTTTTTTTTTTTTTTGAGATGGAGCCTTGCTCTGTCGCCCAGGCTGGTGTGCAGTGGCACGATCTCAGCTCACTGCAAGCTCCGCCTCCCGGGTTCACGCCATTCTCCTGCCTCAGCCTCCCGAGTAGCTGGGACCACAGGCGCCCACCACCACGCCCGGCTAATTTTTTGTATTTTTAGTAGAGACGGGGTTTCTCCATGTTAGCCAGGATGGGCTCGATCTCCTGACCTCGTGATCCGCCCGCCTTGGCCTCCCAAAGTCCTGGGATTACAGGCTTGAGCCACCAAGCCCGGCCCAGCCTCTTAACTCTTAATTGTCCGTTTTTTTTTTTTAAAGGGGTCATTTATGATTATTTGATAGTTTAAACTATTTGCCTAGGGTAAAAATCAGATATCAGGAAGTATTAGTGCATTTAAAGAGGAGGCATAGAAAGAATAATTTAGTGGGGTTGTCTAAATGTAAGAAGTCAAAAGCATTTTTTTCAGGTTCCAACATTTAAGTGAAGATTAACATCATAGATTTAAATTGTGAAGCCTATGAAATTATCCCTTGATGGAGGCTGACATTTATTTTCCGTCAGATGGGAGGGTTACAAATAACATATACATGTGCACAACATATTAAAAGTATGTATATGTATATACTGCTTTAGCAGAGTACACTGTTTCAAGTGTTTGTGTTTTCATACACACGTGATAAAATAGTTCTCAAATGATTGCATATTACGTCTTTCAGGTAAATGTGTATGCAGATTAATGTTTGTATATTTACACATATTAATATCCACAGTCTCATAGTCATTGAGATTTTAAATATAATTAGGTGTTTTAATTGAAAGGAATACTTTACATGTGGCAAAAAATTCAAATACGATATAAGTAAAGAGCATTTCTCCTATCTTAGGCATGTCCAGTCCTTCTCCCTAGTACTTTTCAGCATCATCCCGGAAATATTCTATGCATGTGCAAGCATATACATTTTTAATTTTTAATTTCATTTTTTTGAGACAGGGTCTCGCTGTGTCACCCAGGCTGGAGTGCAATGGTGTGATCTCAGCTCACTGCAGCCTCGATTGTGCAGACTCAATTGATACTCTTACCTCAACCTCCCAAGTAGCATGCACCACAACGTCTAGCTTTTGTTTTTTTTTTCTTTTTTGTAGAGATTAGATTTTGTCATGTTGCCCAAGCTGGTCTTGAACTCCTGGGGTCAAGCAATCCGCCCGCCTTGGCCTCCCAAAGTGCTGGGATTACAGGTGTGAGCCACTGTACCTGGACCACTTTTTAAAAACATTAAATGGAAATGCATACATATGTATAAATAAATAAATACATGTATACAAACACCCCCTTGATTTTTTCCTATAATAAATCTTAGAGATTATTCTTATCAGCACAGATACCTCTATTTTATTATTTTTAATGACTACAAAGTATTTTATTTATTTTTATTTTTATTTTTTTTTGAGATGGAGTTTCACTCTTGTTGCCCAGACTGGAGTGCAATGGTGGGATCTTGGCTCACTGCAACCTCCACCTCCTGGGTTCAAGTGATTCTCCTGCCTCAGCCTCTCAAACAGCTGGGATTACAGGCGCCTGCCACCATGCCCATCTAATTAAAAAAAATTTTTTTTCGTAGAAACTGGGTTTCACCATGTTGGCCAGGCTAGTTTCAAACTCCTGACCTCAAGCAATCCACCCGCCTTGGCCTCCCAAAGTGCTAGGATTACAGGTGTGAGCCACTGCGACTGGCCCAAAGTATTCTATTTTAACACAAAGTATTCCAAATCCTAATTTTTTCATTAAGAAATTTTTAGTTGGGCAACATCTCATTTTATAAAATAGAATGAGTGTTCCCAACTTAATTTTTTAGACCAGTTACCTCTTTTTTATAATTTCATTTGTTTATTTTAGGTTCAGGGAATACATTTGCAGGTTTGTTACATGGGTATATTGCATGATGCTGAGATTTCGGGTACAGATGTTGTCACCCAGGAAGTGAGCATAGTACCCAATAAGTAGTTTTTCACTCTATTTCCCTCCCCTCTCTAGCAGTCAACAGTATCTACTGTTCCTATTTTTATGTCCATCTGTACCCAATATTTAAGCTCCCACTTACTAGTGAGAATAAGTAGTATTTGGTTTTCTGTTCCTGCATTAATTTGCTTAGGATTATGGCCTCCAGCTGCATCCATATTGCTGCAAAGGACAGGATTTCAGTATTTTCCTGGCTGCGTAGTATTCCATGGTGTATATACACCATATTTTCTTTATCCAGCCCACCATTGATGGAGCACCTAGACTGATTCCACATCTTTGCTATTGTGAATAGCACGGCAGTGAACGTACCAGTGCATGCTTCTTTTTGGTAGAATGATTTATTTTCCTTTGGGTTTGATGGATATTTAGGTCATTTCTAATCTTTTGCTATTACATGTACATGTCTTTTTGTATAAGCAAAGTTTATCAGGATATAAAAGTCTAGAAGTTGAATTGTTGTATTAAGTTTCAAATGCCTTTAACATTTTGATAGATACTGCCAATTGCCTTCCAAAGAGTTTATTCTAATTTATATTTTCACCGGAAGTCTATGAACGGGCCTGTTTGTCATACTGTTACCTGTCTAGTAAAACTAACATTTAGTCTTTTCACTCATGTTGCGTGAAAATAGTATTTCATTGTTTTGGGATTTTTATTTAATATACAACATCATCTATTGACTATTTCTTATGTGTCAGGCATTATTCTCAGTGCTTTATATTTTTGACTTAATTAACTGAGCGACCCTATGAGGTAGGTAGTGTTTCTATTCTCTTTTAATAGACATGAGATGTGAGACATAGAGCAGGAAAATTATTTGCCCAGGGTTATGGAGATACTGAGTAGCAGGGCTGGGATTCAAGCCTAGTAGGCATTCCGGCTCCAGAGCCTGTGTTCTAAATGACCAAGGTACTCTGTAAGTAAATGCCACATATTTATATCCATTGTATCTGAACTGTCTGTCATGGCCTTTGCACGTTTATCTTATTGATTTATAGGCACTCTCCAGGGTTCCCCAACCCCCAGGCCATGGACTGGTACCATTCCGTGGCCTGTTAGGAACCCGACTGCACAGCAGGAGGTGAGTGGCAGGCGAGCATCACCGCCTGCACTCCACCCCCTGTCAGATCAGCAGCAGCATTAGATTCTCATAGGAGCATGAAGCCTATTGTGAACTGTGCATGCGAGGTATCTAGGTTGTGTGTTCCTTATGAGAATCTAATTCCTGATGATTTGAGGTGGAACAATGTCATCTCATAACCATCCCGTCCCCCACTCCGTCTGTGGAGAAATTATCTTCCGCAAAACCAGTTCCTGGTGCTAAAAAAGTTGGGGACCACTGCTCTAGACATATTGGGGAAATTGGCCTTTTCTGATATGTTTTAAGTACACTTCCAGTTTGCATTTTCTTTACATTTCTTTTTTCATACAAATATCTTAAATTTTAATGCAGTCTAATTTTCAATCTTTATAATCACTACGTTTTATGACTTGTTTAGATCTTCCTTACTCCAAGATTATAAGAATATTCTCCTATGTTTTCTCCTTGTATTTTAAAATTTTATTTAAACCTTTGATTTTGTTGGATTTTATTTTGGTGTCATAAGTAAAGGCAGATCTCAATAATTACAATTTTTTTTACATATATAATTTTGACATTTGACATATACATAAATGTAAATCCACCCTATAAGTAATAAAAAGGACACAAAGGTATATACAGGTAATTTCACAGCCAGATATACCTATTCATACATATATTAATATGAAAAAATTTACACACAGAAATAAAATATATTCAAGTAAAAATATAGAAATGAAAGTATAGTTATGTTGCTCAAACACTTGAATACTTAGAGAAACTTCTTTTTTTTTAAACTTGTATTTTAGGTTCACGGGTACATGTGCAGGTTAGTTGCATAGGTAAACTTGTGTCACGGTAGTTTGTTGTACAGATTATTTTGTCACCCAGGTACTAAGCCTAGTACCCAATAGTTACTTTTACTGTTCCTCTCTCTCCTCCCACCCTCTACCCTCAAGTAGGCCCCAGTGCCTGTTGTTCTTCTCTTTGTGCGCATGTGTCCTCATTTATCTCCCCCTTGTAAGTGAGGACATGTGGTGTGAGGTTTTCTGTTCCTGTGTTAGTTTGTAAAGGATGATGGCCTCCAGCTCTTTCCATGTTCCTGCAAAGGACATGATCTGACCCTTTTTTATGGCTGCATAGTATTCCATGGTGTATATGTACCACTTTTTCTTTATCCAGTCTACCACTGATGGACATTTAGTTTAATTCCTTTTCTTTGCTACTGTGAATAGTGCTGCAATGAACATATGTGTGCATGGGTCTTTATGGTAGAATGATTTATATTCTTTTGGGTGTATACCCAGTAATGGGATTGCTGGGTCAAACGGTAGTTCTGTTTTTAGCTCTCTGAGGAATTGCCACACTGCTTTCCACAATGATTGAACTAGTTTACACTCTGCCAGTAGTGTATAAGCATTCTCTTTTCTCTGCAGCTTTTCCAGCATCTATTATTTTTTGACTTTTTAATAATAACCATTTTGACTGGCATGAGATGGTGTATCATTGTGCTTTTTGTTTGCATTTCTCTAGTGATAAGTGATATTGAGCTCTTTTTCATATGCTTGTTGGCTGCAAGTATGTCTTCTTTTGAAAAGTGTCTGTTCATGTCCTTTGCCCACTTTTTAATGGGGTTGTTTTTTTTCTTGTAAGTTTAAGTTCCTTATAGATGCTGGATATTAGACCTTTGTCAGATGCATAGTTTGCAAAAGTTTCTCCCATTCTGTAGTTTATCTGTTTACTCTGTTGATAGTTTCTTTTGATGTGCAGAAGCTCTTAAGTTTCCCAATTGGTAAATTTTTGCTTTTGTTTTGATTGCTTTTGGTGTCTTTGTCATGAAATCTTTACCAGTTCCTTTGCCCAGGATGGTATTGCCTAGGTTGTCTTCCAGGGCTTTTATAGTTTTGCGTTTTATGTTTAAGTCTTTAATCCATTTTGAGTTGATTTTTGTGTATGGTATAAGGAAGGAGTTCAATTTCAGTCATCTGTATCTGGCTAGCCAGTTATCCCAGCACCATTTATTGAATAGGGACTCCTTTCCCCATTGCTTGTTTTTGTTAGTTTTGTCGAAGAACAGATGGAAGTAGGTGTACTGTGTTATTTCTGGGGTCTCTATTTGGTTCCGTTGGTCTACATTGTCTGTTTTTGTCCCAATACCATGCTGTTTTGGTTACTGAATCCATGTAACATAGTTTGAAGTTGGGTAACAGGATGGCTCCAGCTTTGTTCTTTTTGCTTAGGATTGTGTTGGCTATTTAGGTTCTTTTTTGGTTCCATTTAAATTTTAAAATAGTTTTTTCTAGTTCTGTGAAGAATGTTAATGGTAGTTTGATAGCAGTAATATTGAATCTGTAAATTGCTTTGGGCAGTATATGGCCATTTTCATGATACTAATTCTTCCTATCCATGACCATGGGCTGTTTTTTCCTGTTTGTTTGTGTCATCTCTGATTTCTTTAGGCAGTGTTTTGTAGTTCTCATTGTAGAGATCTTTTACCCGCCTGGTTAGCTGTAGTCCTAGATATTTTATTTTATTTTTTGTGCCAATTATGAAAATGTGCTCCTGATATGGTGCTCAGCTTGGGTGTTGTTGGAGTATAGGAATGCTACTGATTTTTGTACATTGATTTTGTATCCTGAAACTTTTCTGAAGTTATTTCTCAGCTGAAAGAGCTTTTGGGCCGAGACTGTGAGATTTTCTAGATATAGAATCATGTCATCTGCAAACAGGGATAGTTTGGACTTCATCTTTTCCTATTTGGATGCCCTTTAATTCTTTGTCTTGCCTGATGACTGCCCTAGGAAGGGCTTCCAATACTATGTTGAATAGGAGTGGCGAGAGAAGGCATCTCTTTCTTCTGCTGGTTTTCAAGGGGAATGCTTCCAGTTTTTGCCCATTCCGTGTGATGTTAGCTGTGGGTTTCTCATAGATGGCTCTTATTATTTTATGTTCCTTCAATACCTAGTTTATTGAGAGTTTTTAACTTGAAGGGATGTTGAATTTTATCGAAAGCCTTTTCTGCATCTATTGAGATAATCATATGGTTTTTGTTTTAAGTTCTGTTTATGTGGTGAATCACGTTTATTGATTTGCATATGTTGAATGAACCTTGCATCCCAGGGATAAAGCCTATTTGATCATGGTGGATTAGCTTTTTGAGGTACTGCTGGATTCAGTTTGCAAGTATTTTGTTGAGGACTTTTGTATTGATGTTCATCAAGGACAACAAACTTGGCGTGAAGCTTTCTTTTTTGTTGTGTCTCTGCCAGGTTTGGGTATCAGGATGATGCTGGCCTCATAGAACAAGTTGAGGAGGAGTTCCTCCTCCTCAATTTTTTGGAATAGTTTCACTAGAAATGGTACCACATTTTGTACATCTGGTAGAATTCGACTGTGAATCTGTCTGGTCCGAGGCTTTTTTTGATCGGTAGGCTATTCATTACGGATTCAATTTTAAGAGTTTGTTATTGGTTTATTCAGGGAATAAATTTCTTCCTGGTTCAGTCTTGGGAGGGTGTATGTGTCCAGGAATTTATCCATCCCTTTCAGGTTTTCTAGTGTGTGCATAGAGGTGTTCATAGTAGTTTCTGATGGTTATTTTTATTTCTGTAGGGTCAGTGGTAACATCCCATTTGTCGTTCCTAATTGTGTTCATTTGGATCTTCTCTCTTTTCTCCTTTATTAATTCAGCCGGTGGCCTATGTATCTTATTAATTTTTTTTTAAAAACCAACTCCTGGATCCATTGATCTTTTGAATAGTTTTTCATGTCTCGATCTCCTTCAGTTCACCTCTGATTTTGGTTATTTCTTGTCTTCTGCTAGCTCTGGAGTTGGTTTGTTCTTGCTGCTTTAGTTCTTTTAGTTGTGTTATTAGGTTGTTCATTTGAGATCTTTCTAACTTTTTTTTTGGAGACAGGGTCTCACTCTGTTGCCCAGGCTAAAGTGCAGTGGCATGATCTCTGTTCATTGCAGCCTCAACCTCCTGGGCTCAAGCGATCCTCCCACCTCAGCCAAGCAGCTGGAACTACAGGAGTGTGCCACCATACCCAGCTAATTTTTTTGTATTTTTTGTAGAGACGGGGTTTCACTATGTTGCCCAGGCTGGCCTCAAACTCCTGAGCTCAGACAATCTGCCCGGCTCAGCCTCCCAAGTGCTGGGATTATAGGCATAAGACACCATGCCCAGGCAACTTTTTGATGTGGGCATTTAGTGCTATAAATTTTCCTCTTAACACAGCCTTAGCTATGTCTCAGAGATTCTGGTATGTTGTATTTTTGTTCTCAGTTTCAAAGAACTTCTTGATTTCTGCCTTAATTTTATTATTTACCCCAAAGTCACTCAGGAGCAAGTTTTTTAATTTCCATGTAATTGCATGGTTTTGAGCAATTTTTAAAGTCTTGGTTTCTATTTTTATTGTGCTGCGATCTGAGGGTGTGTTTGGTATGATTTTGATTCTTTTACATTTTCTGAGGATTGTTTTATGTTTGGTTTTGTGGTTAATTTTAGGGTATGTGCCATGTGGCAATAAGAAAAATGTATATTCTGTTTTGGGATAGAGAGTTCCATAGAGGTTTATCACATCCATTTTGTCCAAGGTTGAGTTCAGGTCCTGAATATCTTTGCTAATTTTCTGCTTTTATGATCTATCTAATACTGTCAGTGGAGTGTTGAAGTTTCCCACTATTATGTGGGAGTCTAAGTCTCTTTGTGGATTTCTAAGAACTTGCTTTATGAATCTGGGTGCTCCTGTGTTGGGTGCGTATATATTTAGGATAGGTGAAATTCTTAATGTAATGGCAGATATGAGAGATTTGGTTGCTGCTCTCTTGGGATATGACCGTTTTCCTTTAACGTTAATAAATCTTATGGTTGGCCCCTCCCTATGCATCAGTATATTCATATATAAAAAGCATCCCATAAAAATTTACTGAACTTGCTTTTTATGTTTCTTGTGTTTGTAGCAAAAGAAGAAAGTAGAGCAACAACAGTTATATAAAAGAAGGCTAAAATCATGAATTAGAATTTATTCAGTGCTGGGCCAGGTGTGGTGGCTCACGTCTGTAATCCCAGCACCTTGGGAGGATCACTTGAGCCCAGGAGTTCGAGACCAACCTGGGCAACATAGCAAAACCTTGTCTCTATTAACAAAAAGAATTTATTCACTGCGTTTTACTTACCTGCAGAGGAAACAAGTCAAATCTTGGCTGTTTCCAGAGTCCACAGCTATGCTGGTTTTTAATTTCTAGCTATGAAATTACTACTGATTGAGATATAACTATTTTGAAGAAAAGTAGAAAAATAGTGCTTGGATATAGGCCATTGGCTCTCAAGCAGGTATGATTTTGCCCCTTGGGGACATTTGGCAGTGCCTGAAACCATTTTTGGTAGTCCCAACTGGGGATGGGGTGGCTACTGCTACTGTTTAGTGGGTGGAGGCCAAAGGTGCTGCTAATAAACATCTTACAATGTACAGGGCAGCCTACTCACCTTTCCAGCAAAGAATTATCTGGTCCAAAATGTCAATAATGCCAGTATTCAGAAACCCTGGTCAAGTGTTTTTTGAGATAGCGTCTTACTATGTTGCCCAGGCTGGTCTTGAACTCCTGGGCTCAAGCGATCCTCTTGCCTTAGCCTTCCAAGTAGCTGGAACTATAGGCATAGGCCACCATGTCCAGCTTAAGTTAAGGCAAAAAACATAGAATTCTGGGTTAAGTGTTGATATTTAGACTTGTTAGGAGTAGAGGTACAATGTTATAAAGAAAGAGACTTTACCATCTGTATACTAACTAAAAACACAAATACATTTCAGGAATGTTGGTGGCTATTGGTGGCTATTTTCATTGTATTTCATGGTTCTGTATGATATGGCCATTTATGTCATCAGGAAACAAGCTGACAGGTCAATGGGTTTTTTTTTTTGCGTCTGTAAATGACATTTAATCTTATTATGTAATATAGGAAGACAGAAAGCTTTTTGATGATACTGAAATCCTTCCATTTATTAATAGCTCTTGCTTATAACCTTAAAAAATATGCACTGTCTTTCTGGTTTAGTTTTCTAATACTTATTTTCCTGTTCTTTAAAAAAATTTTTGTGGACATTTAAAATCATCTGGTAAAATTATGACTGTTCTTTTAATAAGTAACATATTAATTGTAGCTCGTAGCAGCAGTTTTACAGTAAAGGAAGGTTACTGTGAAACTGCTCGATTCTGGGAAGATATAATGTTCACTCTTGTTTTGCTTAGTAGGGACGGCAAAAAAAAAGAAAGAAGCACAAATGCTATGCAGTTCTGCATCATTAACACTGGCAATGGGTTCTTTTACCTCCTGCCCTCTCACCCCATTGTTCCTGACCCGGTTCTCTGTGTGTTTGTATGTAATATTTTGGTTGAGGGCTGTTCTTACACAGAATGTGGTCAGAAGCTTGCCAGCCTGATGAATATGCTAAGAAAATAAAATTTAAAAGTATTAACAAGGCCGGGCGCGGTGGCTCATGCCTGTAATCCCAGCACTTTGGGAGGCCGAGGCGGGCGGATCACGAGGTCAGGAGATCGAGACCATCCCGGCTAAAACGGTGAAACCCGGTCTCTACTAAAAATACAAAAAATTAGCCGGGCGTAGTGGCGGGCGCCTGTAGTCCCAGCTACTTGGGAGGCTGAGGCAGGAGAATGGCATGAACCCGGGAGGCGGAGCTTGCAGTGAGCCGAGATCCTGCCACTGCACTCCAGCCTGGGCGACAGAGCGAGACTCCGTCTCAAAAAAAAAAAAAAAAAAAAAAAAAAGTATTAACAAAATATAAATAGAAGAATCAATGTTCAATGGAAACAGAGCTTTATTTAAAGCACTGTGATCTGTACAAGTTAATTTTTCTCCTCTAAAATTTTAATATGGCAGCAATAGGGATCCTTATGCCAGATCATCAGACTCACTGGGGTGAAACCCTGTACAGCAAGATAGTCATTGTATCTGCATTATAACATTAGTATTTAGTGGAATCTGATAACTTTGAGGCATCTATAATGCAATAATGAGGATAGTAACAAATGAGCTAAATTAAGTACAGAATGTTTTTATTTACTATGTAATTTTAATTTTTTTGACATCCAGAATACTTTGTAATCTTAAGCAATTCTTTAAATGTTGGTTAAAATTCTAATTGTTGGTGTTCATATTTTCGACAGGCTTTATACTTTAGAAGGAAAACTTGTTGAGAGTGGAGCAGAGTTGGAGAATGGGCAGTTTTATGTGGCTGTTGGCAGAGATAAGTTTAAGAAACTGCCTTACAGTGAGTTACTTTTTGACAAGTCAACGATGAGAAGGCCTTTTGGGTAAGTCTTACTCCTTACCACTCCTCATGCTTTAGTTACCACTTGAAATAGCATTGGGTCTTTTGCTGACCACCATTATATTTTATGTAATTGATAATCTTATTTATTACTTAGAATGGAAAGCATATATGGTATACATTGATCTTTGTTTTTATTGCCATGATGGGAGACTGAAAGCTATTGAACAAAAATATAATTTCTGGGAAGTTATGAAAGACTACATGGTTTTTTTTTAGCATGCATGAAATTTATAAGTAAATGCAAAAATTTATTATTGTGAAGAAGATACAGGGCAATGAGCTTCTCTACAGCAAACATTATTAGAAGTTTTTGTGTCTTAATAGTTGCTAGACCAAATAACTTTTCAGTTGGTTTGGATAGAAACATCCAAGAGTGTTAAAAAACTCATAATATTTTATACTTGTTTTAATAATAACTGTAAAATATAAAAACAACATAATCCCACTTATGCAAATAGAGAGGATGGGTGTACAGTTAATTCATGTAAAATTTTAAGGATTATATTTTTAATTACAATATACCGTAAACAGTTTTTCTCCATGAAATGTCATATATTTGTGAAAGATGCTTTATTTCAGCCTAGGAGATACACTGCGGAGTCACTCAAGAAGAGCTCTGGGCCGGGCGCGGTGGCTCACGCCTGTAATCCCAGCACTCTGGGAGGCCGAGGCGGGCGGATCACGAGGTCAGGAGATCGAGACCATCCCGGCTAAAACGGTGAAACCCCGTCTCTACTAAAAATACAAAAAATTAGCCGGGCGTAGTGGCGGGCGCCTGTAGTCCCAGCTACTTGGGAGGCTGAGGCAGGAGAATGGCGTGAACCCGGGAGGCGGAGCTTGCAGTGAGCTGAGATCCCGCCACTGCACTCCAGCCTGGGCGACAGAGCGAGACTCCGTCTCAAAAAAAAAAAAAAAAAAAAAAAAAAAAAAAAAAAAAAAAGAAGAGCTCTGGCCCATGCTGCAGGATCTCTCGGCTTGCTCATGGTGCCCAGGGATCCATCTCTGTTGCTTTTCCCAGAGATTCTGTGGCCACCTTGCCATTGCAAAAAAAAATTTTTTTTGGTTGTCGTCCGCAGAAGTAGAGCAGAATATCACCAGTGTGTTTGCAATTAATTCACAATTTGTGTAACTTGATGGAGAGGCTGGCCAAGAGCTTCTAAATAAGTAATAGATGAAGTGGAATTTCAGGGGTGGTGTTTGAACTATGCAAGAGCACATGGTTTTCTAGCACCTTTGAATTATTTACCAGCTGACTTATCGCTAACCAACCTTACCCATCCATGAAATCAAATCTTTAGCCATCTTTGCTAAGCAGCCCTAGGTTAACCTGCTGTGATCAACAGTGTGTACCTGATGGTAATAAGAAAACTGTAACTCACGTTGGCCTTTCTCATACAATTAATAAGAATTTTTTTTATATATGTGTCCTTCTATTTTTGGAGAGATTCAGTTGGGTTTCAAGATGGGTCTTTTCCTAATAATACAGATATCAACAAAACAACTTATTCTTACAGCCTAAAATAATTTTTAACTTTTTGGTGAGGACGACTTGTTTAAAAACTACCTGAATGCAAATGCCAGTGTTTTACCTCTGCTCTCCTATCAGAGGTAGACATAGAAGACATCATAGAAACGAAGGAAATTTGTTTTTAACTCAGTCTGGAAAAATCATTATTCACATTTGGAAATGATTTTTTGAAATGCAAATAGGACACTTTGGGATCTGGATAAAAATGCTATACAAATTTCAGGTGATACTAAAAGTTTACTTGTAAGCATTGATTAAAATATTATACAGGAAAACATTACAAATCTTTTGGGATGGAATTTGGAAATGTTATGATCTTTGTGAAATTGGGAAAGTATGTGTTAAAGTGTATGTTATCTACCTTTTGTGAAACACAGCAGTAAACAGTTGACTTCCAGGTGGGGATGATAATTATCTTGCATTGTACATTATTTGTAAACAACATTCAGATTTCTAAATTGCAATTTGTTTCCACAGTCAGAAAGCTTCTTCACTACCTCCTATTGTAGGATCCAGAAAGTCTAAAGGGAGTGTAAGTATCAGATGCTTTCCTCGTTGATGTTCTATATTTTTATATGATACAAAGAGACTGTCCTTTGGGCTTCAATTAAGTTCCAAGAGATAAAACTTAGCCGCTTCGTGGTGTATAACCAATTATGTGAAACAGCACTAGAACTTTAATGTTACACTTATGGTCCTAAACAGAGCTAACATTTTTTAGAATATGTATTTTAAAATTTTTTCCTTGTATATACACCTGACATAATTTATATTGCACTTAAAATCTTGGCAATAATACTTTAAACTGTAAGAACCATTGTAGTAGGTCACATCAATGATCATCCAGTCTTGGTTTCTATCTTTAACGAAGACTAAAAGGGAAGTTTCGCTGAGAAAAGGGGTATAATCCTCATTAATATTCCTTGAAAAGATTGAGAATTGTTCTAGGTATTTAGTTTGCCATCTGAATCTTTTCCATTTATCATTTATTCATGGTTTGTTAATTCAGCAAACATTTATTAAATACCTACTCTGTGGGAGTAACGACAGCATTTAGTAGGTAATTTCCTAACCTTCTTGTGTTTTCAGTCTGCGCTCCCTGATGGGGTGAGCTCCATGTCATGCCAGAGCGTTGCCTTGGCAGTTCTTCCTGGCTGAGGCTTCTCTTTCTTCCCTTTTGGTTGAATTGCCCGACAAGTTGTGATCAGAACTGATTTGACATCTTCCACCCACACCCTGAATTAATTAAGCAACATTCTTATTTTGGTATTTTGTAAAGTAAATGATTTCTAGGCAATGATATTGTCTCCTAATGATTTAGATCCCTCCTTTTTTTTGGTTATATCATGTGAAATTCTTGAAAGAAAGACAAATAATTTTGTGTACATAAGTAGTGCCGAACTCAGCATAACAGATATTAAGAACTCATTAGCTGAGACTCTTATACTATTATGACAAAAATAAAATAAAAATCAATAGAGCTCTTGCCCTCAAGCAACTTACAATCTACTTGAAATAAAGAAGATAGCTTAAAAAGGCAACAAACAAGCTAATGCTAAACATCAAATATCTAGAGATTGGTGACCATGAGAGGGAGGGAAGGACTGAATGTACAATGGCAGCAGTCCACAGAGGAAGTTGAATTTGAGCTCTGCCTTTGAAACTGTTTAAAATTCAGAAAAAGGTAGATGAGGGGAGAGGACCTTCAGATCCAAGGGAGGGTGAGATGGTTGGGGCAGACGTGGGCATGCGAAGAAGCAGTCACGCTGGCTGACATTTACCGGGCCCTTGTGGGCTCAACACTATGCCAAGCTCTTTACAGTAGTGATTTATTTAACCTCACCCCACAAGGCAGGCATCTTTGTCATCTACATTTAAAAAGGAATGAAAAAAGGAAGTACACAGAGTAGAAGTGACAGGTTCAAAGGCTCCCATTGAAGGCAGAGGTTGCAGTGAGCAGAGATTGCCCCACTGCACTTCAGCCTGGGCAACAGAGTGAGACCCTGTCTCAAAAAAATGAAACAAAATAACATAAAATACAATACAATACAAACAAAGGCTCCTACTGAGCAAATGGCAGGGGAGGAGGGGAGGAATTGCATCCACACAGCCAGCTCAGAGCTCCTGCTCCCGAGCCCCGGGACAATGAGTCCCTTAGGCTGACTGGAACAGATGGTCCTTTTTGGTGTGGGGGCTGATGTGCCTGACATGGTAGGTGGTGACAGTTATTACATGACCTTGAATAGCAGAATGAAGAGTCTAGTGTTTGTCCTTGAATAGAGGGCAGCCCACAAGGGCTTCTGAGAGGTGAGAATATTAATCTGAGTCCATTTTGGGAGCATCAGATCTTTTACATGGAGGAAGACTTCACGTGGTGAGAAGCCATAGATAAGTCGATGGTTGTAAGGCAGTTGCAACTATCTTGGTATGAGGGGAAAGGAGCCTAGACTGGGGAGGTGGTAGAGGCAGCAGGAAGTGATGATTATTCTGGAAGAAACCAAGGAACAAAGGATTTGTGTGATGATTGGATACAAGGGGTTAATGGAGAAATTGGGGCCAAAGATAACTGAGGTTTTTAAGCTTGGAATTTGAGAAAATGGTAGTTCTATGGCCAAGAAGAAGGCAGCCAGGGCAAAGAATGACCTACGTAATTTCAAACATGTTGAGTTGGAAGTATCATCAGGAAACTTAGTTGAAAGTGTGCTGCAAGCAGTTGTAAATGGCAGAGCTGAGGCCTGCCAAGGACATCAGGACTGAAGCTGCAGTTGCAGGTGGTTTTTTTTTTTTTTTTGAGACAGGGTCTCACTCTGTCACCCAGGGTGGTGTACAGTGGCATGATCATGGTTTACTGTAGCCTTGACCTCCCAGGCTCAAGCGATCCTCTCACCTCAGTCTCCTGAGTAGCTGGGACTCCAGGCATGTGCCACCATGCCTGGCTAATTTTTGTGTTTTTTGTGGAGACAGAGTTTCACCTTGTTGCCCAGGCTGTTCTCAAAGTCCTGGGCTCCAGCGATCGGCCTGCCTTGGCCTCGCAAAGTGTTAGGATTACATGTGTGAGCCACCGCACCTGGCCTGAGTTGTAGATTTGAACAACCATGTAATGGTCCTAGTTGAACAGCAGACGTAGCATCACTGTGGTACTTCATCACCCAGCACAGCTTGAACAGAGCAGGTCTCACTGGTGCTGCCAAGTGAGAGAATGGATGAGGGGCTCCTAGAGGAAGATGGTGCGGTGAGAATTACAGAGGGCCCAGGCTTGAGGCAACCTAACTTCACAGGTGCGGGGTCAAAGAGGAGTGAGAAGAATATTTCAGGAGGTGAAAACAATATCAGAGCAACTATAAAGCTAAATAAAACTCATGAATTTAGGGATTGGAAATTGTATTTTGCTTTTTTTGTTTTTCTTTAGGACTTTGTAGCAGAATCCCTTCTGTGTACTGTATAGATATTAGCTTATTAATTCTCACAGTGCAGCTAGAGGAATGATTACAGAGACCGATTGTAATTGAATAAATTGATCAATAAATTGATCCCAAGTCACAGGGAAAGTCGATGTCAGGACCAAAGTCATGACCCAACTCTTTGTATTCACAGTGACTGAACTTTGGAATGATATGTTTAGTATTCTGAAATTTGAAAAACTAAAATTTTAATTAAAAATGTGTAGAGCATTTCCTGCTTTAAAATGCATGTGTAGGTACACACATGCAATTTTTATTTCTTGCTCATTTGTAAGTTTTTTAGACTGTGCTGTGAATACTGTGATACATCAATGTCATCACATCAATTCATCTGATGATTGAATTTTCCAGGTGTATGGCACAGTAGTAAGCCCCAGGGATACAGCAATGAGCGCAAAGATCTGATGCTCTCTCTGATACTCGTGGTCTACTTGAGTAGACAAAAGTGAAACAAGCGATTCCATTAATCAATGGATACTTATGAAGTATAAAAATGAAAGAAAAGTGCACAGTAATATGAAAGACAATAAAAGAAAAACACATTTAGATAGGTGTGTCAGGGGAGGCCTCATGGAGGAAGTGACGTTAAGCAAAGACTCAGTTATAAGGTATATTTGCATCCCATAGAAAGCAAAGTTGTCAAACGTAGTTCCATGCTATGACTTAGAAAAATAAAATGATAGCAGAGTTTGTCCCTCTTTCCACAGTGTTCCCGTAGCACCCTGTATTCATCCACTCCATCCGTCATCCATTCCAAACATACTCACTGAGCTCCTACTAAGTGCCAGGAACTGTAGGCACTGAGCGTATAGTGGTAGATAGATGAGGACTTAGATTTATGGTGCTTTCATTCTAGTGTGTGTGTGTGCATGTATGTGTGTGTGGGGGGGAGGGTATGGATGGGATGAATGGGAGTAGACAGACGATCAACTAGTAAACAAATGTACAAATAGTTTCAAATGGTGATAAATGCTATGGGGAAAATAAAATGTAGCAGGGCATTGATTTATATAAAATTGTCTGAAACTGAGACCTTAATGATATCTAACACAGCCAATTGTGCCAGGGATGAGGCCGGGGAAGAAGAGCATCCAAGGCAGAGGAAACAAAGTCACACAGGCCCTTGCTAAAGAGCCTGGCATGTGAGGAGGGCAGAAAGAAGGCCGTGAATGAAATCGGAGAGGCAGGCAGGGCTCAATCATATAGGCATGCAAAGAGTTTGGATTTTATTTCTTGATGGGGTGCCATTTGAGGGTTATAGGGAGGGAGTGATATAATTTGCTTCAAAAAAAATTTTTTTTTTTTTTTTTTTGAGACAGAGTCTCACTCTGTTGCCCAGGCTGGAGTGCAGTGGCATGATCTCGGCTCACTGCAACCTCTGCCCCACGGGTTCAAGCAATTCCCTGCCTCAGCCTCCCGAGTAGCTGGGATTACAGGCGCCCGCCACCATGCCTGGCTAATTTTTGTATTTTTTTTTTTAGTAGAGACGGGGTTTCACCATCTTGGCAAGGCTGGTCTTGAACTCCTGACCTCATGATCCACCTGCCTCGGCCTCTCAAAGTGTTGGGATGAGAGGCGTGAGCCACCACGCCTGGCCTGCTTTACATTTTTAAGTGCTCATTCTGGCTGTGGTATCTCTAGAGAAATGGTTTGGGGCAAGAATAGAAGCAGGAGGCAGTGGGACACGTACAGGTATGTGATATAGGTGAGTCCGCTAGGTGGCCGCAGTGGGGGCGGACATCTATTATAACTCTTCTTTGAGTATATTGTCATTGACTGATTCGCTGATCCAACAACTATTTATTGAGTTCATATGATGTCCTGGGACTGTTCTGGTGCTTCAGGGCCCAGAGATTCTGAAGTACTAAATGCACGGAGGTTACATTCCAGAAACAAATGCACAATACGTGTGATATACACCAGGGATAAACATGAATAAAAATACATGAAGACATGGGAAGAGGAAGTGAGAGAGGGTGCTATTTCAGCTGGGTGGTTGGAAAGGCCTCTTTCAGGAGGTCACGTTTGAGTAGAGGAGAATAACCCCTGGCACAGTGCCCAGTGCCTGGTAGGTTCTCACAAACTCGGCTTAGGCAGTGTGTGAATGTTTGGCATTGAGCCACACAGAACTTCCTATGCCAGTAAATCCAAAGTCACAAGCTCGATTTTTAACAGGATTAATTTACTCCTTTCCTTTAATGAATTGGTTCCCAGGAGAATGCATGCATTTTATAGATCATTAGCTGCCTGGCACTGCGAGGAGGGGTGTGAGTGAAGGGGACTGTGTGGGGAGAGCTTAGCTTCTGGCTGTAGGAACCACTGCAAAATCCATGGGGAAAGCACCCTAAATTCATGATGCAAATCAAAGGGGACACAGAACTAGAGTTTTAGAAATTTATTTTTCCCTACATGGCTTTCTAGGAATTGCTCTTTTGCATATAGAAGGGAGTGTGGATGAGGGACTGGTAGAGCTTGAGAGAGAAAGAGAGAAAGCAGCTGCCATAGTGTACACAGGGACCCCTGCTGGTGCGTAACTGAGTTGGTCAGGGAGCCTGGGGAATGCCTTGTGCAAAGCAAGACAGACCAGAAGTCATTCCTTTTATAGCCTCAGTGCTGCGGGAGTCACAGAAATTAGCATGTTGAGAAAAATTTTAAGTTGTGATTCTAGCCTTAAAAACAAAAGGAAGATGTAAATAAATTATCTTAAATTCGCTGAGCTTGAAGAATAAACCCATCTGCAGAAGGCTGTTTTCTAGTGACAAGGTGACACCATGTAGAATCATAGCACCCTCTATCGGAAAAGACGAAAAAATTAGGAAAGTATTTGAAAGTGAAAGCCAACGACTAAATGATCTTTTGTTGTCCTTATTACCATTTGGCTTATACATCTTATGGTCAGTAGTTTACAGGATCAAATATTATGATTTCTACGGTTTTGACAAAAAAATTTCGTTATTATTCAAGTATCACAATGTCACTGTGAAGCAAGTTATACACATATTAAGATGAATTCCTTATACTCCAAAACTCCATTTTGCCATGGGGGAAACTGAGGCTGGTATAGGTAAAAGGGCTTCTTACTCTTGTCATCACCAGATATGCAGATGAGAGAAATGTCAGGTGCAGTCCCCGTCTAGTCCCTACCCCCCACCCCCAGCTTATAATGTCTCTGGGTGCACCCATGAAATACATCGTGAAGGCTGCTCACTGAGGCAAACCTCTCACGAAATTATTTTAAATTTGATGTTTTTTGGTCTATATGTTTTTGGCACATTTTCATGGGGACTGGAAATGAGTTTTTATGCTAATGAAAAAAACCTGAGTTGGTTGGATCTAGTTGGAAAGAGCCTAGGGAACTGTTTAAGAAGTATCCCAATCTTGGCCAGGTGTGGTGGCTCACGCCTGTAATCCCAGCACTTTGGGATGCCAAGTGGGGAGGATCATTTGAGGTCAGGAGTTTGAGAGCAGCCTGGCCAACATGGTGAAACCCCTTCTCTACTAAAAATACAAAAATTAGCCAGGTGTGGTGGCGGGTGCCTGTAATCCCAGCTAATCAGGAGGCTGAGGCAAGAGAATCACTTGAACCTGGGAGGCGGAGGTTGCAGTGAGCCAAGATAGCACCACTGCACTCTAGCCTGGGCAGTAGGGTGAGAGTCTCAAAAAAAAACAAAACAAAAAATATCCCAATCTTGGTAGAGTGAGGGATGATTGGAGGCTGTTTTAGGCTTTTTGTTTGTTTGAGCCAGAGATTTGGTATTCCTTTTGGATATACTGATATGCATGTGAGACAAAGGGCAGGACAGTGGTTGGAGTATCTCAAGGGGTCTAGTTTTTGCATAGGACACCCTGTCAAATTAGGCTGCTTCTTGATTTCTTCCACTTTGAGAAAAAGCCATAATTTGTTACTTCTGGGATGGCTGTTTTAGGGAACCATACTATGTAATAGGAGTTTTTAGTGCTTTGGACATTAGAAAGTTTCAGTGTAGTAGAAAAATCAGACCCTTAGAAAGTTAATTTATTTATCTATAAAATGGTGATAATAATACTTATCTATAAATTTGTTAAGTATTTGTGTTAATGTATATGTAGCATGTAAGGGACACCCAGTGATATCGTTTTATTTCTGGGATAGCTGTATGAGATAGCAAAACTCCCCTATCTCTTATGCTCTGCCAATAGCAATGACTATCTATGTATTTGAGTTACAAGTCACATGTGGAAGCCTTACAGAAAGAAAAAGCTCCCTCTCTCCCTTTGTCCTTTCCCCTCTCTAACTATGTATAATTTATGTAATTGTGTAAAACAAATATATGAATTATATGTGTATATAATTTATATATATAGTGTATTATGTATTTTCACATGAACACTTTAGATGAATCAACTTTTTTCTCTTCTCCCCCTTCACCCTCCTTTTTTTTTTTTTTTTTTTTTTCTTAAAAGCATTTAGCTGGGTGCAGTGACACATGCTTGTAATCCCAGCTATTGAGGAGGCTGAGGTAGGAGGATTGCTTGAGTCCAGGAATTTGAGGCCAGCCTGGGGAACATAGCAAGAGCCTATCTTTAAAAAAAAAAAAAGCATTTCAATTATTTTAAATTTTCTAATTACAAAACAATTCTTTCCTGTCTTAGTTTAGTTTACTTTTTACTCACAAAGTTCCTGGAAAGTAGTTATTACTCAATAATTGAATGCATGAGTGTCAACTGCAAAATCTATGCATTATGTAGTGATTTGAATCAATTAGTCTTTCTTGATACTCCAAAATTACCCTTTTTCGAGTGTCTTTATCAGAAATTTGATAAATCGGAACTTTCCTGTCTATTCATAAACAAGAGTGGTGACTTAGAAAGACACGCACTCCAGAGTGGGGCTTCTGCGTCTCCCTTGTCGTGCCCCTTTGTGAGTAATGCTTTCCCCAGAGAACTGCAGAAAATGATCCTGCTGAGCTACAGGGTTTCCCATTCATTGGGTTCCATTCCAGTCCTTGCAAGTTCAACAGCATCTCAGAACATTCTAGTAAGCTTGCTAACGGCGTGTGAAAGGTTGATCTTCTCATCTAAAGCTTTTAAATTTTTAAAATCGACCATGTGCAGTGGCTCACACATGTAAATCCCAGCACTTTGGGAGGCTGAGGTGGGTGGATCACCTGAGGTCAGGAGTTCAAGATCAGCCTGGTCAACATGGTGAAACCCTGTCTCTACTAAAAATTCAAAAAAATTTACCTGGGTGTGGTGGTGTGCACCTATAATCCCAGCTACTTGGGAGGCTGAGGTAGGAGAATCTCTTGAACCTAGGTGGCGGAGGTTGCAGTGAGCCGAGATTGCACCACTTTACTCCAGCCTGGATGACAGAGTGAGATTCCATCTAAAAAAAAATAAATAAAATTTTAAAATCTTGGGATGAAAGACTCCATTGAGAATAAAAGGGACTATGAGACTTGGCTGATGCTTTTGGAACTTCTGCTATAATCGTATATTTCTTCTGCCAGACAGTTTATGGCAGAGCTTAAGTTTCTCAAGAAAGAATCCTCAAAGAAAAGAAAAAAAAAAAAAACCCCTGGTTGCAGTGACCATAATAATTAAATGGAAACTGTATGTTTAAATTGCAGTTGGAATAGGAAATTAAATTACACAAAAAGTGTTATAGATTTGGACAAGTTTTCATACTGTTAATAAACCTATGCATAATTCATTTACTTGTAGGCTATGACAAAATAGCATAAATAACTTCATTTGTAAGGCTGTGAATTTTTCCATTCCTAATTGGATGATGGCTAAATCCATTTAAATGCTTCTGGATGACTGAATATATAAATGCTTAAAATGAACAGTTATAATAGTTTTCTAGGCAGATTTGTTTATTTAATATTACTACATTTACTTTCAGACACAAGCATAGTACAGATGTTGCATAAAGATTACACTCAATACGGTGTGAGTTTGATATGATTTTTAAGAAAAATATTAACTCTCTGCTCTTGAAGACAGCATTCTAATACTTATTAAACAAACACCATACATCACGCACTGTACTAGTCACTCCATAAGCCTTATCATTGCATCCTCATGCTAGACCTAAAGGCAAGTACATTAACTCCACTCAAATGATGAGGAAACTGAGGCTTAGAGAAATTAAGAGTTAGTTAAGGCATGGTCCCTGTGTTCAGTGGCAGAGCAGTAGCTCTCAGCCATGTATCTGGGGTTTCTAAAACTTGCATTCTTTCCACTACCTGCAGCCTCTCACCACATACTCTCAGGTAAGTTTAGCACCTGAGCATCTGAGAGCCAAGGCTGCCTTAGTAAGGGAGTTTCTTGTTCTTTTTCTCTTTTTTCTTTTTGTTAGAGATGGGGTCTCACTTTGTTGCCCAGGCTGGAGTACAGTGGTGTGATCACAGCACACTGCAATCTCAAACTCATGGGTTCAAGTGATCCTCCTGTGTCAGCCTCTTGAGTAGCTGGGGCTACAGGCATGTACCAGCACGCCAGGCTGATTTTTTTAATTGTTAATTTTAGAGATGGAGGGTCCTGCTATGTTGCTTAGTCTGGCCTCAAACTCCTGACCTCCAGTGATCCTCCCACCTTTGCCCCCTAGGTAGCTGGGACTATGCTTAGGCTGGCCTCAAACTCCTGACCTCAAATGATCCTCCCACCTCTGCCTCCTAGGTAGCTGGGACTACAGGCTGGAGCTACCATGCCTGGCAAGAGGGAGTTTCTTGCTGTAGCAGTGGCTCAGTATCAGCACAGCTGTTCCTTGCAGTAGCCCCCAATGTAGTGGCTGCTATGTGGCTCCCCAGGAGCTGTACTGGGCCAGTGATAAAAGCCACCGAAACTCAACCTCCCTTTTGTGTGGAGGAGCCCACTTTTGGCAGCCACAGGGTCTTCATTGTGAGAGACACATGGGGACCAGAGATAACCATGGAAGGTGTGATCACCCAGGCTGCCTTGTGGGAGTAGGGGCAAGCAGCTGCGCAGCTCCCTCAGGAACAAGTGGGGACATGTGGTCGTGAGCCTCTTGAGTCTGTGTGTGGCTCTGGATTTGCGATTCTTAGAGACCATGGTGGTCACCAACAGACTCGTTAATATTGGAGAATTTCTACAAGCAGAGTGTATGGCTGCTTGTAGGATGACATCTATACACCCATAGCGACAACTTGTTACGAAGGTATTTGTAGATTAATTGATCACTGTAGGGGAAGTCACCATTTCTCATCCAATAGACACTGGCTGGTTCTGCAGAAAGGTGCAGGAGTGAGAGGATTGTTAAGGCAGTGGATTTACAGTGGTTTTGGAGGCAGCTGCTCTGCCCCTGACTGGCTACAGGATCTTACACAAGATTTATCCTCTAAACCCCACTTGCTGATCTCTACAGTGACGTGGTAATAGTAGTGTCTATCTCACTAGCATGAGGCTAGTGAGCTAGTAACTAGGGCTAGCATGAGGATTGAGTGAATACAATTTTATAGAATACCTGGTACATATTAAGAACCCAATGATTGTTAGCTATTATTTTTATCCTCCTTCCTCTCCTAGACCCTTTTGCCTCCAGGAAGATACATTTGGAGTTAATGTATAAAGATAGACAGTTGCAGAACCAGGACAATACACCTCCCTGCCCCTGCCCTGCTTACCAGTAGTTAATGACATGTATTTACTGGGAATGTTTTTGAGAGTTCATTAGCTAATAATAAGGGTCTAATACTTTGCCATTTAGGGAAATGATCGCCACTCTAAGTCAACAGTTGGATCCAGTGACAACTCATCTCCTCAGCCCCTGAAGAGGAAAGGGAAAAAAGAAGACGTGAATTCAGAAAAACTGACGAAATTGAAACAAAATGTAAAATTAAAGAATTCACAAGAAACCATTCCAAATAGTGGTAAGTGTGTTATTATTATCTTAAGGCTGTGATACAATTTTAATTCTTAAATAGATCCATTGTTTCTCTGGGCCCACAGAAGATATTCCTTATTTTCATATATGAGAGTTTTCAAAGAAAATTGTATTTGTATATGAGAGATGCTGCTGTTTTTATGCTTGGTTTTTATTTGTAATTAGATGTTGTGCCATGAGGACACTTATTTTGAGATCAAATATATTTTGTGGTAGTCTTATTTTAAAAGTATGTTTTTTTCATCCTCTGCTCCCACTGATATTGCTTGATTAATATTTTTACCTACAACTACTATGATATTGGTCTCTTATTTGTGTGTCTGTAACCCTTGCCCACATTCATTATGATTTATTAGTCAAAGATCATCTTTACTGAAAAGTCATTTTGTTAATTATACTGATAACCAAGAGAACACTAAATAGACATAACATTTTATCAGTAAACAATAACCTATTCAGCAAAATTAGATGTAGTTTCATCTTGCACTAGCAGGTGAGAGATGGTATAAAATAAAAATAAAAAATTGCATTAGTCCAAGATTTCACTGGTATGAGATAAAAGTGTGGTAGACTAAGGAAGTATGTAATGAAAATTGTTAACTTTGATGTTAGGGTTTTGTAAGAGGGGCGACTTTTGGTTTTATTCCCAGTGTGTTCTCAGAGTGGAGTGACGCTGGGGTGGGAATGGCTGGCTGGGAAGCAGACCAGTGGAATGACTCCTGCTCCTCTTGCCCTGAGATCCCCTCACACACCCCACCCCACCACACCCCACCCGTGGGACTGTGAGGGGTTCCAGGAAGAGGACTGATGGGATCAGGTTTCAGATTAATGGGCAAAGCCTTACCTTCCACCTGGGAGCTCCAGCTTATTTCAAAGTCGATATGAAGAGTTACATTAGAATTAGAGCTAATATGAGCTTCACAGCTGAGGAGACAGTTTGAACTCCTGTGAGAGTTTAGAGGAAGCTGCACAAATGATTAAAGAGTCAGAACAAAGACACGTGAGGCTAGGTTAAAAGAACAGGCGAAATGGGTGAACCAGTTGCACAGAGAAGTGGAGGGGTCTAAATCATCAAAGACCTAAATGATCGAGACTAGCTGGAAGTCAGGAGTCCTAGATTCTCGTCCCAGCTCTGCCATTGACCTTGGGCAGCTCATTTAACTTTTTTTTTTTCTTTAGCTCTATTATCTATCTGAAAAATGTGGGTTCTTATGAAGATTTCTTTTTAAAGTTTTGATTATCTTGAAATTTGTACAGTCCTTTCCCGTGAGTAGCAAACAAGGAGGCTAGGGTGAAATACAGTCAACAAATATTTACCGAGTGCCTATTGTGTGACAAGAATCAAAGAAAAGAAATTAGCCCTAAGAACATACCCTACCTTGAACACTAAAAATAAGAGAGGCTTTAAAAAATTAATAGATACTAGATTGTGAGGCCCCCAAAGCCTTGGGCTATGTCCTACTAGTTTTTTCTTATTTCCAACAACTGGCACAGGTCTGAGGCACTTAATAATTATGTTGAGTGAATGAATGATGGAAGTTTAAAAATAGTTAATTCTGTAATACTTTAATACCCATCATGAAACAGGATCCACCTTAAACTTTTCATTTTTTTTTTTTTGTTAAAAGCCTTTTATAAGATGTTATTTGCTTCTTTTCTGTGAGGTTCTTGTTAGCCTATGAAAATCCCAATCCTTACTTCCAGTATATTTTTAAAAAGTCTTTAAATTAAGTAGTTGTCACCTGGAAGAAAGAGAATGATCATCTTTTCAGGTTATCTCATTTGTAAAAACTTGAGAACACAAGAGGCTGTATTAACATATCCCTTGTTCATAGGAAAGTAACCTTCATTAAAAAGTTGAATTATTGGCTGGTACAGTGGCTCACGCTTGTGATCCCAGCACTTTGAGAGGCCAAGGTGGGTAGTCGGATTGCTTGAGTTTGAGACCAGCCTGGGCAACATAGCCAAAACCCGTTTCTACAAAACAAATAAAAAAAATTAGTGGGGCACAGTGGCATGCACCTGTAGTCCTAGCTACTTGAGAGGCTAAGGTGGGAGGAACACTTGAGCCCAGGCGGCTGAGGCTGCAGTGAGCCATGATCGTGTCACTGCACTCCAGCCTGGGTGACAGAATTAGACCCTGCCTAAAAAAAAAAAAAAAAAAAAAATTGAATTATTGGCATTTTTGCTTTTGTAGAAATTCACAGTAGTTTTTAACAACATTTGTGTTGGTGGGCATGAAGATAAAAAAAAGTGTTTATTATTGAAGCAAATAGTATTTTGAAAAGAAAAGGTATAAGCCTTCCTGTTCTTTTATTTTTTTCTTTAGAGAATTTTGCAGTTGTTTTAGACAGTAGCCCATTTTAAGTCTATATTTTCCAATGTGGTTTTATAATGTGCAGATTATAGGTTTTAAATTGCTGGATCTCATTGTTACAGGAAACGCTGCTGGTGTCTTTTAAAGGAAGGTTTTAGGGAATGAATTTTTTTTTCCTTCACTAACTGGCTTGTACCACTGATCTAGAAGCATTTTGTATCTTTTCATTTGGATAGAAAGAACATATAACCTGGAAAATGAATCTTGGCTTCCAAAGACAATTTTTTTCCAGGAAAAATGAAAAAGGATTTTGTGCAGTTCACTAGATTAAACCATCACTTGATAACTTTAAGCATATTAGCTTAAGTCCATACTACTGAAAATTGAGCAATTTGGTTCTTAATGGGATCTCCCTGCAGATGTCTTTGACTACAGAAATTTTCCAGATTATAATATCAAAAGTCCCTCTCCATTTCTCTCTTTAATTCAGCCTTCATATTCATTTATTATTGAAGTTGCTTTTTACTTTAATGTCATATATTTTAGTAATTAGAACCAAGTACGTGCTTTTGAATACTCATGTTTCAAGAGGGCTCTTATTCCTCATAAAGGTAAAAGCAATAAGAATTTGAAGCAAAATGAAAGTGAAGGGTGTAAGAACTCATAATAATGTAAAAAAATGCAAAAATTTGGTTTTAGAGATAAAATTTACATGGCTTTTTCTACTTACAATGTATTTTAAATTTGATATTAAATAAGCTATTTAGTTTTATTTCAAAGTGATAAATTTTAGGGTTAGGGTGAATAGCTATGATTATTTTCTAGCATATGTTAACTTGTGCAAATGTTTGATCTAGTGTTCTTTACCTATATAGTATTTTCATTTGAATTAGAAAAAAAGAGACTTCATAGGTTATCTTGATTTTTTAATAATTAAAATTGTAGTCACATATTTTTTCGTTATTTTTTAAAAATATCTGATATTTACTGATTCAGTTACCAAATGCTGTATGAATGTGCAATGCTTCTATCAGTCTGTAGATGGCAACCTGGGTCTAATTTTGTTCCTTTTTTCTTTTCTTTTCTTCTTTTTTTTTTTTTTTTTTTTTTTTGACTCTGTTTCTCCCTGTAATAGTAAAGCTTAATAATTCAAGCAGAGCAGTGACATATTTCTTCAGGGAAACAAATCTCATTTTCTTTTGGTAGCCAAGATGCAAAGTAGGATTGGTTGGTGATTGATGAAGTTGGGTGTGAAATGCATTTTTAGTGTTGCATTTAAATACCAGCTTAACTGGCCAGCACATGTTTTTGTTACACTTTCCACTTGAGTTGCAGTGCCTTGAGATATGCTTTAGAGGCTGGCAACTAGCTATATTCTCCACTATGACCAAAACAGTAACGATGATTGTTTTGAAATAGCATTTTGGATGATTGATCATATCAATTGGTATTGTTAATATTTGGTACATGAAAAAATGTAGTGCTTTTAGAACCCTTGTGAACGCAAGAAGTATAGTGAATTTAGGTCTCTGTAGGAATATTGAAAGGGCTGCAGAGAAAATGGCCTGGTCTCTTTGACTTACATTGTATTGATAATTGTAAGTACGTTTTCAAGGCAAAGCATTAAAAAGGCAAAAATAAGAGTTGTATTCTTTTGATGGATGTGGCTCTCTTTCACTTTGGGTGAGTGGGCACGCCTGTGTGCCCACACATGGGCCAGTATTCTTCTTGATGCAAATCCTGGTTTATTCCCAGTGTGGTTCTGTGATAGTTTCCATGAAACTTGTGATTTTTAGACTCCTGATGACTGATTGGGAGCAGGTGTGGTGCCGGCAGAAGGATGTCTGAATATTATGACCTTGTTGGGTGACTGCCCTTGAGCAGTCATGCTCTTGAATTTCTTAATAGCTACAACCTGCACATGGTTTGCCTGCATCGCCCCAAGCATGAAGCGTTACTGCAATTCATCCTCAGAGTTATGAGGCATTGAAACTTGAGCTTCTTTGGTTCAGCCATGAATCAACCCAGGCACTTGCATGGTTCCCAGTAACAAGAGACTCTGAAGACAAAACCGGAAGCACATGAGGAAAATGTGCTCTCTCACGTGTTACCTCCTAAGGGATATCAAATCTGGGAAGCAAATATGTAAGAAGGCACCAAGGTGACATCACCAAGTGGCACACTAGTGTTGTTTAATAAGCTAAGGTAAGATTTATGATTCATTGGTGTCTCTTGCCACCACATTCACCCTATACCAGAAATACAGGTTTTCTTTTTTTCTTAATTTGTGTAAATTTAAGGGATACAAGTGCAATTTTGTTACATGGATGTATTGTGTCATGGTGAAGTCCAGGCTTTTAGTGTAACCATAACTTGAATAATGTAAATTGTCCCCATGATGTAATTTCTCATACCTCTTCCTGCTCCCACCCTTCCGCCTTTCCGAGTCTCCAGTGTCTGTCATTCTACCCTCTCTCATGTGTACGCATTATTTAGCTCTCACTAATATGTAAGAACTTGTGCCATTTGACTTTACATTTCTGAGTTATTTGTTAGGATAATGGCCTCCAGTCCCATCCACATTGCTGCAAAAGACATGATTTCATTTTTATGACTGAATAGTATTTTACTGTGTGTGTTTATATGTATGTGTATATCTACATCTATATACACATACCCACAAAGTGTGTGTGTGTGTGTGTGTGTGTATGTCTTTATACACACATTTTCTTTTTCCAGTTATCCATTGATGGACACTTAGGTTGATTCCATATCTTTGCTGTTGTGAATAGTGCTGTGATAAAAATACAAGTGCAGGTGTCTTTTTGGTATAATGATTTGTTTTCTTTTGATATCCAGTAATGAAATTGTTGGATAGAATGAAAATTCTATTTTCAGTCTTTGAGGAATCTGCATGCTGTTTTCCATGGAGACTGTACTAATGTACATTCCCACCCACAGTGTATTGGTATTGCCCTTTCTCTGCATCCTTGCTAACATCTGTTGTTTTTTGACTTTTTCAGAACAGCCATTCTGACTGGTGTAAGCTGATATCTCACTGTGGTTTTAATTTGCATTTCTGTGATGATTAGTGACATTGAGCATTTTTTCAAATGCTTGTTGGCCATTTTTATGTCTTCTTTTGAAAAATGTCTATTGATGTCCTTTGCCCACTTTTTAATGGGGCTGTCATTATTTTTTGTTGTTGAATTCTTTGAGTTCCTTGTAAATTCTGGAATCAATGACAGGGAAATACAGGTTTTCTATCCCTTGGTGGATCACAACTTCCCATCTCAATGGCAATGTGTACTGTGGGATATATGGGTCAGATTTTATACATCAAGTACTAGTATGATAAAAATTCTTAAGATCAGCATTTTTTCACACCTTCATGATCCACTTATTGGAATGATATATTGTGCCACAAATTTCTAGTACAGCGAGAGGTCTTAGTAATTTTCTTGAGGTTTATTGTGAATTTAAACTCTATTAATAAAAGTTAGTTTCAAAATGTGTACTTTGCTATCTACTTTAGTACTGAGAGACTGAAAAATTAAAAGTGGGCTGAATACTAGTAAGACGTATGGCTCAATTTGAGTGGAGTAAAATACTAGCCCTTTTTCGAAAAGGATTCTTTTTATATCCTGCCCTCTTAAACACTTTGTTCACTATATAGAGAGAAGCCATGAGGGAAGCATTCTTTCATAGCTGATATAGGGTTGAGACTTCTGCAGTAAATTCTTTTGGGGGTTATTTTTTCATGTAGCCCAGGGTTGAGTTTGAAGACGCTTTTTGTTTTCAAAAGGAAAAATTTGTGAGGTGTTGAATTACAGAGGTATTTTCAAAACTTTGGAAGATTTCATTCCGGAAATTCATTTTAAATAGGTATTTTGATACTCAGATCACATTTTCCATACAAGCGCCCCATAAAATTCTATGTAAGCCATAATTCATCTTAATTATTGCATTGTGCTGCCGATGCTGTGTAGGTTGCCCACTGTGTACAATGGTGTTTCCAGTGGGAAAACAAATGAGGAGCTCCACTTTAGAATGCCAAGAACTCATGTTACCCTGCTGTCGTAGGATGCAGAACTGCCCTCTGTTGAATTACTGGTGTAGGCCAGAGCCTCCAGGTCAGGGATCCATCTGGGTTTGGGTCTGAGAGGAATGCAGAGCTGGAGGAGCCAGACCTGGAGTTACTCGGGTGGGGACACTGAGGTGTGGGCGGAGGTTCTTCTATTAGCGTGATCCTCTGCAGGAGGATTAGTTTGGGATTGTCACATCTTTATTTCTTCCCCAGCTCCAGAGTTTGGCTTGCCTGCCTCCCTTTTCATAGATGCTACCCATTACTTCTAAGCAGGGCCTCTTTGCTTCTTGCCTTACCAGGGGCTCTGACAAGTTTCACAGCCTTTTCTTAATTCTGCTGCCTGCAAGGTCAGGTTGAACCTTTCTCTTTTTTTCTTTTTTTTCTTTCTTTCTCTCTCTCTCTCTCTTTTTTTTTTTTTTTTTTGAGGGAGTGTCTCACTCTGTCACCCAGGCTGGAGTACAGTGGCACCATCTTGGCTCACTGCAGCCTTGACCTCCTGGGCTCAAGTGATCCTCCCACGTAGCTGGGACTACAGGCAGGTGCCACCACACAAGGCTAATTTTTGTATTTTTATAGAGACGGGGTTTCACCATGTTGCCCAGGCTGGTCTCAAACTCCTAAGCTCAAGTGATCTGCCTGCCTTGGCCTCCCAATGTGCTGGGATTACAGGTGTAAGCCACTGTGCCCTGCCAGGTCTGAACCTTTCTGTAGCTTACTACAGATAAAATATGCATCCGCCCCAGTGGTGAGTTTCTGGCATACCAAAGACTGAAGCATGATTTATCTGCTTTTCTGAAAGAAGCTGAAATTGGGTCACTCTGAGCATTTCATCCTGGAATCTGAGGAAGGGCCACATGGGGGCTTGGTTAGGGAGGTGTCTGATGTCATGAATGTTGGTGAGATGCCTATCATAGAGGGTGACAGGGTGGAGGGAGGAGGAAGATGTAGCCATAGGGTTTATTACCCTTTCTCCCTCTTCAACTCCCTGTTTTCCTTGTCAGGCCTGGGGTGATATAAAACCTGGAAAGGGCCCGGTCCTTTAGAATATCAGCAGATCCTGGACCATAGGTCACATGTAAAGGACACAGATAAATGTTCAGAGCATTCCGCACAGAGTAGTCAGCACAGGGTCAGTATTTGTTGATATATATGTGTGTGTGTGCATGTAGGTCAATTATACCTATATTATGGTGACAATTGAAATTAAAGGCTGCAAACTGTAAGCATTGAGTAATGGCACACTCCTGATACCCATGCTTTAGAACATCTTGATGGTGCATTCTAATCTGATATTTTGTAAGCTTCATTTACAAATACTTAGAATGGATAAACAGCATTTTCCTAGCTTAGTGAATGAGGGGGAAAAGAGGAGAAACCAGTTTGCCCAGAGTCAAAGATCTATCAATGGTTAGTGATTTCTGGAAATTGCCAGACTGACACATAGCTGCTGGTTAAGAGGTGGATGTGCCTGTGTGACTGTTTGAAAGGGGAGGTGGAGGGACAAGTGAGGGAAGCTCTCGTGTGTGTGTTTTGACCTGTCTTCCTTCAGTGATAAAAATGTTGATGTATCACAGCAGACCCTGAAGCTTAGCTGGGAGATTTTGGGGAGTTCCTGTTTGTTTCTTCTTCTACTCTCCACTATTTCATATTAACTTTTTAAATGGGGATGATTGATTTTCATCCCTTCTATTTTCTAGGTGGTCGGAGTTAGTCATTACTAACAAGCCGTTTTTCTCTTTAGCAGTCTGATGTAATAATGGGTCTTCTCTATTTTGACACATCTTAGCTGGGGACTGCCTTCAGCATTTAGACCCTCTTTTCTAGGGTTTAGGGACCTTGAAGAAGGTAGATATTTTGGGGGCTGACCTCTAGTTTCTGTATCAAATGATCAAATCCCCTTTTTTAAAACAGTTACTTAAACATTCTAGGACTTAAGCTCTGCAACCCAAGCCTTTCTCTGTGTCTGAATTTCCTTCCCCATGTTTCATGACTTTCTAGACTTAGGAACCCCATCCCCTTTCCTAGGTCACTACTTTCATTTTTCAGTGAACATTTATTGAGTCCCTACCATGTACTCCACCCCTTGCTAATCACCAGAGTATTTCATTTTCTCTTCTTTGTTCTAATTGCTCAGTACTTACACATTTTCTTCCAATAGTCATAATTATATCTTTATCAATAAATTTTCCTTGGTTAAGTAGATGCAATTTACCTTTTCCCTTTCAATGACCAGACTTTATTCACTATCCCTAAATGCCAAATTATGTTGCAAGCATTGACATTTTTTCCTTCTGGGTATTGAGTCATTTCTTAGACCTCTGTATTAATTTTGTCCTTATAGAAAGTACCAGCACACTACTAAAGAACATAGGCCATTTCTACTTAAATGTATTTAGTCCAATGTCTGGGACAATTACTAAATACTGCTTGGCACTATGAGACAGGGAAGGAGTATTTCCTCACTTATGTGATACCCTGGGACTCCTTTGTAGTCTGTGGCCTATTTTGTATATGAACTCTATTTTTATTCTTCTCTATTGCCCTAGTTATTTTCAAAATAAGATATAACCTTTATTGCAAATCACCATGCAGTGTGCTATCACAGTGGAGATAAAGATAAAATATCTGTAAAATACCTTTGAGCTTTGTAGGTTTAAAGCTACCCATTTATTCTTATTTTATACAATTGGATGATAATACCAAATTGTTTCTTTGAAACTGGGCAAGATTTTATTTCCTTTAAAATTACATAATAAAGTGGCCTGGCACAGTGGCTCATGCCTGTAATCCCAGCACTTTGGGAGGCCGAGATGGGTGGATCACCTGAGGTCGGGGGTTCAAGACCAGCCTGGCCAGCATGGTGAAACCCTGTCTCTACTAAAAATACAAAAATTAGCCGGGCATAGTGTCGCATGCCTGTAGTCTCAGCTACTTGGGAGGCTAAGGCATGAGAATTGCTTGAACCCAGGAGGCAGGGGTTGCAGTGAGCTGAGATTGCACCACTGTATTCCAACCTGGGCGACAAGAGCTTCTGGATGGTGTTAAGCTGAAGGCTCTTACCCAGGGCGTTTACTGTCATTTCCTAAGTTGGGTTCCATTGAGCAGTAGTTTCACGCACTTTTTGTATGTTTGTTTGTTTCTTTTGAGACAGAGTCTGACTCTGTCACCCAGGCTGTAGTGCAATGGCCTGATCTCAGCTTACTGCAACCTCTGCCTCCCAGGTTCAAGCAATTATCGTGCCTTAGCTTCCTGAGTAGCTGGGATTACAGGCATGCGCCACCACATCCAGCTAATTTTTGTATTTTTAGTAGAGATGGGACTTCGCCATGTTGGCTAGGCTGGTCTCGAACTTCTGATCTCAGCTGATCCATCTGCCTCAGCCTCCCAAAGTGCCGGAATTACAGGCGTGAGTCACCGCGCCTGGCCAATTTCATGTACTTTTAATATATGCTTCTGGTAATGAGTTTCATGTTCAACTACAAATTTGGGAAATGTTGGATGATACAAAGTTAAGTCATTGTCTCTGCTACAGGATTTCTCAGAGCCTTTAGTATGGACGTATTCCACGCTTTTACTTGCTTTGGATCCCTATTACTGAGGAGCATCTGGTGGGATTATTGTTCTTTAGAGCACAACTTGAGAAGCGTTGGGGTACTCAAATAGGCATACTGCTTCCACACATTACCTGATCATTGTAGGGCTTGGGGAATTTCTGATGAAAATTAAGTCAGACATCTTTTTGTGTGATTCTGATCAGATCAGTAGCTAGCATGGACAGTGGACATTTTCTGGGTGCTTACTCTGTGCCAGGGACTAGACTGAGCACTTTAAGTGTACAGTGCAAGGGTTCCCTTGTGGAGTCCTCAGACCTTTGGTTCCAGCCTGCAAAGGTTGTTCTCTTGGCTTGTGGCACAGATGTTATCTTGCATTTTCCCTTACTGTCATTATGAAAATTGCTTTTGTGTCTTTTCTGTGGAGATCCCATTTCCAGGGGCTTTTGTATACTTATTTCTTGGTTGACTCCATTTTGGCAGGACATATCCTCCAGTAATTTCTGGAGAATGGCTAGAGAAATGGTCATTATTTTTTGAGACCCAGCAAGTCTGAAAATATTTTCATACTTTTACATTTAACTTTCAGTTTGGATGGACATAGAATTTTTGTTTTGTTTTATTTTTAATTTTCATGGGCACATAGTAGGTATATATATTTATGGGATACATGAGATATTTCGATACAGGCATATAATTCATAATAATCACGTTAGAGTAAATGGGGTATCTATAACCTCAAGCATTTATCATTTCTTTTTGTTACAAACACTCCAATTATACCCTTTTAGTTATTTAATAATGTACAATAAATTATTGTTTACTATAATCACCCTGTTGACAAACAAAAGCTCTTATTCATTGTATCTAACTATATTTTTGTACCCATTAACCATCTCCACTCCTCACCCTCACTACCCTTCCCAGCCTCTGGTCACCACCATTCTACTCTGTATCTTCGTGAGTTTAATTGTTTTACTTTTTAGCTTCCACAAATGAATGAGAACATGCAAAGTTTGTCTTTGTGCCTGGATTATTTCACTTAACATAATGACCTCCAGTTCCATCCATGTTGATGGAAATGACAGTATCTCATTCTTTTTTTATGGGTTGATAATACTCTGGGTGTGTCTATACCACGTTTTCTTTATTCATTCATCTGTTGATGAGCACGTAGCTTTCTCCCAAATCATGTCTACTGTGAATAGTGCTGCAATAAACATGGAGTGCAGATATCTCTTTGATATACTGATTTCCTTTCTTTTGGGTATATCCCTAGCAGTGGGATTACTGGATCATATGGTAGTTCTATTTTTAGTTTTTTGAGGAACCTCCATACTGTTCTGCTATGCTAATTTACATTCCCATCAACAGTATACAAGTATTCCCTTTTCTCTACATCTTTGCCAGCATCCCTTATTGTCTGTCTTCCGAATAAAATAACTGGGTTGAGATGATGTCTCAATTGTAGTGTTCATTTGCTTTTCTCTAATGATCAATAATGTTGAGCATCTTTTTATATACTTTTTTGCTATTTCTGTGTCATCTTTTGAGAGATGTCTATTCAGGTGTTTTGCCCATTTTTAAATTAGAGTATTAGATTTTTTCCCTATTGAGTTGTTTTAGCTCCTTATATATTCTGATTATTAATTCCTTGTCAGATGGGTAGTTTGCAAATATTTTCTTCTATTCTGTGGGTTGTCTCTTCACTTTGTTTCCTTTGCTGTGTAGAAGCTTTTTAACTTTATGTGATCCCATAATCTTGTGCTTATGGGGTATTACTCAAGAAATCTTTGCCCAGACCAATGTCCTGGGAGTTTCCCCAATGTTTTCTTGTAGTGGCTTCATAGTTTGAGGTTTTAAATTTAAATCTTTAATCCATTTTGATTTTATTTTTGTATATGGTGAGATATCGGGGTCCAATTTCATTCTTTTGCATATGGATATCCAGTTTTCCCAGCACCATTTATTGAAGAGACTGTCCTTTCCCCAGTGTATGTTCTTGTCACCTTTGTCAAAAATGAATTTATTGTAGGTGTATGGATTTATTTCTGGGTTCTCTGTTCTGTTGCATTGGTCTTTTTTTATTAGTCTGGCTAAAAATTTGTCAATTTTATTTTTTTTTCCACTATTTATTTCATTGATCTTTTGTATTTTTTGTTTCAATTTCATTTATTTCTGCTCTGTTGTTATTTCTTTTAATTTTGGATTGGGTTTGCTCTTGCTTTTCTAGTTAAGATACATCATTATGGTATATGAATTTTTTTTTTTTTACTTTTTTGATGTAGGCACTTACATCTATCAACTTTCCTCTTAGTACTGCCTTCGCTATATCCCATACATTTTATGTCATGTTTCCATTTTCATTTGTTTGCAGAAATTCCTTAATTTTCTTCTTGATTTACCCATTGACCCATTGGTCATTTAGGAGCATATTATTTAGTTTCCATGTACTTGTACAGTTTCCAGAGTTCTTGTTACTGATTTCTAGTTTTATTTCATTGTGTCAGAGAAGATACTTGATATGTTTTCAATTTTTTTTGAGTTTTTTTAAAACTTGTTTTGTGATCTAACATATGATCTATCCTTGAGAATGATCCATGTGGTGAGAAGAACGTGTGTTCTGCAGCTGTTGGATAAAGCTGTATATGTCTATTAGGTCCATTTAGTCTGTTGTGCATAATAAGTCCAGTGTTTCTTTGTTAATTTTCTGTCTGGATGATATGTCCAATAATGAAAGTGGGGGTGTTGAAGTCTTCAGCTATTACTGTATTGGGGTCTATTGCTCTCTTTAATAATATTTGCTTTTTATATCTGGGTGCTTCAGTATTGGATGAGTATGTATTTTCAATTCTTACATCCTCTTGCTGAATTAACCCCTTTATCATTATATAATGACCTTCTCTGTCTCCCTTTATAGTTTTCTTTTTTTCTTTTTTGTTGTAGAGATGAGGTTTCACTATGTTGCCCAGGCTGGTCTTGAACTCCTGGGCTCAAGTGATCTGCCCACCTTGGTCTCCCACAGTGCTGGGATTACAGGTGTGAGCCATCACACTTGGCCTCTCTTTAGAGTTTTTGTCTTGAATTCCATTTTGTCTGATATAAGTATAGCTATTTTTGCTCTTTTATGGTTTCCATCTGCATGGAATATCTTTTTGTATCCCTTTATTTTCAGTTTGTGTGTGTCTTTATAGGTGAAGTGTGTTTCTTGTAGGTAACAGATTGTCAGGTCTCTTTTTTTTTTTAATCCATTCGGCCACTCTTTGTCTATTGATAGTAGAGTTTAATCTGTTTACATTTAATCTTATTATTGATACGTAAGGGCTTACTCTTGCCATTTTGTTGTTTTCTGGTTGTTTTGGATCTTCTCTTCTCTTCTGTCTTCCTTTTAGTGAAGACAATTTTCTCTGGTGGTATGTTTTAATTTATTGCTTTTTGTTTTTTTGTATATCTGTTGTAGTTTTTTTTTGACTTGAGGTTACCATGAGGCTTGCAAATACTATCTTATAAAACCGATTATTTTAAACAAATGACAACTTAGCACTAATTGCAAAAACAAACAAGGAAAGAGAAAATTAATAAAAACTCTACAGTTTAACCTCATCCAACTTTTAAACATATTATTTCTATTTATAATTTGTTATACTGTCTTGAAAAGTTTTTGTAGTTATTTTTAATAGGTTCACATTTTAATATTTCAACTGAAGATATTACCAGTTTACACATCACAATTACAGTGGTATAATATTCTGTGTTTGCCTACTTACTATTACCAGTGAATTTTGTACCTTCAGGTGATTGCTTAATGCTTATTAATGTCCTTTTCTTTCTGATTGAAGAACTACGTTTAGCATTTCTTGTAAGATAGGTCTGGTATTGATAAAATCCCTCAGCTTTTGTTTGTCTGGGAAAGCATTTCTCCTTCATGTTTGAAAGATACTTTTGCTGGATATACTTTTCTAGGATAAAAGTTTTTTTTTCTTCACTTTAAATATGTCATGCCACTCTCTCTTGGTCTGTCAGGTTGGCAATGAGAAATCTGCTACCAGATGTATTTGAGCTTCTTTGTATGTATTTGCTGTTTCTTTTCTCTTGCTGCTTTTAGGACATTTTCTTTATCCTTGACCTTTGGGAGTTGGATTATTAAATGTCTTGAGGTTGTCTTATTTGGGTTAAATCTGCTTGGTGTTCTATAACCCTCTTGTACGTGAATATTGATATCTTTCTTTAAGTTTGGGAATTTCTCTGTTATTAGTCTTTGAGTAAACTTTCTACTCCTGTTTCTCTCTCTCCCTCTTCTTTAAGGCCAATAACTCTTAGATTTGCCCTTTAGCGGCTATTGTCTAGTTCTTGTAAATTTGTTTCATTCTTTTTAAATTCTTTTTTGTTTGTCTCCTCTGAGGGTGTATTTTCGAATAACTTGTCTTCAAGCTAATTATTTTTTTTCTGCTTGATCATTTCTGCTATTGAGCGACTTTGATGCCTTCTTCAGTATGTCAAATGAAGTTTTCAGCTCTAGAATTTATGCTTGATTTAAAAATTTCAGTCTTGTTAAATTTATCTCATAGGATTCTGACTTCCTCCTCTGTTATCTTGAATTTCATTGGGCTTGCTCAAAACAGGTATTTTGAATTCTCTGAAAGGTCAAGTATCTGTATCACTCTGGGATTGTCACTGGTGCCTTATTTAGTTTATTTGGTGAGGTCATGTTTCTCGGGATGGTCTCGATGCTTTGGATGTTTGTTGATGTCCGAGCATTGAACGGTTAGATATTTGTTGTGGTCTTCACAGTCTTGGCTTGTTTGTACCCATCTTTCTTGAGAAGGCTTTCTAGGTATTCCAAGTGTGTTGTGTGTTGTAATCTAAGTCTTTGGTTACTGCAGCTGCATCTGCATTAGGGGGCACCTCAAGCCGAGTAATGCTGTGACTCTTGGCAGATGCGTGGAAGCACTGTCTTGGTGATCTGGGGTAAGATCCAAGAGAATTCCCTGCATTACCAGGCAGAGACTCTTTTCCCCTTCTCTTGCCTTCCTGCAAACAAATGGAGTCTCTCTCCATACTGAGCTCCCTGGATCCTGGGGCAGGGGTGACACAAGAGCCCATATGGCCACCACCACTGGGACTGCACTGGATCAGACCTAAAGCCAGGGCAACACTGGGTCTTGCCTAAGGCCCACAGTGACCACTGCCTGGCTATTGCTGATGTTCACCCAAGGCCCAGGGGCTGTTCAGTCAGCAGTTGGTGAACCCAGCCAGACCCATGTCCTTCCCTTCAAGGCAATAAGCTTTTCTCCCTGCTGGCCCAAGGTGGGTTCCCTTCTGGCCCTGGGTGTGTCTGGAAATGTCATCTGGGAGCTAGGGCCTGGATGAGTGCATCAGGGCTCTGCCTGGCACCCTATCCTACTGTGGCTGAGCTGGTGTACAAGTTGCAAGACAGTCTTCTTTACTCCTCCTCCTCCTCTCCTGTAGCAGAAAGAAGGAATCTCTCCCAAAGCTGCGAGCTGTACTGCTTGGGGTTGGGGGAGGGGTGGCACAAGCACTCCCTTAGCCACCCTGGCTGGTGTCTCACTAATTTGTGTGCACCCCAAGTCCACTGGCTCCAAGGGCAGCGCAGCACCAGGGCTTTCCCAGGAGTTGCACTCTTTGTGGCCTAGACTGTCTTTCAAGTTTATTTAAGTTTATCAAGTTTATTTAAGTGCTCTGGCACTTTAGCCCTCAGTGATGGGGCTAGTTTGAACTCAGGTTCTGACTGCTAGGATGGGACAGTTTCCCTCTGGCTGGGGCTGGTCTAAATGTTCCCTCCATGGGCACTGGCTGAATTCTGCCCCATGTTGCTTTCTGCTGTGACAAGGCAGCAGTGAGTTACAATGCAAAGTCTCACAATTACTGTGCTCTCCCTCCCCTAAGCACACAGATTCTCTCTCGGTGTCACGAGGCTGCTGCTGGGGGACGGGGGTGGGGTGGTGTAGGCAATTCAAGACTGTCTTTCCTACCATCTTCAGTGCCTTTCTCCTTGATACGCTGTTAAAACCAGGCACTGTGATTGCTTACCTGATATTTGTTTTTTATGAAGGGGCTTTCTCGTGTGGATAGCTGTTCAATTTGGCATTCCTGTTGGGGGGTGGACAGTGATTGCTGGAGGGTTTTATTTGGTCGTCTTGCTCCACCTCATTTCCTGACATAGAATTTTTGGTTGGAGATACTTTTCAACTGGAATTTTGAATGGGCTACTTCATTGATTGTTTATGTTCATTGCAGCTGTTAAGATATCTGATGCCTGTTTATCTTAATTTGGGTTTCACCAAAAGCTATGCTTAGTAGATGACGAGCTGAGAAAAGGACTTGGGTGCAAGTAATTCATTTGGGAATTGACCTCGGAAATTAGGGGCAGGTAAGACATAAGGATGAGAAAAGTCAATAAGGAAGGATATTATTGAAAAAGTTACTCCTGTGGGCAACTGCACTCAGTCCTGCTGGGACCCTCTCAGAGCCCATGAAACACACCTTAGAATTGTCCCATGCAGGATCAAGGAAACTGGGATGTCTGTCTCCCAATTACTGCCCTTTGTTGCTTGAGGGTTTTACTTGGAGAATTACCTCCCTGGCACTCCAGCCCATCCCATACTCAGGCTGAACATGCTTCTCTGGCCAGAGAAGAGATTCAGGCAGAGAAACTCAGGAACTTGAGGTAGAAAGACCTCAAACCATATGAGAACTGTCCACCAAAGCTGCCATAGAACTTTGGCTTGGGCTAAGAAGTTACAAACCTTATGTGCATAACATTAGTAGCAACAAAAAAAAGCACTGACATCTCAGATCAGAAACAAAGGTAGAGACATTCTGCAGAGTAGTTGAACACCAAAAAAAAAAAAAAAGCAAGAAAATGGATTTAAAATGTACTTAATGAAGGATATGGAGAAGATGTTAGCTGAGAATTCTAAAATTGCTCTTTTTGTATGAGGTGAAAATTTTGCAATCTTAAAATGAATTACTATTCTTCTGTAACTGCAGAATTGTTTAAAAGATTCAATTAAAAGCATAGACAGTTCCCATGTCAGACTAGACAAAGAATGTATTAGGAGCAAAAGGGAACAATGACTGTTTCTCTTAAATAAAAGAATTCTGTCATTTACCCCACATTGGTACCAGAGTTCTCAATAATTCAATCCAATATTGGAATAAGCAGTGTGGGCTGTCATTGTTCTGGGAGTCAAGAAGAGTAGCCTCCCAGGACAAAAACTTGAACCATTGAGCACCATCATTGACAAATGGTCTCCATATTTTCTCTGGCACTTTTTATCCCAGCATGGTTGAGATTTATTATATTTTCAATTTGGTAAGGTTTGCTAGTTAAAACAGAGTTCCAGACCTAATTAGTACAGCACTCTATAACTTTTAGATGGATGAGTTCACATCTTAGAAATTTTTATTTTCTGAGCAAGCCTCAGACAGAAGGGACAGAGAAATAAAGCTTCTTTAGTAGCTAGATGGATATAAGGCAGCTGTTCAACTGTGAGGCAAGCTGCCTGTTTAATTTTTAGAAATTAGTTGGGAGAATAATCAAATTCTCTTTAGACTTTATTCCTGCATTCACCCTGAGGTTATAATTTAGAAGCATGATGATGGTTATTTAGCATTTTTATAATAATGAAACATTATGACTGAGAAAACACTTTTGTAAAGTAGAAAGTGCCAAAAGAGGCAGTATCTATGTAAGGAGATACGAATTAGTCTGGACTGGTCTCCAAGTCAGAGATGAGGAACTTTAGTACCAGAAATGAGAGAGCCTAGAGATGAGAGGTGGGAACCGGCAACCCATTAATAATTCATGCTTTCCTAGTTAGCTGTCCCTTATAGCTTTGTGTCCTCCCCCTCCCAAGACTCAGTTGCCACTCTGGTCTGAAGCCAAAAGCTGAAGTTTCTTGGAAGATGATGAAAAAGTTTAAGGAAGATCAGTAGGATTAGAAAGGAGTAGAAGGAGAGAGGGAAGAAAAAAGTTAGTTGGGCAGACAGAATCATTTCTTATTCTAATAAAAATTTAAAAAACTAAAAATAACCTTAAGCATCAATTCTCTTTAACACCAGTTAGCCTCTAGGTTACTCTCTTTACTCCTAAGCTCCACTGAATTTTATTGTCAACATGGTGAGTACTGAGAGGAGAGGCATAAAAATGGGAAAACACTGTGGTTTGTTTTCTTCTCATGAAACTTACTGAGTTGGAGACTCAGAAGTGTTTCTAAGTCAAGGTAGGATATTACAAGTAGCAGAATAGAGTAACCAAGCAAGGCTTTGAGAGCACAGGGGAGAGAGGTTAAATCTGACTGCTGAGACTGGGAATTGATATTTATTTGAGAGAGAAAGTTCTAGGCATAGAATTTTGAAAAAAAGAAGAAAATAAAACCAGGACCAGTTTCAGCATTTAAATCTCTAATGCATTTTAAACCAAGAGTAGTTAAATGTTAATTAATCCTTCAAATTGGAAAAACAATTTAATTTAATATGAACAGGGAAGGGGAGAGATTGTTCAGAAATTTGCTTCTTGGACAATAGAGAATTGCTGTTTTTGTTTTCTTTTTGATGTTTCCGTGCTAGTTTAACCTTATAATGTTATTTTCATATACTTTTTCACATTAGCTTAAAAGTGGCCATGCACTCTTCTAAAAATCATAATGGTGACTGCGAATATCACTATTTACTCTAAAGACCATCACTTAGTAAACAACAAAACTTTCATTTTTCGTAATTATGTATCCCTCACTAAAAGGCCCTTGACACATTCTCAACGGCCTCTTTATAGATCTGAGCCTGGAAACAAATTTCTTCTTACATTAAGGCCCATATTTCTGACTACTTGAAATTTTTACCTTGATTTGTCACGTACATCCTACATGCACAAATTAAAAAATTCTCCGAGCTTTGGATTCCCCCTACATGCTGTTTTTTTTTCACATGTCTTGTATCTTTGGATATCACCCAGCTAGAAATCTGAGTGTGACCCACGCTAGTGGAAAGGGGGAAGAGGAGAGGAGTTCATAATATGAACAAAAGTTCTCTGAAAAGGAATTTCGAGGAAAGACTATTCCTGTGAACAGTTTGCAAACCAAGGAGATTGCAGCCTTTAGTGCACAATGAAGATGTGTTCTAGAGAACAAAGGGAGGGTTCAGGTTTTATAGCACAAGTTCCTGCCCAGGTTCATTTATGCAAATGAAGGATTCAAACTTGCTTAGCTCCTATTGATTGGTACAGCTGAGCCCTGATTGGTTGAGGCAGGTGAGCTCTGATTGGTTGGTTCAAGTGACTCTGAGAGTCCCAAAGTTGAACAGAAATGTGGATTTTCTGAGGGCTCAGAGTTATGTGTGTGACCTCTAGTCAGCAAAGGGCTACTTGGCTCTATTTTAAATTTAGACCCAGTGAGTGACTCAGGATTCAACTTGAAGGATTGGCTCTCTGAGGTTCACATTTGTTGACAGTAGTTTCCATATTGTGGTGCTACGGAGAGGTGAAGCCAGCTGGACTTCTGGGTCGGGTGGGGACTTGGAGAACTTTTCTGTCTTACAAGAGGATTGCAAAATGCACCAATCAGCAGCACTCTGTAGCTAGGATTGTAAAATGCACCAATCAGTGCTCTGTGGCTAGCCAGAGGTTTGTAAAATGCGCCAATTAGCACTCTGTAAAAGTGCACCAATCAGCTCTCTGTGGCTAGCTAGATGTTTGTAAAGTGGACCAATCAGTGCTCTGTAAAATGGATCAATCAGCAGGATGTGGGCGGGGACAAATAAGGGAATAAAAGCTGGCCACCCCCCGCCCCCAGCCAGCAGCAGCAACCCACTTGGGTCCACTTGCACGCTGTGGAAGGGTTTTTCTTTTGCTCTTCACAATAAATCTTGCTGCTGCTCCCTCTTTGGGTCCGCACCACCTTTAGGAGCTGTAATACTCACTGTGAAGGTCAGTGGCGTCATTTTTGAAGTCAGCGAGACCACGAACCCACCCGAAGGAACCCACTCTGAACACACTACTTCAGGAGGTTAGCAGTCCATGCCTGATTCCTTTCTAATCCCCTCCGTGTCTCCTCTTACACCACTTTAATCCAGTTAACTTTAGAGTCATCCTAGATTTTTCCATGCCTCATTCTTCACACTCAATCAGAGCTAATTTTCATTGATTCTACTTTCTCAGAGTCTCTTGAATCTGGTCCTTCCTGACCATCCTTGATTTAAGCTCCTTATTTTTAATGCAGACTACTGCAGCCTTTTTTCCAGATGGTCTCCAAGCTCCCTCCCTATCTGTACATCACAGCTCTGCCAGAGTGCTCTAAAAACACAAAACTTTTCTGATGAAATTTCTTTAGAAGCTTGTCACTTTCATGGCCTTTTTTTTTTTTCCCCAACTTCAGGCGTCTTCCACAAGCCTCCCTACATATAAAACATTTTAGAGTTTCTCGATCGCGTGTCTTTTGTATGTCTCTTTGCAGCTGTCTAGAATACCCATAACTTTATTCTCTTTAAGACTAACAGTGGCATCATCTCTTCTATAAGATCTGTTCTGAGACTCCCAGAGTTGAGCTTTTTCTTTGCTCTGCCTCCTAGTGGGACACAACTTTACAGCAGGTGTATTACAACAGCAGGTGTTGTAATTGAACAGGTTGTTTTCATGCCCTTTCTCTCCACTGGTGCGTGAACTCTTTGAGAGCCAGGACTCCTGCTTATTATTGTCTTTTTCATCTTTGTGAGCCCATCATCTGGCTTGGTTTATAACACAAAGCTCTCTGAAGAGCTTGATGAGAGAATGACTGAATTTTTTCACACATTGTGTACTTTTTGCCATGTTTTTATTTGAAGGTTAGGCATTCCAGTTATTTATGATGATATTTCTTAAGGTTAACTTGATTAAATCAGATTTGCTAATCAAGTATTTTCCAGTGGCACAGAGATTAACAAGGCCTCTGCCACAATGTTGAGGCAAAGTAGATATATATCTGTGTAAGCAGAGGCATTTTATTTAAATGCAAGGAGAAGTAATAGGTTAGAGAAAAGACCATTTATTTGACTTAAGAAATCAATATTAGAGCTTAGGTGCAATATATGGCTCTGTGTAGAGAAAACTGAAAAATTAATCTTGTTATAATTTTATTAAAAAGTCAACGTGGTTGAGTGGCCCCAGAACTGGTGCACTGTGCTGCCAAGATAACAGCCTTAGGAAGATGCCAGTAAAAAATGGAAGCTATTAAAAGCAAACTGAGTTGATGAATTTTCCTCAATTTATAATGTAAAATTATTCTTGGTGTAGTGCTGTCTACATGATATCGGATTTTCCATTATTAGAGGATTTAAAAGCCACTTTGGACTAAAGGTTATTTACATTTCTAATTTCTCACATTATATGATGGGGCATAACTTTAAATAGTGGCCTCCCAAACACGTTTTTATAAAGGGACAATTGTTAGCTTTCTGATGAATGTTTCTTTTACATGTTTATTTTTTTCATGTGCTGTATTCTGTTTGGCTCCAACTAGCAGAAATACCCAGCATTTGGAGAGTCTTCTCATCTGAGCATCCAGCTGTTTACACGGACACACACACACGCAACAGGGGCACATTTAAAAAATAAGCTTTTTAACTTGACTACCTCTGTAAAGAATAAAATTAGAAAAATTAAAAATTTTAAGAAAATAACATAAAAATGAGCTTTTTGTTGATATATAATGTACATACAAAAGAGTGCTTAAATCATAAGTATTTTTATGAATGTCCACAGATGAAATAGACCTAATGTAATCAACAGTCAGATAAAAAAAAAAAAAAAAATGTCCAGCATCTGAGAAGCCCCTCCCTCTGCATCTTTAGTCTAGATATCACCCCAGGAAGAAAACCTTGATTCTGACTTCTATCTTCATAAACTAGTTTTTCTTGTTTTAAACTTTTAAAAATAAAACCACATACTATGTTGTAACCTTTTATGCTTGGTTTCTTTTACTGGAAGTTATTCTTCTATTTTGTTGACCATAACAATAGTTTGTTATTCTTATATAGCAGCATGGGATTCCATGTATGACTGTATCCTACTTTGTGCAGTCCCCAGTTGATGGAGTTTTGTCTTGTTTCCAGTTTGGGGCTTGATTGAGTAGTGCTATTATAAATGTTCTTTCGATTTTCCTCTAGTCAGCATGTGTATTTCTGTTGAATTGCTGGGCCACATGATTTGCATATTTCATCTTCAGTAGATACTGACAAACACTGTTCCAAAGAGGTCATACTAGTTCACACTCCTGAAAGCCATGTATGAAAATTCAAGTTGCTGTACAGCCTCACCAATACTCATTCTAGCAGATGAGTAGTGGCATCTCACTGTGGTTTTAATTTCCATTTCCTGATGAATAATGAGAATTTGAATACTTTTTCATGTATCTTTTGGCCATTCCGAGGTGCTTTTTAGTAAAGCTCCTATTCAAGTCTCATGTCCATTTTTCTGTTGTATTGTTTGCCTTTTTCATATTGATTTGTAAGAGTTCTTTATTTGTGATTCCTTTATTGAATATATGTATCAAAAATATCTTTTTCCATTCTGTGGCTTGTCATCACTTTCTGAATGACTTTTTTGTGTAGGACAGAAGTCTTTAATCTTAACAAAGTATAATTTATTAACTTTTCCTTTAGGATTAATGTTTTTCCTATGTTTTCTTCTGGAAGCTTGTTTTCCTTTTTTTTTTTTCAGTGCTATGACTTGGATATAAACTTATTTTACCTTCTACTGTTAAAGTTACAATCTGTCTGGAATTGGTTTTTATGCATGGTGTGAAGTCAAGATTAGTTTTTCTCCATGTGAATATCTAGTTGATGCTGTACAATTTGTTGAAAATGCCACAATACTCCCTCTGCATTGTGGTGTCACCTTCGTCTTAACTTAGATATTTATGTATATGTGAATCAGTTTCTGTTCTCTCTATACCTTTCCCTTGGTCTGTTGTCTATCTTTGTACTGCACTGCCTTAATTATTTTAGCTTTATCATCCTTATGTCTTGATACCAGGTGGTATAAATCCTTCAGCATATTCAGTTCTTCTTTAAGATTTCTTTCTTTATTCTGGTCCTTTTTATTTCATATACATTTTAGAATCAACTTCCTAATTTCCCAATTTCCTCCAAAACACTTGCTGGGATTATGATTGGGACTGAATTAAATCTATAGATCAATCTTTAAAATATTGAGTATTAATGCCCTTTCTGTATCTGTCAAAATGATTTTTTTTTATAGTATGAATTACATTGATTTTTGGGATATCAAACTAACCTTGCATTTCTGGAATAAATTGGCTGTGATATTTTATTTTTTTGATATCTGACTGATGTAGCCATTTAGACCTGGAGTTTTTGTTACGTGATGGTTTTAATTTCAGGTCTGACTTAGCCTATCAAGTTGAGGAGTGCACTGAATGCCTGTCACTTTCACTTCATTGTAAAAAAATTATAAATAAAATCATTGTTAAGTTTGGGATGTACTATGCAGCCATGTGCTACATAACAATCTTTTGGTTAATGATCACATATATGACAGTGGCCCAATAAGATTACAATGGAGATGAAAAATTTCTATGGCCTAGTGATGTTGTAGCCATCATAATGTCATAGCACAATGCATTAGTCATTAGTCATGTGTTTGTGGTGATTGTATAAACAATAAACAAATTTATTGTGCTGCCAGTCATATAAAAGCACAAATAATTAAGAATAGTACCTAATACTTGAAAATTATAATAGATAACTCTATTACTTGTTTATTTACTATGCTATATTTTTATTGTTATTTTAGACTGTATTCCTACTTATAAAAGTTATAGGTAGAACAGTCTCAGGTAGGTGTTTCAGGAGGTATCCAAAAGAGGGCATTATTATCATAGGAGATGATAGCTCCAGTTGCATTATTGCCTCTGAAGACCTTCCACTGGGACAGTGATGTTGATGATCCAGCCCTTGTGTAGGCCTCGGCTAATGTGTGTGTTTGTGTCTTAGTTTTTAACGAAAAGGTTTAAAAATTAAACAAAACTTAAATAGAAAAAGCTTATAGAATAGGAATATAAAGAAAAGATTTTTGTACAGCTGTACAATGTGTTTGTGCTTTGTTATGAAAGAGTCAAGTTAAAAAATTAAAAAGTTTTAATATAAAGTTACAGTAAGCTGAGGTTAATTTATGATTGAAGAAACAAGTGATTTTAATAAATTTAGTGTAGCCTAAGTATACAGCATTTATAAAGTCTACAGTAATGTCCTAGGACTTCACCTTCACTCACCACTGACTCACTGACTCACCCAGAGCAACTTCTAGTCCTGCAAGCTCCATTCATGGTAAATGCTCTATATAGATAACCATTTTAAATCTTTTATACCATTTTTTTTTACTGTACTTTTTCTATGTTTAGAAGCACAAGTAGTTACCATTGTGTTATAGTTGCCTACAGTACTCAGTATAGTAGCATGCTGTATAGGTTTGTAGTGTAGGAGCAATAGGCTATAGCACACACCCTAGGTGTGTAATAGGCTATTCCTTCTAAGTTTGTGTAAGTGCACTCAGTGATATTGACACAACAATGAAGTTGCCTAACAATGCATTTCTCAGATCAGATCCCTGTTAAGTGATCCATGACTGTATTTACATTTTTTCCAGCATCAGTTTTGATACATTATGTTGGTAAAGTTCATTTCACTTAAATTTTAAAATTTATTTGTGTAAAGGTATTCCTTATATCTTCTTTTAAAAGAAAATGCCTGTAGGATCTATAATAATGTACTATTTTTATTCTCACATTAGTATTTTATGCTTTCTTTTTTTATAATTAGTTTAGCTTTTGACTTAGATTTTTCTCTATTGTACATTCGTTTTATTTTTCATTTAATCTCTACCCTTATATTTATTTCCTTTCTTCAGCTTTCTTTGAGTTTAACTTACTCTTTTTCTATCTTCTGGAAATGGATAGAGCATCAATTTTTAGCCCTTGTTTTTTTCCTAATATTATATTTAAGCCCACGAATTTCCCTCTTATCACAGCTTTAGCTGCATCCAACATGTTTTGATTTGTCTTATTTTCATTATTTATGTAAAATGTTTTGAAATTTCCCATGTCATTTTTTTCTTTGACCCCGGGTTATTTAGAATGGCCTTACTTAATTTCAAAACAGTTTGACATTTTCTGGTGTTCCTTTTGTTGTTGATTTCTAGCTTAATTCCACTGTGGTGAGTGAACATAAATAATTTTAGTCTCTTTGTATTGTTGAGACTTGCATTATGGCTCAGCATAGGGTGAAATTTGGTAACAATTCCAGAGGTACTTGAAGAATGTTTTTGTGTTATCACTGCTGAGTGCTGTGTCAGTGTATTTGTCAATTAGGTCAGATTTCTTTGATTTTGTACTTTGGCTTTGAGATGGCTCTAGGCTCATCCTCCCCTCACCATTCTCTTTCTACTTTCTTGCTCATTAAATCTCTTTGCCCTCTTGCTTGCTTTTACCAGAGCTTCCTCTTTTGATCTAGCATCTTTTTGATCCATACATGTTTTCACATGATTTCATTTGGCTGTCTTCCCCTTAAAATTCTGGTTTCAATCATCGCCCTTTTTCCCTTTTGTTCTGTGGCTTTGCTCAGCAGGTCAGCATGGTCTTTGTGTCCTTTAGACCTTATTTGTTAAAGGAGCCAATCAGCTCCATCAGCAGGCATTCATTAGCACATGTTGTGGGACTTTAGAAATTCCTGACATTGTTCACTCAAGGGGCTTGTGATCTGGCTGGAAATTATAGTATAGTTAAATATACAGATTTAACAGTAGTACAAGGAAGTATATAATATGAACTATATGTGTGTTGTAGGGTAGAAGAAGGGACAGTCACTATGGGCTGGAATGGCTTTGTAGGGAACTTGGTATTTGGTCTGAAATCAAAAGATGGGAAATAGGGAATTTGCCAGAATAAAAATCCAGAGGCAGGAAAGCTTAACTACTTTGTGTTTGTATTTCATAAATTACTTTGGCTGGAGAGGACGATGTTAGTGTGCAAAGCTGTAGTGGCCTGGTCCATAGAGGTAGGCTGGGACTAGGTCATAAGGAGCCTTAAATGCCAAGCTATTACATTTAGACAGCATTCTGCAGCTACAGAGGCAAGGCATTGGAGATGATGAATATGTGCACAGGGATTTGATGTGGTGAATGTAACATTTTTGGGAAAATTATCTGATGGTTGTATACAGAATATAATTGGAAAGAGTCCAGTAAAATCCTGGAAAAATTATGTGATTTGAGATTATAATGTGCATAGAAAGATAACAGATGCATACAGAATCAGGAGAAGGGAGTTGATTTACTTATAATGCTTAAGAAATCCATCCTAGGTTTTTAAGAGACCAACAGTGCTGTGGATAGAAATAGAGACACAGGGAGGCAGAGCAGAATTCAGACACAGGTGTCAGAATGTGCTCAAGACCAGAGAGCTGAAGCCATGGTGCAGAGGTGAGATTTAGCTTAGGCAGACTTTGCAACTGAAAAGAGCACAGGTGTCAGGAGGTGTCAAGATGGTGTATGGAAGGGCTCCCGCAGAGTTCTCTCTGAGATAGCAGAATTTCAGGAGGTTTGTGAGGAATTAGGGCTAGCCATACCAGCTGTGGAAGCCAAGGTAACCTAACATTGCTGTCCAAACTTATAATCTCTAAAGTAACAGACCAAAATCGATTAACAATAATAATGGCACTAATAAGGAAAAGCACAGCAAGCTCTCAAACCGCAAGTGAAATTCATTTGCGCCATTTGGGGTTCACTTTTAAAGGAGTAAGCTATTCTTCATGTATCCTCCTGTTTTGAAGGTTTCCCTGAAACTGTCCAGTTTTGCCTCAACCAAGGCGATTTGCTAGGAAACAGGAGAGAATTCTAAACTCCAATTAGCCAGTGCTATTGGAGATTAATAACACTTTAGACCTGCTGGAAGCGACTTCACATCTAAGCTTCTTCCTACTGTGTCATAGCAACAATTTACAAATTTTAATAATAGATGTCCTGTTTGAGAAATTGCCTTTCCTTATGCTATGGGAGGTTTTATGATTAGACTATACCTCTTTCCTTGCAGTTGTTTTCAAGGCGTTTATGTTACCATTTTTGCTTATCAGTAATGGTTCAAAAATTTTCTAACACAGAGCAATTAATATCTGTCAGTAGAAATAAATTACATTTTTCATCGCTTGTGACACACTCTCAAATGCTGTTTGAAAGTGCCATAATTTTGCATCATCATGCTATGTAATTTTGGTGCCTGGTGTAGGAGTGCTTTAGGGGTATGATTTATATTTTCTGTTTTTTTTTTCTTGAATTAATAGGGTAGGTGTAAGGATTAGGATATAAGTTGGAAAATGACACTTTGCAGAATAATTTGTATTATTTCTGTTCTTCTAAAGCAGTCTGTCTTTTAGAATTGTTCACATATTTTATAAATATATTTGTGCATGCAGATTGTGTATATTATAATGTTACCATCAGTAACTTTTGCCTTATAGCACTAGAAGGGACAACATGCTTTTAGAAATTGAATGCTTAGAATATATGTATGTTCAGAACATATTTTTCATTGCCATAAGGAAGAAGTGTATAACATTTGCAACATTTTTACCTCTGTAGGATCCTTGTCGTTTAAGCACAGCAGGCCCACCCTAGTGCTCTGTTTTAGCCAGCCGTGATTACTGGCCACAGATGAGAGCCTATGACAGGCGGAGCACCCAGGCCACCTTCTGCTTATTTTTGGCCCCATTCTCTTCTCCTTTGGCCCTGCAACCTGGTGTTGACATGTGATTTTAGCCTGGTGCTTTTAGGTTACCGATTTGTACTCACCTCTGGTTTGATAGATTCCAACTTGCCTGGAGGCTCTTGCCAATTGTCTTCTACCACTCACTGCCTACCTCTGACTCAGTCCAGTGAGAGATGATGAGAAGGATCAGAGGATGGGGGAGGGAGGCTGCCGGGACCCGGGTAAAAAATCAAAAAGGACTTGAGCCTACTAATTAAACCTCTCAAATTGCAATTGTGCTGAAAGCTCATACTGCTCTCGTCAGTGCCTAATTGATGAGTCCATTACTATGTTCAGTCATTGCTACCTGGCAGCCATTCTTAAAGTGAGCAATATATTTCATTCTATTAGACTACAATCAGTGATTCCCTTCTGAAACAGTGAAGAAAAGCTTTAACTTTAAATTTACAACTCAAATAATATTGCTTCTTCAATATGGCTATTATAAAGAGGAATGGAGTCAGGGAGGGACCACACTCACTCGACAAGGCTTTGTAGAGGATCTACTATCCCCAAACACAGTGCTGAGGGTATGATATTCCTGAGAAATGCTGTTAGGAGATGTGGTTTTCAAAATAATTCACAATGATTACAACTAAATCTGTCTTTACTCCCCATCTCTTAATGTTTTTATTTTTTAATTTAACACTGTCGGTTGGATTAGGCTTAGATAAAATACACATAAGAGTATAAGGAGATAGAAACCTAAATATAGGCGTTTTGTGCAACCAATGCATCGCTGCCTTATCTTGAAACTTCTGAAATTATCAAAAGCTACATTACTGTATATCATAGCAGCACAGCTGTGAGCAAAGCTGGGGCTTTGCTATTTTAAAATGTTAGAAGAGAAAGTGTATTGAATTTTTCAATTGAATTTTAAAAAGGTATCAGTGAATAGAGACTTGTCTTCTTACATGGGACTCAAACTATCAGATTCCCAAATAGAATTTTAGCAATTAATACTAGTTAAATGGGTTTCAGCAAGTCAAACCCATCTCCACAGAGCTATGATTGTAGTATATTTTTAATTATGGAAGTATTAAAAACAATCAGCTCACATTAACTTTTAAAATAGAATTATAAAGCAGAGCCTTTCACTCTAATTCCTTTGTTTAGGGAGTCATCAGGTATTAAGTGAGTCACTTTAGAATGAGCGGCTTATTTTTAAGAGTTTTAATATATTAAATAAGAATAACAGAAATCAAAGTAGAAGGAACCTTGGAAATTATGGTCACCTGACACTTGGTATTTCATTTAGAAAACAAATACCTAAAATTATTAAATGCAAAAAAGAAACTAAAGCTGCTCACTGGATGGATGGATGGGGCATTGGTAATTGGTAGTTATGGTTTTAAAGGAATAAGGGCATTAGGTTAATTGGCATAATGTGAAAACAGATGCTTTATATTTTCAAACATCTTATTAGTGATTCCCTATTGAGCTCCATTTTTAATTTAATATTTATGCAGGAGTTAATATTTTGAAAATGTTTATAGTCATTTTTATTTGTTGTATGTTTTATATGAGGTAGGTCAGTGCATTTTTTCATCTGGGTAAGTCATCAATTAACAGGTGGAGTACGTGGCATGTAGTAAACAGATGTTTCTGCCCTCGAGGGAATTACAAATTAAATTCGCCTCTTAGTATCTTACTATTCCAAAGGTCTTACCTTTGCTTAACCACGTATATCCTGCCAGCAAAACTGGTCTTCAGGAAATTGTGCCACAAAATGATACTAATGATACTAATACTAATACTACCAATACTAATACTACCACTGATTAAGGACATCCTGTGTGCCAGGCAGTATATTGAGTTCTTTGTGCATGTTGTATAATTTAATTTTCTTAACAGTGCCATGAAGCAGCTACTATCTCAGTTTTACAGACAAGGAATCGGGGCTTGAAGAGGTTCAGACCATGTAACTTGTATGTGAAGGTCTAGATCTGGTAAGTGAAGAAGTTAGTGTTTGAAACAACTGCTCCCCCGCACTGCACCGTATGGTGTCCTGTGGTAATAATGGTGGCTACATTTGTTGGTGGCTGTCTACTAAGAACTTCACAGCATATTTTCATTTAATGCCCACAACAATTTTAGGTATTTTATTCCAATCTACAGATGCAGAAACTGAGCTGAAGAGCAGTTAAAGAACGTTAGAACATTCTTTTTTTATTTTTGTTTTTTAATATTTTTGAGATGGAGTTTTGTTCTTGTTGCCCAGGCTGGAGTGCAATGGTGCAATCTTGGCTCACTGCAACTTCTGCCTCCCGTGTTCAAGTGATTCTCCTGCCTCAGCCTCCTGAGAAGCTGGGATTACAGGCATCCGCCACCATACCCAGCTAATTTTTTGTATTTTTAGTAGAGACAGGGTTTCACCATGTTGGCCAGGCTGATCTTGAACTCCTGACCTCAGGTGATCCACCCGCTTCAGCCTCCCAAAGTGCTGGAATTAAAGGCGTGAGCCACCACACATGGCCAAGAACATTTTTAAGAGTACACAGCTATGAAGAAACATAGTTTCAAAATATAGTGCTCTGCCTCCATACTCTGTTGCTATACCCATATTCCAAACTGCTCCCCTTTCAACGTTTCTTCATGTGCGTGATAAAGATATATAACCAATCCTTATTTGAATTGAAAGGAGCTCGGCATATATCTGTGAGTGACTGAATGGTGTTTTATTCAGAAAGTTTGTTTGGAGTATTTCTTATTCTCAATATGTTCTTCCCTTCTTAGCCTACCCTATCTTCAGTGTACTCCATCTCTAGATGACTAGGGCCCTCAAACCATTTCTTGTTCCTTACCCTCCCAATACAATTACATGTTGAAAAGCCTACAGTAAGTTCAGTTGCACTAAGTTCCAAATAATAATGTCTTTTAATTAAGTCTTCCCCCAAGTTATGGGTATTTGCTGTGATTTTATATATATATATAAAAATAGTTAAATATGTATATATATATCCAAGAAAACAAGGTCTTGCTCTATCACTGAGGCTGAAGTGCAGTAGCATGATCATAGCTCAGTCCCCAGATGCTTAAATCAAACTACCTTAACCGCTACACTGCAGCCTCAAACTCCTGGGCTCAAGCAGTCCTTTGATTGGATAACTTTACTGGAATTCCAAGTGGTGGGTACTGGCTGGAGATATTTTCATGTGGTCTTTGGGGATTCCTCAAAACATAGCAGTAGTTGTCTCCCTTTATATATGTTAAGACCAGCCTGAGTCTTAGCAAACTGCTTTACAGGATGTTTTCATCTCTTTTGGGGTTACCTTTTTCTGTGGGTATATACTTCTGATTTTACAATGAAAAGTAGTGAGAAAATGGGACTCATTTCACAACAGTTCTTCTTTACTTAGTTATATATGCTTCATGAAGCAAAACAAGAGGAAGCTCGTATGTGGATATTAGAAACACAAGAGTTAATTAAAACAACAACCCTCTGTCTTTCCCATTTACCAAGTTAAGACATGTCATTATCAGGGCCAGGCACGGTGGCTCATGCCTGTAATCCCAGCACTTTGGGAGGTTGAGGCGGGCAGATCACCTGAGGTCAGGAGTTCAAGACCAACCTGGCCAACATGGTGAAACCCTGTCTCTACTAAAAATACAAAAAGTAGCTGGGCGTTGTGGCTGACGCCTGTAATCCCAGCTACTCCGGAGGCTGAGGCAGGAGAATCGCTTGAACCTGGGAGGCAGTGGTTGTAGTGAGCTGAGATCACGCCACTGAACTCCAGCCTAGGTGACAGAGCGAGACTCCATCTCAAAAAAAAAAAAAAAAAAAAAAAAAGAAAAAGAAAAAGACTTGTCTTTATCTAAAACAGATCTTACAATGAGGTTCATTAAGTGAATACCATCTAAGATGGCGTACAATTTAAATGGATTGGGGAATTTATTTTATTTTCTCTAAAATTTTACCACTAAAGATCTAGTCATTTGGAATAATAGACATTTTTTAAAAATAAAAATAACCCTTGAAGAGTAAACATAGTATATCATTTCATGATTTATACCTATCTTATGGAAAAATATTCAGCTTGCAGAATTCGGCTTGATGGGATTTGATCTCTCATGTTTATTTGTTTGTTTGTTTTTATCTCTTTTGTCTGTTGCCTTTTGGTGATTTTCTTAAATGTATCCTCCAGGCCGGGCGCGGTGGCTTATACCTGTAATCCCTTGAACCCAGGAGGTGGAGGTTGCAGTGTGCCAGTGCACTCCAGCCTGGGCAACAGAGTGAGGCTCTGTCTCAAAAAAATAAATAAATAAAAATAAAAATAAATAAAAAATCTATCCTCTCAGATCACTAATAATATTCTCTACAGCTGGGATTAGCTATTTAATCTGTCCATTTGGTATTTAGTCCTTCCATTGAATTTTTAATTTCAATGACAATATTTTTCATTTCTAGTAGTTCTAGTTGACCCTTTTTCAAATTTGCCAGTTTTTGTTTATACTGTTGTTTTCTTTCAGTATTGTTTCTGTTGTCTTTGATCTCTCTAATCATTTTGATGCACTTTTTAGTAATCTCTTTTAAAATTGTTCTTTCTACTGTTCTCTAAATGCTAATTCTCTTTGTTGTGTCTGCACATCATATGTAAATCTAATCTTCAACTGAAAGTCTTGTTTGTTTTGCTAAGACAGTCTTGTGTGTCTAGGGTAAGGTAACATCCCTTCAGAGTATTTTTCATTTGCTTCAGGTGAGGCCATGGGAACTTTCTGGCTTGGGACCAGTTTTATGGTTAATGTCTTGGCTGGAGTTTTCTTGACCACTTGACTAGTATAAACAGATCTTACAGCCTTTCTCACAGTACATGGTTGAAGTTTTGATTTCTCAAAGACTCCAGAGAGATGCCAAGCTTTCTTTCTACTTTCTGGTCTAGTGGACAGCTGGCATTTTTCAGGCATTTGGAACCCCTGGAATGGTCCCGGTTTTATGCTGGGATCTGGGTTCCAACACTCCACTTGTGGACCTTAAAATCCTAGCTCCCAGCCGCTCGAACCTAAGTTTCTGTCCATTTCCTCTTGAAGCACTGAGATTGCCCTTTCTTTTGAGCTCAGCTATGAATAAAACTTTCTGAGATGGAGTTTCCCTCTGTCGCCAAGGCTGGAGTGCAGTGGCATGATCTCAGCTCACTGCAACCTCTATCTCCCGGGTTCAAGTGATTCTCATGCCTCAACCACCTGAGTAGCTGGGATTACAGGAGCAACCACCACACCCAGCTAATTTTTGTATTTTTAGGAGAGTCAGGGTTTCACCATGTTGGTCAGGCTGGTCTTGAACTCCTGGCTTTGAGTGATGTGCCCACCTCGGCCTCCCAATGTGCTGGGATTACAGATGTGAGCCACCACGTCCAGCCACATAAAAATCTTGAGTTCACATTTTGTTTGCATTTCTGGGTATTTGTAGCAGGAGAGGGTCTGTGTCACCTCAATCCATTATGCTACTTTACATTTCAGCTACATAAGATTTGCATTGAGAAATTTTGTCAGAGTTTTCACGTGGAGGAAAGAATGTTGTGGAACACAGACCACTGCCAGGGAAAGTCAGGCTTGGGCACCCCGGGGGAGCTGACAAGCTCTAGGGGAGGGAGACAAAGGGCAGTGGCCTTTAAGGTGGGGAATGGAGAGGAAAAGTAGGAGAAAGCACAGAGAGCAGGTCTGGGAGGTGGTGGAGACCAACTGCATGTTCTTGCCCAAGGGCAGTTCTTCCCTTGCCTTCCAGATGCAGAATTTGTTTTTCTCACTGAACACCGTGACATTTACCCAGCCAGATCAAATGAAGGAGAGTCTTAGGCCCCAGAGGCAGCTGTGTGAGCTTCCCTTGTGGTTGAAAGGTCAGGGTGATTTCTACCCATCTCAGGTAATTTTGCAGTGGGTACGTTTTCTGTCCTTTTCCCACCATCCCTGATGTATTTTGAAATGAATCACATACTTTTTTGAAGAAAAATCTTTTGATTAGGCTTCTTGGTTCCATATCGTTTTATAGTCCTATTTTCATTTGAACTGTTAGAAGCAAACCCGGAAGGTCACTATTTCTTAACTTTCCTTTAGAAGTAGATTTTTAAGTATGAGTCGCTGCATAGTCTATTTATTTTGAAGTCTTCTGGATTTTACCTTCTAGATTGAGAATTTTCTGTTCATGGCAACTGTTTGCTTCTAACACAGAAACTGCTTGTCTGTTTAGAGATCTTTTGGGTGGTAGTGTGTATGTTGGTTAGGAGGTGAGTAGTCTTTAGCTGGATGCTACTTAATAAACCTTATTAATGTGCATTGAAGATTTAAATTCTGAAATGAAAAACAGGCATTGGGACTAGCAGGAAATATTAACCAAAATCGTGAAGCAGATCAGATGGTAAAGAGACATAATGTGTTTTATCTGTAGACCCTCATGTTTGTTCATCTCTCTCCCTATCTCTCTTCCCTGTTCACTCAACCCCCATTCCCATTCCTGTGGTTTGGGGTTGCCTCTGTTTGCTTGTCTGATCCTGAAGGCCAGAACCACACTTAGCTCAGAGTATGGGGATCCTGCCCTATAGGATTTCCAAAGGTTGGCACAATCAGCCATGTAGCCAGGGACAATTTAATTCAACTTGTGAGCACAGGTCATGTCTGGGCCTTCCTTCCAAACTAGCCTCTCAGCTCCATATAAGCTGCCATCCTGAAGCAATAGGTAAGAGGGGTTTTGTTATTCTATTAAAAATGAGAGCCATAATAATAATAACAATAGCTAACACTCATAAGATGGCAGGTGTTATTCCGAGCATTTTAAACACATTAAATCATTGAGTCCTAATGACCCCATGAGGTAAGACTCTTTTAGCCTCATCTTCCACATGAGGCACAGACAGATGTGGTACTTTACCCAGAATCACATGGCTAGCAGGTGGCAGAGCCTGGATTAAATGTGCTCTGTCTGACTGTCCAGAGGTGTGCAACCTCATGTCCAGCCTGACTTTGGCATCCATCCCATGTGAGAGTAAGACTCTGTTATCTGCAGGTCAGGGGTTTCCTGCATCTTTGCCTTTTCCAGACAACATGTTTGTAAGCCCAGGGTTTCAGCTCTGATCACCATTTTGTTTCTCTGTTCTGCTTTAGATTACTGACAGGTTTAGCTTGTTTGAGTCTGGCAGTGTCCTTTAAATTTTTCTCTTCTGTTTTGTGTCTCACTGGTGTGTTTGGACAGATGAAATACCTCAGAGGGTGGACTCCCAAGCTGTCTTGACTGGCAGTCTCCAGTGCCTTCTCAGGGGGATATATTCCTTCCTTTTTTCCTTTGTTCGTGTCTTCTTTCCTTTTCTTTTTTTTTTTGAGATGAGATCTTGCTCTGTTTCCCAGGCTGGAGCATATCGGCATGATCTCGGCTCACTGCAACTTGTGCCTCTTGGTTTCAAGCAATTCTCCTGCCTCAGCCTCCTATGTAGCTGGGATTACAGGTGCATGCCACCACGCCTGGCTAATTTTTGTATTTCTAGTAGAGATGGGGTTTTGTTATGTTGGCCAGGCTGTTCTCGAACTCCTGGCCTGAAGTGATCCGCCCGTCTTGGCCTCCCAAGGTGCTGGAATTACAGGCGTGAGCCACCATGCCCAACCATCTTTCTTCCTGTCTTCATTCAGCATTTATTGACTACCTGCCTATACCTGTGCTCTGTGACAGTCTGTCCTCGGCAAGCTCAGTCTCCTGTGAAGAATTAGATATGGGCATCTGTGCTGTGGTAAATACTCTCACAGAGGCTGGCGGTGGGTGGAGTGGGAGGACACGGAGAGGTGGGGGGAAGACTTCACAGCGAAGGTGCCAGTGGAGTGAATGCTGAAATAAACCTTCTCCAGGTAGACAGAGGGAAGATGTTTCAGGCAGGGAACCTACATGCACCTAGGCTGGAGGCATGAGCAGGCGTGGTGAGTGGAGGGCTGGCCAGTCAGTGCAGGCGATGGGCTGAAATAACACGAGGCTATCAAAGGGGGCCAAACACAGAGCTCAAAGGGCCCTGATGACCTGTCTAGGGAGATTGGATTTTACTTCTTAGATAATGCAGGTGCCACTAAATAATAGTAAATTAATTGTTTATTATTTAGATGATTTATTATGACTACTTTTTGAGAGAGGGTCTTACTCTGTCACCTAGGCTGGAGTGCAGTGGTGCAATCATAGCTCATGACAGCCTCAACTTCCTGGCTCAAGTGATTCTCCTGCCTCTGCCTCCTAGGTAGCTGGGACTACAGGCATGCACCACCACAGCAGGCTAATGTTTTAAAAAAAATTGGTAGAGATGGGGTCTTGCTATGTTGCCCAGGCTGGTCTCAAATTCCTGGGCTCAAGTGATCCTTCCACCTCAGCCTCCCAAAGTGCTGGAATTATAGGCATGAGCCACGACACCTGGCCTGATTTCTTTTTGAGAATATTGTATTTTCCATTTGAAAAGCCAGTAAAATATGAAGTACACTCATATATTCTATTCATATATTCTACTGTCTTTAGGGATAAACAATTAAAATATGGAAAGACATACAGTAAACCATCACAGGTTTGAAGGACTTTGGGGAAGGTGGCTTATCTAAATAAGATCTTTTGAGATTACTCTCTAAATGCTTTGTGAGTCTTTTAAAACACTGCCAAAAGCCATTAGAATATTCTCTCTAGTAAACTTTTCATGAATATGGAAAAATAGTGGTTTTTTTCAACCTAGAGTTTTGTGTAGTTGGAGAATACTTTAGAAATGATCTTAAAATTCTAGAGGATATATGTATTTAAAAAATGAGTCACTGCTTATTTTCTCTTCAAATATTTTAATTTTTAATTCTTTGTTAAAACCTTCCTGTAACAATACTAGGAAAACGAGTGATTGGACCTTTTACTGTGGCATGCAAAAGAGACCTAATATTGAAACATAGTCATGTTTTAGGAGTGCGTGATTATGTGAAATATATTTGTGTAAAATGTCCTGTGCTCCTGGAGGCTCCATGTAGAAAATGCAGCAATGTAAAAGTGTAAAACTCACCATTCTTTCTAGCTTTTTTGGTCACAGTTTTGAAAATGCCTGTAGAGAACTACAGAGTAAAACACAAAGGCCATTGTTTTTCCTTTACATGTTTACCTAGGTTAATAGTACACTGTGCATAGCTGTAATGAAGCTCTATATCTAACCCCAGGTGGCTGAAGGTCATGGGCTTTATAAGCCAAAGGTAAAACTTCCGCCTGTATTCTACTGCAGGGAATGACAAATTCTTGAATCCTACAACCAACAAAAAATGACTTTACCCGAGGAAGCCTGCACAAATTACTTCCATTGTTCCTGATTGCCTTGATATCAGTATCAGACACTTTGTGAACAGACATTCTGACTTTACACAAATAGTTGTGCACAAGCCAGGAGCCCATTATCTTGTTATAATACTCAATTTTCTTCCCATTCTTTTAATTGAAACGCAGTTGCCCCACTGCTTTTGGGCAGCAGAAGTGTTACGATAGCCTAAACTCTCAGCCATCTAAGGGATTGATTTGCTGTCTTACCCAGCTTTATCTGTTACTTCTCTGTGTGTGCTACCTCTTGTTTCTGACCACAGCGTGATGCTATTAAATGTGTACTATTGATCCAGTCTGTGATGACAGAGCACTGATTAGCCCTTTTGTATTACTTTGATTTTGAAATTGACTAGTCCCCTAGTCTGTAAATCATGTATTCTAAAATGCCTAGTAATCAAAATAATAACATTAATGATTTTCTACCACCTAGGCCCATAAAGTAAATTAACTGGTGGAAACAGCTTTGAAAAGCAATATGGCTGAATAGACCTATTCTTACCTTGTTGACCAAATGTTTTGTAATAGTCTACCAATTTCAATTTTAGGTTAAAAACACCATGGAAAAACTCTGCAGTTCAGTTAGCAGGAGATAAATTGCATGATGCTTGTAATCAGAAAAACTGGAATAAACTCAGTGTTCAATTAATACTCCAGCCTCTTCTTCCTTTCTGATGCACCTCTTTAAAGCCACCGAGGATTCAAGGATGATAATTAATTTTTAGGGTAAATTAAACTAATCTAACAAATAATCAGGGCTGATTTTCAGCTGGTACCTATTGTAGAGTCAGTAGCTACACTAGTTGTTTATGATTTTCTAATTGGTTAATCTCAGTGTTCAAAATATATTTACTTTTAACCTTACAGATAATGCTAGATGTGAGTTTAATATATATTTTAACTATATTACATTGCCTGCCTCCTTGTTGGCTCTTAGTTGAGCAAATGGAAACATATAATTTCTTTTATCTTTGTACATCTCACACCAGCTTGGATTGGTGTGATATTTTCCAAGTTTTGTTTTACAGAATGATATTATTATATGTATGTTTTCTTCCAAGTGATTTTCAATATTGAAAAAGATAATTTACAGAATTGAAGAAAGAGTGTCAAAAACCAGATCAAAGCCAGAGACGTCAAAAACTCGAATGAGGGACACAGACACCCACAAAATTCTTTTTGCATTATCCAGCTCTAATTCTTCTAGACCCTTGGCTTCATTCTTCTTTATTTATATAAACTTCCCTCATTTGAGAGGAACATAGCTGTAGGCAGCTCCTGGATTATTTCCTTTTAGCCTGGGAACATGAGAGTAAAGAGAACTTTCCCTTTTAGCTTTAGATTGAAAAAAATCACAGGAAAGGATTCTGACTGATCCAGCTTAATATCATGTGCCCACTCCTGGACCTAATGTGGCAGGGAAATCATTCCTAATTAGCTGGGTCACATGCCTGCCTCGGTGTTACAGGGGCAGTGCTTGTTACCAGAAGAAAGTGAATTGGCTTTGAGCCGGTCAACTATCCCAGTTTGTGCCTATCACAGAGTGAATCAGATATATAAAGTAAAATGAGAAGAGGCTCTGATCTAGGTGGTCCACCTTTGATGGAAAATAAGATGATGGTGCCAGAAGGAAGTGTGTTTCTATGAGGACCTTGGGTCCAGCAGGAGAAGGACGGTATCCTGTCCTTCTTCCTTTTGGTCCAAAGGGAATGCCACTCCTGGTGTTCTTCCTCTGGGTTGATACCGAAGTTTGTCTTTGCCTCCATTGTACTTATTACACATACTCTGATAATGTGTTACAAATCTGCCTCCCTGACTGGACTGTGAGGTGCTTGAGGGCTAGGACTATGCCTTATTCATGTTTGAAAATACTCTTGTTATGATATGAATGCTTGACACTTGTTGAATGAATAAATTTTGGGAAGTATGGCAACCTACCACAGATAAGGCACTGAATGACAATATCGTTAGATTACGCATGTCATATACTCTAGAATTGTACAACAAAGCTTTTAAAGCTAATACTCTCTCCTATAGTAGGCAGAGTTGCTTGCACACCTTGAGGCAGCTCATGTTCTCACAGGACAGCCCTTTCTATTGCTCTGAAAATGAACCAGCCCCTTCTTGTGTTGCCCTATAATCTATTCCCTGTAATCTTCACCCTTTGCTCCTGATGGGGCTATCTGCAGAACTGCGTGGAGGACATGTCTCTTCCATCTGATAATCCTTTAGGTATTTGAAGACAGATATTGATGCTCATTTTGGTCTTTCTCCAGTGAAAACATCCTGATTCTTTCAGTCATTCCTCTGCGAGAAGGATTTCTGGATCCCTGACTTCTGGTTATAGCCTAACTATAAACTTTTGGGTGTTCGGGCCTGGTGCAGTGGCTCACACCTGTAATCCCAGCACTTTGGGAGGCTGAGGTGGGCGGATCACCTGAGGTTAGGAGTTTGAGACCAGCCTGGCCAACATGGTGAAACCCCATCTCTACTAAAAATATACAAATTAGCTGGGCATGGTGGTGCATACCTGTAATTATAGCTACTTGGGAGGCTGAGGCATGATAATCGCTTGAACCCGGGAGGCGGAGGTTGCAGTGAGCCAAGATCGTGCCACCACACTCCAGCCTGGGCAACAGAACAAGACTCCATCTCAAAAAATAATAGTAATGTGAGATGCATGGAATGAAACACAAGTGTCCAAGATGTGGTTTGACTTGTGCAGGGATGATTACACCCCAGGATCACAATCAGTGGTTTTAGAAGTGGAACTCCCTCCCCTCCCCCTCCCCTCCCTCCCTCCATTCCTCCCTCCATTCCTCCCTGCATCCCTTCCTCCTTTCCTCCCTTCCCTTTCCCCTTCCCCTTCCCTTCTTTCTTTAAAAAAAAAAAACCTTTTATTTTAGATTCAGGTGCACATGTGCAGGTTTATTACAGGGGTATATTGTGTTGATGCTATGGTTTGGGGTACATCTGAACCATCACTTGGGTAGTAAGTATAGTACCCAATAGGTAGTTTTTCAACCCTTGCTCTCCTCCCTCCTTCTCTTCTCTTACAGTGCTCAGTGTCTGTTGTTCCCATCTTTATGTCTATGCATACTCAATGTTCAGCTCCCACTTATATGTGAGAATAAGTGGTTTATGGTTTTCTGTTTTGGTATTAGTTTGCTTAGGATAATGGCTTCCAGCTCCATCCATGTTGCTGCAGAGGACATGATTTCATTCTTTTTTATGGCTGCATTGTTTTCCAGGGGTTATATGTACTACATTTTCTTTACCCAATCCACCATTGATAGACACCTAGGTTGATTCCATGTCTTTGCTATTGTGAATAGTCCTGCAATGAACATACAAGTACATATGTCATTTCGATAGAAGGATTTATTTTCCTTTTGTTATCTACCCAGTAATGGGATTACTGGTTTCAATTATAGTTCTATTTTTAGTCCTTTGAGAAATCTCCCAACTGCTTTCCAAAGTTGCTGAACTAATTTACATTCCCACCAACAGCGTATAAACATTCCCTTTTTTCCACAACCTCACAACGTGTGTTATTTTTTGACTTTTGTTTTTGCAATTTATTTTGCATTTTTAAAGTTATAACTTTTAGGTTTAAGGGTACATGTGCAGGTTTGTTATGTAGGTAAACCAAGTGTCACGGGGGTTTGGTGTACAGATTATTTCATCACCTAGCTAATAAGCATAGTACGCAACAGGTATTTTTTTTCTGATTCTGTCCCTCCTTCCACCCTCTGCTCTCAATTAGGGCCTGATTTTTTTTTTTTACCTTTTCATGATAGCCATTCTGACTAGAGTGAGACAGTTATCTCATTGTGGTTTTGATGGCATTTCTCTAATGATTAGTGATGATGGGCATTTTTCATATGCATATTGGCTGCTTATATAGTTTGTTTTGGTGAGTGTCTATTCATGTCCTTTGTCCACTTCTTCTTTTTTTTTTTGAGTCAGAGCTTTGCTCTTGTAGCCCAGGCTGGAGTGCAATTGTGCAATCTTGGCTCACTACAACCTCCGCCTCCCAGATTCAAGCGATTCTCATGCCTCAGCCCCCCAAGTGGCCAGATTACAGGTGCCTGCCACCATGCCCAGCTAATTTTTATATTTTTAGTAGAGATGGGGTTTTACCATATTGGGCAGGCTGGTCTTGAACTCCTGACCTCAGGTGATCCACCCGCCTCAACCTCCCAAAGTGCTGGGGTTACAGGTGTGAGCCACTGCACTTGGCCTTTTGTCCACTTCTTAATGGGGTTGTTTGTTTTTTTTTCTTGTTGATTTAAGTTCCTTATAATTCAAGATGTTAGGCTTTCATTTGGATGCATAGTTTGCAGATATTCTATTCTGTAGCTTGTCTGTTTACTCTGTTGATAGTTTCTTTGGTGTGCAGAAGCTCTTTAGTTTAATTAGGTCCCACTTGTCAAGTTTTGTTTATGTTTCAATTGCTTTTGAGGATTTAGCCATAAATTCTTTGCCAAGGCCAATGTCCAGAATACTGTTTCCTAGGTCGTCTTCTAGGATTCTTGCAGTTTGAGATTTTACATTTAAATCTTTAATCATTTTGGGTTAATTCTTGTATATGGTAAAAGCCAGCTTTCCCAGCACCATGTGTCGAATAGGGAGTTCTTTCCCCATTGCTTATTTTTGCTGATTTTGTCAAAGATCAGATGGCTATAGGTGTGCAGCTTTATTTTTGGGTTCTCTATCTGTTCCATTGGTCTGTTTTTGTACCAGTGCCATGCTGTTTGGGTTACTTTAGCCTTTTAGTATAGTTTGAAGTCAGGTAGTATGACACCTTCAGGTTTGTTCTTTTTCTTAGGATTGCTTTGGCTATTTGGGTTCCATTTTGGTTCATATGAATTTTAGAATTTTTTTTTTCCTAATTCTATGAAAAATGATGTCAGACAGAAATGGCATTGAGTCTAAATTGCTTTGGGCATTGTGACCATTTTAATGACATTGGCTCTTCTAATTCATGAGCATGGAATGTTTTTCCATTTGTGTCATCTATGATTTCTTTCAGCAGTGTAGTTCTCCTTGTAGAAATCTTTCACCTTCTTGGTTATATGTATTCTTAGGTGTTTTATTTTTGCGTATGGCTATTGTAAATGGGATTATGTTCTTGATTTGGCTCTCAGCTTGTACATTATTGGTGTGTAGAAATGCTACTGATTTTTGTACAGTGCTTTTGTAGAGGTGAGAGTGGGCAGGCTTGTCTTGTTCCATTTCTCAAGGGGAATGCTTCCAGCTTTTGTCTGTTCAGCATGATGTTGGCTTGTGGGTTTGTCATAAATGGCGCTAGTTATTTTGAGGTATGTTTCTTTGATGCCTAGTTTTTTGAGACTTTTTATTATGAAGGGATGTTGGATTTTGATCAAAAGCTTTTATTTTATCTATTGAGATGATCATATGGTTTTTTGTTCTTAATTCTGTTTATGTGGTACATCATATTTATTGATTTGTGTATGTTGAATCAAACTTGCATCCCAGGAATAAAGCCTACTTGATTGTGGTGAATTAACCTTTTGATGTGCTGCTGGATTTGGTTTGTTAGTATTTTGCTGAGAACTTTTACATCTATGGAACCCTTTCCTTGAAGGAAATTTTATGCAAAGTCCACTTTGTATAATAAGTAAAAGAGGATCTTTCCTGCTTGCAGGGAGTTTGCAGGACAAGGAATAAGGCCCATCTGTCCATGTCTTATCTCCCCCATTCACTGTGATGACTGCTGAAACATTTTGAGAGAACTCAGTGTTCTGTGGCCCCCCTCAATCTGAAAGATATGTTGTTAAAAATGTATTACACATTCTTATGAGTAAAATTCAAGTTTTTAGATGTAATATAGCTAAATTAAGTGCTACTAAAATTCTCATTTATTTCTGCATGACCAGCTGTCAAATCATATCTTTTTATCCCATAATGCAGAATTTTTCATGTTATCCTATTAAATTGAATTTTGTTCATCCATATTTCAGTTTGTCAGGATCATTTTGGGCCTTGATTTTGTTATTAAGTATTTATTTGTTATCATTTCTATCCTCCCATAATCTGGGTGTTTGGCAAGTGTGCTATCTATGTGGTATCTAATTATTTTTATAAGCTTATTGAAATAAATAGGGGTCCATGAGAGAGGCCCTTCTTAAAATTGACACTTGGACAGTGGTGTACATTTTTTGGGGTCCAAAGACTTGTACCCAACATCCCTAAAACTAAACTGTCTTCTACTCTAAAACTGTCTATATCGCTTGATATCATTATCTACTTATGCCTGAAATCTAGACACAATCTTAATGTTCCCCTTCCTTTTAGTACATACTCACAATTTTTCATCAAGTCCTGTGATTTTACTTACTAAATATTTGGAAACTTCTCTGATTTCCACCTCTCTACCGCCACCCTTGTTTAGGTTCTCCTTTTTTTCTCCACAGGCAGCAATAACCTCCTAACAGGTGCCCTTTCTTCTGGGCTTTGCCTTCTGAGTTTTGTTCTGCACTCGTTCCCAACGTTATCTGTCCAAACAAAATCTGACTGTGTGGTTCACATGCTGCAAACCCGCCATTGGCTTCCTGTTGCCCACGGGACAAAGCCCATTATCTTCAACTTTGCACTCAAGTTTATGTTCTGACTCTTTTGTATCATCTTCCAGCACTTCCTAAGCTGGGCTTGATCGCTCACTACATTCAATGGCTTGTAATTTCCTCTGTGCCCCGTGCGATTTTTTTTTTTTTTATGGTCTCCTTTAAAATTCTCCTTCCTCATACGGCCAACCAACTTCTTTTTGTCAAAGCTTACTTGTTTTTAAGAGTCAGCTTAGGTGTGACCTTTCCCTAGGATATTCCTTGAACCTTCTTCTATAGTTGGCCTCCTGCTTCCTTACAAGTCTGGCTTATTAGTGTTTATCTTTATGTCATTGTGCATAATCTATCTGCATTTTATGTGCATCTCTCACAAGATCATGAGCTAGTTAAAGGCAGGGTCCACAGTTCACTCATTTTGGTATAATTTGCATTTAAGCTGGCATTTAGTAGATACTCAGTAAATGTTTGTTGAGTAAAATAATCATTGAATGAACTTACTTAAATGCACATAATCATCACATTTCCCTAACTAAATTTCACCATCCTATATACAAAGATATGTAGATTAGTGAGTCTGCTAGCCATTATGTTGAAATGCAAATATTATATATGTTTGATGTTTTCTTCATCTATCAAACTAGCAATTATATAAATTATTTCATCATTAAGAGCTTCTAACTGAACTTCTTTTTGGCTCCTTTCCATTACTGTGTTCTTTCCTAAATGCATACAGACAATTTTAAAAAGAGTGAATTTCTAATTAAACTGCCTCACTGGAGAACACTTTTACATGGCTATTTTTTCCCAGTAGCGTCAAACAATTAAACCTGGGTTAAAATAACATGGATTTATTGACTACTCTGTGATATTTTAAGAAATTGCTTCTGACACTAAGCAATTTATAATCTCATTGGGGGATGACGATAATGTATACAAAATAGGTAACATTAAAATACATTAAGGGGTAAAGTATCAACAAGAATAGTACAGATGATAAGTGTTGGGCATTTTGATGAAACAGTAGTGATTTAAGCAAATAAAAAGTAACCACGCCACATAATATGAATAGATAGAGGCCACAGGTAAGAAGTATAGATTATTTATTTTGTAATCAGACAAAAGTCCAAGAAACAGAGCCTCCTTTGATTTTGTGTTGAGCTATTTGTGAAGCCAGTAGGACTATTCTGGAAATGAACCTAACAGTATACCTAAACTTAAAAATTATATATTGTTGGGAAGAGGACAGACTATTTTATTAGAACTTTGTGATGAAGTCTGATCGCCATTGTCATCAGATAGGACACCTCACAGAGTTTGTGTCCCCTTGAAAACATATTAAACATAGAAAACAAATAACTCAGCTTTGGGAAAACCATTGAGTGCTGCCCTAAATGGCCATTGCCTATCATGCTTCAGAAAAGGAAAGATGTTTTTACCCAGGTTGTTTTTTTTGCCAGGTTGTTCCTAGGAAGATATGGAAAGGAAAGTTGGCTAGCTTTTCCTATGGCCAGAAGGAAGTACAGCATGAAACAAGTATTTTTTTTTTTTCAAGAACCCCATTCATTCATTAATTCATTCACTCACCTTTATCCATTATTTATTGAGCACTGACCTTCTGGAAGGCACTGTGTCAAGCTATAGAGAGCTCCATGTTCACTAAAGCAATGTTATAAATTTGATTTCCCTTGTTCAACCCATCAAAATAATATTTTGTCTATCAACCAGATATAGCCTATTGTAAATTAAAGAGCATGGCTGGTGTAAGTGAAAAATATGGGTCTAGTCATGCCTTGGGCAAATTGTTCAACAATTCTGTTCTCAATTGTAAAATGAAAGGGTTGAACCATTTACTTTCTCAAGTCCTCTGAGGCTCTAAAATATAATGATCTAATTAATTTTGATGGCCTCCTGGCTTACACTTTAGTATTGGTGAGTTTGTTTAGTGCCTGAACATGCTGATTGAGTTGACTTTGCGAACTTGCAAGTAAGACAGAGTTCTGAAACACAGTGACAGCAGTGTGCTCATTTAAACGAGAGAATGTCCTTCTGTTTGTAGGGGATGTATAAACTTTCATTCCTTAGGTGTTTGAAAACTTAGTGAACTAGTATTTATTATGCTATAGTTAAAATATTTCTGTGCCTGGTTAATTGAGATGTACGTCAATTTTATGGCACTTTATGTGAATAAATCTTTAAAAACATTGCTTGAGTGCATGGATATTCCTGATATTTCAGACATGGCATAACCATATATCTTTTTATATCTGTTATATTCGATTAAATTGCTGTATAAAGTTTAAACTACTCCATCAACAAAATTGAGCATTTTAGTTATATGTATGTATGTGTGTATGTGTGTGTGTGTGTGTGTGTGTGTATATATATATGAAATTACTAAAGTCATGCAACAAATATTATCTTGAAGTCATTTTTGAAAGGGAGTATTTTAATGTGCTCAGTGAATAATTTCTCTCTGCCTGAGAGCTACTGTTGTATCCTGGGAAATATTCAGAGGAGAAGATAAAATTATTTAGATTTGCAGCTTCTTGTCATGGGAGGTGAAGGCCTTTTTATTATTATTATTAATGTGATGGGAATAGTTCCATCACATCGTGTCTCTGCACAGCATCCTGAGAACAACCTTTTCATCACATAAATAATTACAGTTCTGTTTTTTTTAATGTCTCCTGCTATTCCTTCCCTCCCCCTCTTCACCATTTTCCCTTTGAGTGAGGAGAGGATAGCACTCCCTTCAGATAAAGGTTTCCTAAGTATTGACAAAAGGCAGGCACGTGGTGATAGTGGTGGAGGATGGGGGAGGGGAGGATTGTTCTTTGTCCCAACACAACCCAGGTCTGAGCTGGCTGGAAAGGACTGTGTCCAGAAACAGGTGTATATCCTTTTAAAAGCAAACTTGTTATATGTAGAAAGTGCAGTAATTTTTCCAGAGAAAGAGTCAGCTTCTGGCCTGATACCTTTTCCTTCTTCATGGGTCTCCTGCAACCAGAGCTCCTGGCCTGGGTCTCAGAAAGCACATCCTGCATATAATGGTACCCAGGGCCTAGATGGGGCCAGAGTCCTCTTGGTGATGGGGGTGAGCAGGTCAGGCAAGATCTTTGCTCTCAGGGCGTGAACATTCTCCTGAGGGAGACACACAGCAAACCTGGACATAGATGCAGAAATAAGGAAAGGTCTGACAACAGCGATGCTGAGAAGGGAATGTGGGAGGAAAGGGACCTGGCACCCAGCAACATCTCTTCTCATCGCTCCCATTTCTGCATTTGGAATTCTGCCTGGATGGAAGGCAGGCCATGGGGCAGACAACGTGGGCCTTCCATAAGCCTCCTTTTCTGTGCATTTTTGCCCTTCAGTAGTGACTCTTTCCAGTTTCTCTTAGGACTCTGCTTTGTCCCTTATTGTTATTGAGTGGAGCATGGCCTATGCAGACTCTTTGGTGATTTAAATGGGCTAGGTAGAGCCTTAAGACAGAAAATGAAGATAGTGGTAGAAGATAATTTTTAAAAGGATAAGGAGCTAGTACTTTTGCATTTAAATGAATTCCAGGACTAGTTCTTTTAGTGAAAAAGCTATAAATCCCTAATACTTAGTAATTTTTCTGTGTTTGCTTCTACCTCAGGGCCTTTGCACTGGCATTCCCTCTGTCTGGAACAGTCTCCCCTCTGATATCCAATCCTCAAGCTTTTCGAGTTTTTGTTATGTTTTGTTTTGTTTTGTTTTGAGACAGAGTATTGCTTTATTGCCCAGGCTGGAGTACAGTGGCACAATCCTAGCTCACTGCAGCCTCGAACTCCCGGGCTCAAGCAATCCTTGCACCTCAGCCTATCAAGTAGCTGGGACCAGAGGTGTGCGCCACCACACTCAGCTAATTATATTTATTTTTTTGTAGTGGCGGGGTCTCACTGTGTTGCCCAGGCTGGTCTTGAACTCCTGCGCTCAAGTGATTCACCCACCTCAGCCTCCCAAAATGCTGGGATTATAGGCTTGAGCCACCACACCTGGCTCTCGAGTCTTTATTTAAGGGTTGTTGTTTTCAATTACTACTGTATTGAGAATTAGACCCTCTTTCTAGCACTTCATGGCACTTACATGATAATAATCCTGTTCCTTGTCACTCTCCATTGGCCGCCTCCTTCCCAAATGTAAGTCATATGAGACCAGTGATTTTGGCTTGTTTTGTTCACTTCTGCATTCCCAGTGCTTAGAAAAGTGTCTTTAACATGATGCTCAGTAAACATTGTTGAATTAAAATAAGATTTTTAAAAACTTTATGTTTTAAGTTTTCCTAATGGTAAAATCCCTTAGAAAACTCTGGCAAGAGCTGTTTACTTTTGGGACTTAGAGGTTGGAAGAGGATTTCTGGACATTTTGTGGTCCGGGGAAGGACTGTGTGGCCAAGAGCAGGCTGGGTGGGTCAGAAGGAAGCCAGTGGCCAAACCATGGGTCTCTCAAAGGGGAAGTGGTGGGGCCAGTGGTGGGAGTTTGGGATAGGCACCCTCTGACTTCTACACTCCTGAGATCAGTCAGATCTAAGTGTGGACATGGAACTCATCCTTCCTGTTGTTTGGTGCTGAAGGAAGTGAGTATAAAATAATGTAAGCATAAACATTTACAGTGTATCTCCATTTATGGGCTCAGTGAAGACAGGATCATAAGTGTTGAGGATTTTTAAAAAGTCATTAGAATTTGAGCATTCTGAAGGGGCAGCTCCCTCAGATGAAATCAGCTTTTCTATTTGACTGGCTAGTTTACTTTGATAATGTCTACCATGAAAATTTTTTGCATTTTTTTTCCTGAAAGATTTCATGGGAATGTGGCAAGCAAAATAACGGCCCCCAAAGATTCTCACTCAAACCAGGATCTGTGGATAAATGTTACACGGCAAGGGGGAATTAAGGTTGCTAATCAGCTGACCTTGGAATAGGGAGATGATCCTGAATTACTGTGGTGGGTCCAATGTAATCATAAGGTCCTTTAAATGTGAGACAGGGAGGTAGAAGAGTTAGAAGCAGAGAGATAATGTAAAAAAGACTCGACCACGAGCCATGGCCGGCTCTAAGGATGGATGGGGGCCATGAGCCAAGGAGTGAAGATGGCTTCTACAACAGGAAAAGACAAGGTCACAGATTCTGCCCTAGAGCCTCCAGAAGGAACATAGTCCTGCCAACACCTTGATTTTAGCCCAGTGAGATGTGCCTCAGACTCTGGCCTCCAGAACTGTAAGACAATAAATGTGTGTTGTTTTCAGCCACCAAGTCTGTGGTAACTTATAACAGTAGCTGTAGGAAACCAATACAGAAAGAGCAAGGGGAGACCTGTCTATATGTTTTCACAACGCATCTACTTAGCAGTGCTATGATTTCTGGTATTCTTTGGGGGAAAATTAAAAGCCAAAAACAGAACCAGAAAGCACTTCAGAAGTGTATGATTGTGAAATCTAGCAGTGGCCACAACAGAACTAGAACTACTAGGCAACCAGCCCCCTCAAGAGATTATGACCTATGACTCCCACCTCTCCTCTCCACTCTGAGTCACATCCTCTTTGTGGACAGTGACCACGAGCTCACAAAACCAGACTCAGGATGGCAAGACCCAAGATGTGATTATTCCATCAGAGCCTGGGTTAAGGAAAGAAACAGAGGTAGGAAATATTCGAAGTTAGTACACAGTGCTGCTTTCAGGATTCTTCATTAGCAGATGTTTAAAAGTCACTGCTCTAAAATGACTTGGAAATGCTTATAAATATGAATTTCCTGTAATTCACATTTTATCAGAACTCCTATCAGCTGTATCACAGCTTGAAAAATACCAAAAATGCATTAGAAAAATCTTTCTGTTTAAAACTAGATTGATCCCACATTTACATGGCAAAAGAAGGCCATTACTTGGCAGGCAGTAAAAGCTTCATTTCAGAGAGCTTGAGAAAAAACTCAAAATAATTCACTTCGACCCAGGCCATTTGACAACCGTTAGACTTAACTTTACAAAATAAAATGAAATCCTACCACCTGCTGCTTAAAATCTCCAATTAATGCTGTAAACAGTGCCTTCATTTAAAAAACCAATGAGTAAATTTCTGCAAGCTGGGTGCAGACATTTCTACAAATTTGCTGTAACCTTTTGCTCTTGTCTGCAGTAAGAAGAGCCTTCCAGATTCCAAAAAGAAGCCAGAGCTGATTTATACCTAATTGTTTAAGAGCTAAACTCTTTTTGTTCATTAGCTTCAGTTATTTAAGATACTGATAATTCACACCTCATCTGCTGCTATGTGTGTTTGGTAGAAATTGTGAAAGAAAATTATTGAAGCTTGCCAACTTTCCACCTATGAATTAAAACAAGAGTAATTTTGCACAAACTGCAGAAGAGAAGGAAGGAGGTGGCAGGCTTTTAAGATAGAACCAGCAAGTAGGAGAATCACCATCTTCCAGCAACTTGAAAGCAGTGAGAAAGTTAGGTCTTTAATCTCTTCCTTCCTGTCCTGATAGGTTAATTGGAATGTTCTGAGAGGTAAGCCCCTGGACATCTTTGACCTGCCCCCTTCTGTTTACCAGATTAATCGGGAGACAGTCATTGTGAATATTGGTCAGGCAGGGTCAGCTGATAAACGGGCAGACGGTTGTTGTTTGCATCATGTGCTGCTAGCAAAACCAGCAGGTGGATTCTGTCATTCCCAGCCAGTTAGCAGTTCAGGGGCTAGTGTGGAAAGAGTTGCCAGGAATAATTTGGGGCTGCTGTGGTCGGTTATTTCTAGGAGCAGGGAACACCTGGCAGATAGGACCTGTGGGCATGGCTATGGCCTGTCTCAGATCTGTCCAGGGTCTCTGATTAACCCTCAGGGTGCTCCACAGTGTAACTCTTTTGACGGGTCTGGCTTCGTCTCTCATTCCTCAACATTCATCTCAGAAGATGGGTCTCTTTAGTTAGATTTCTTGATAATCCCTGCTTCTTCAGTGGTTTGTTCTTATTTCTAATTCCTACCTGGAATGTCCTGTTCTCCCATCTCTCTTTTCTACAGACCACATAGAAGGGCCCAGTGGGAGTACAAATTCCCTGGGAAGACTTTGTAATTTTCACCCTCTCTGATCTTAACCTTTCACATTTACTTACTGAGTCACAAAACTGGCATCTCATCCAGAAGTTCTCAAAAAGGCACCTCTGTTATTTAATGCCTAATTAACTCAGTACATGATGCTGATATTTTGTGGGTACACTGCCATCTTCTCAAATGCCCTTCCTTTAGTTTTTGTCATACTCCCGTCTGCTGCTTTTCCATCTTTTTGTTCTTTCTCAGTCGGAGAAGAAAGATCAATCCCCTTCTCTGTGTATCTTTGTGTCATGTTCTAAGATTTATATCACAAGCAGTTTCTCTTCGGTATCTCTACACTCCAAATCTCCCAGAACACTACTCTGACATCCTGGCTGCCTCCCGAGTATGTGAACTGATGTCACAGGATTTTCAAACTTAAGAGATTTTAAATCAAATTCATTCTTTGTGGATCATTGTTAATTATATCTTCCCTGTATATTCTACTCAGATGCCTAAGTGAGAAACCTCGGAGTCACCTTTTGGCTTGTGTTTCTTCCTTGCTACCTCCCACAGGATACTGTTCGGTCTATTTCCAACATAGCTGTGGAATCAGTTTCCACCTCTTGACTCTGCTGCCATTACCCTAGATCATATTCTCTCTGCCCATGAGCATTCCTGCTTAAGGGGTTGTCTGCCTCCACTTTTGTTCTCCTTTAATTTATTCTTGACACTGTCACAAATTATTGTTCTGAAACACAGATAGGATCACAGTCCTATCATTCTTAGAAATTTTGGTGGCTTCTTGTTGACAAGAGTGGAGCCTGTCTCTTTTGGATGCAAGTCTTGCCATAGTCTGCTCCAGTTTTCATCCCTCATGCTCACATAGGGGATGGTCCAGCCATAGTAGTGACCACACAGCTTGTGAAAGCCTTGTGGGAGCCTGGTCAGATTTCAGTTTCTCTGGGAAAACTTCATTGAGCCCTTAGAAAGAATCATTCTTTTCTTATGGTACTATTAGCACTTTGTACACACCTTTATTGTGGCATCTATTATGTAAATTATTATGTATTAGGAAGATGATCTATTTGAGGCCAGGGACTGTGTCTTTTGTTAATCTTTGCATCCAAAATGTTACCACAATACCTGAATCTTGGAGATTTGAGGCATAGGTTTCTGTGGAAGTTTATGAATCAATGGATGTTTATTTCCGATTAAAATATAAATCCACTGTGGGCAAGTATTATGTTTTAGACATCTTTTATCCTTACATAATGCTGATCACACATATAGTAAGGAATAAATATTTGCTGACTGATTTTTGATAAGGACGCAAGCAAGAGAAAGTGGTAGGAGACAGACTTGTAGGCTAAAATATTAGATGTAAATGGTTCACAATGGTGTGTAGTAGTGAATAATTGCTGTATTAGATTTTGTTATAATATGCTGACTGTTTTTACTGTTCTGATATTAATGGAAGCACATGATTTTTAAAATAAATCAGTTGCTATGATTTTTTGGGAATAATTCATTTAGGCTGAATTAGGTAGTCAAATTAAAAAACAAAAAATAATTTCAGACCTATCAAAGAGCTATAGTCTCAGGACATTATATTTGTGTGTGTCTGTGTGTGTGTGAAAACTTTCTAAGAGTTGTTTTAATGTAATATATAAAATGTAAGTAAATCATAGGCTTGCTGACATTAGAAATTTCATACCATTTAAGTGAAGAGTTAAAACAATCTGACTGCCTGGTGTTGAGGACTGCTTAGGAAGGGGAGATGGTTAGTACATTGAGCATGGTTGACTGATTTATAGTCACAGGCTAATATTCAGTTTTTAGTGTTCTTTTGTGAGCTTTCTATCCATCTTCATATCTACGTTCAGTATGTATATGCAGATATGCACACATATTTGTGTGTGTGTGTGTGTATCAAGTTTAACTGCATGTTTTTCTGGTCAGGAGAAGATGTGTTTATTTGTGTCTACTGCTTCTCCTAGATGGATTGCACCTAACAAATTGTTGAACATGTTGCAGGTGCTCAGGAGTTACTTCTGACAGCTTCATTATCATCGTATATCTAACTGAAATGGTACCTTTAGTTCCATTCTTGAAATTTAAAAAAAGCACCCAGAGTCCCACAGCAGTTATGCAATTTCACATTTTTTTTCTGGGACTTAGACCTAGCAACCACTTATAAAAATCTGGGTATGGGAGGGACCCCCAAATTGGAGGAGGGGACTTGGGAGTAGACTTAAACCTCTTCATTCTCATTGCTCTTTATGCTGGCTCTTACATGGCTCTGAGAGGAGTATTTCTAAAGCACCAATCTGATGGAAACACGCACCCACACATTTATTATGTTTTTAATTGGTTGCATAACTCTGTTAGATGCTAAGGATATAAAGATGAATAAGACGTGGTCCCTTCCCTTAAAACTTCCTCTTTAAGGCTCTTTTAAAGTAATATTTAGAATTTAAGTGAGTCAGGGCATTCGTAGAGGAGTTAATCAGTCTGTATAGTCTGGGTGGTAAGTGCTACCTATGATAGAGGCAGATCCAGCATGCTGTGGGATCACAGAAGAGGGAGCTGGTAGCTGAGAGCAGACTGGGAGGCCAGGGTGGGCTTCCTGGAGAAAGGAATGCTTGAAGGTCATTGTGAGCTCATCTTCCATAGTGGTTCCCTCTCATCCTTGGGCAACATTCCTGAGAGGGGGCTTACAAAGCCTTTTACCTTCCGGCTTCTGCCACCCCAGTTTTGAGTTTTGAGCACCAGTGCACACCACATATGTGTGTGTACATATACATGCATGTACACACCACATGCACACACACGCTCACCAAGTGCTTCAGTTAAAGAGCACTGAGCAGATCATATTAGTAAGCTCTTCATCTTAGGTGTTTAACAGCTCTGTCCTCTGTGCACCATTGTACCCCTGGCAGATGTCTATTAGACCATGAGAACACATAGTGTGCCCAGTTGCATACATAGCCATTTCCTTTTGAAGCGCAGGGCTCTGGTTCTTTGTATCTTTAGAGTCTAAGAAGCAGTGGCAGTGGTTGGTACAGAGTTGGTGCTCAGAGAATGAACAGCTGAATGAATGAATGGATGAATGAATGAATTAATGAATGAACGAATGAACTGATGAAAGTGTTTATAAACTGCAAAGCTGGATAGAGAGCCCATTCCCGGTGAACTCTGGTGATGCCAGTTTTACACCACCTCTGACTGTCAGGGAGAAAACTTTCCTGAATCTTCCTTTTTTTTTTCTGTCTTGAGAGGGTTGGCGGGAATCTGTGCGCCTGGTGGGCATCTGCAGTTGATCCAGATTGTCACAATCCTCAGTGTTAAGAGAAAGACCAAGGATGAGGTCAAGGTCATTAGAAATAGAAACTTTCACTTTTATTTCCCATTGATGGGAAAGCTCGGCACACTGAAGTTTAAGAACAGTTTGAACTGTTAAGCCCTTTCAGATATGTAATGGTCATAGACATCTGCTCTCTGCATCAATTGTACTTTTCTTTGTAAGTACCATTTTGGTGGTTACACTGGCCAAAGTGGCAACTGTTGTTAGCTGCAGATCCTCAGACACATGGTAATTTATAAAGACTGGTTGGCATGATCCTTATCCAATGCCATTTATGGCTTATTCTGATAAGCTAAGAAATTCAAAGAGGTAAGTCGGATATGCAAAAAAATTTACATGGATTGTTTACTTAATGTAGAATTTTCTTTTGGGGATTATCTATCATTTATGCATTTATTCAGTTATTCATTTGCTAGAGTGTACCACCTCCAGCAATTCAAAGGCCTTTCCAAAGTTAAAGTAAAATTGTTGCAACCTGCATGAGTCTCACAAAATAGATAAACTGGGAAAGTGAGAGAGAGTGCTCGATACACAAAATATGACTTTCTGGATGCCATTTGAAGCAGGAACCACAAAGCGCTCTTCATGTTTGCGTAGAGTTAGCCTCACTCACTCGTGTACAGAAATGTCAGCCTCTCCTAGGTGTCCTTTGTGACCACACCATAAAATTGCACGTGGTTTCATCATCTAGTTCTAAAATGTGCAGCTTAAAATGTACTTAAGAACAATGTGTCATACATTTAAATGTAAAATTGGACTGTGTGAATATTCTTAGAATTGTATTCATAATGAAGTCAATTCAGGCAGGCACAGTTTCAATGATATTATGAGCTTCATCTTAATAGCTTTTTCCAAAAGTTTTCTGATATAGGTTTGCCATGTTCCATTTAAACCCAGCTGTGGAATTCATTATTGTGTGCTAAATTCATTTGGCCACTGACTTTTTGAAAAGGAGAAAATCAGGTTTTTTATACACACATACCCATATAAGAGTATACACTTTAATCAGTCTTTTTTTCTTAAAAGTTCAGCTATTTGCTGAAAAAGGAAATATACTGCTTAAAAAAGGAAAATATATTCAAATAAGCAAATATGATTGGAAATAATAATGGCTTTAATAATAGAACTTTGTAACTTCGCTGTTTAAACAGTTATTCAATTCTTGTTTTTATTTTGTATTGTAGCGTATTCTATTGCCTTATGGATATGCTATTGTTATATCTGTAGCTCAACTTTTTAGTATGTTCTTATTTTTAACGAGAAATAATATACATAAGCTTTAGGAACATCTAAGGAAAACAGATGGTTTTTCACTTTCTTTACCCTGAAATTAAACCCCTTGCTTTTAACTTTTGAGCTAAGAATAAAAACAAAGTTACAGATGTTCTCATACTGTGTATTAGTGCATGTTATACCCATATCCCACATTAACATTTTTATTTCCACTGAGATTTCTGATATAATCAGGTATTAAACCTGTGGTTATTTTGGCAATTATGCCTTTTACAGAAGGATTCCAACAGCTAAACCCTAAGTTAGGAAAAAAGAATATAATTTGACTTCATCTGGAAAAAAATTATCCTAAAAGATGGTTAGAACATTCAATAATAGTTTGCAGTTTTTAAAGAAAAGCTCACAGGTAAAGTTCTTGACTGTTCTTTCATTAAGCAAAAAACATGAAGCTTTTTTCTTTCTCCAAAGTCTCTTCAAGGCGCCCGCTAGACTCAAACTCATCACACCTTATATTCTATGCCTGAGTTTCCCTTTGTAAATTAATGGCTCTCTTCTCTCTTGTTCCTCCAAAGTTTAATTTGTACACTGCCCTACAGTTGTGATTTATTGTAAAGAATATTCTCTTGTCTTTTTCTCACCTTTTCCCCAGATGAGCTCAAAGTTACTCACCCTCATTTGCCCCTGCCATCTCTCCACCCAGACCTACTATTTCCATTTTTAACTTTCGAATTTGCTTCTTCTCATCCATGACTTCAGAAGCAGCCTAAAAGTTCAAAGTAACATAGCTTTCCCCTATGACTCTTAAAACATGTGTTCAGATTTGGTCTAGTTGGTGTACTTAGCAGTTGAGTGCCTTAACAGTGGTGATGCTTCCTCCAAGGTTCTGTAGATAACGATGGGTGTAATAAAAGGCATCATGGAGGGAGAAACTTGGGCCTTACCCCTGGCTCAAACACTTCCTGCCTATGCCGCCTTAGGCATGTTATTTAAACTTCAAGTTCCTTATCCATAAAGTAGGCTAAAAATATCCACTTCACAGGTAATTGTGAGGCAAGGACTTAGCACGTAGTAGACATCCTAAAAACAAAAACAAAACTAGGTTGCTTTCCCTGTCCTAGCTCCATATGGAGTGCTGTATGTAACCTGACCATGTTGTGTGTGAAGAGCTTTGGGGGAAGTGGATATGAAACAGTGTCGTCTCCTCTCTGTAGCAACATCTAAATTGTCTGTCATGTGGTACTGTTAGGGTACAGAGAATAAGTGTAAAAACTTCAGAGATGTGGAAGACTTCTGGGGAGGTGGCCATCACGTTGTGTCTTGAAGGGAAAAACATGGCTGTGAGGAGATTGTATGAGTGCAGAGGTGAGAAGGAGCTCTGGGGACAGAGAAGAGGAGGACAGGCAAGTGAGCAGACATCACGAGTCCCTTTGGGGTTGAGGGGTCTAGTTGCAGAGCTGTGGGACGTGTTGTTAAGGCTGAAGTGAGGCCAAATTCTGACGGTCTTAGAAGTTGGGCAGAGGAGTTTAGTTATGACACAGAACATAACAAGGAGCTAAAACTCAGGTAATCAAGGTGCCCTCTTAAGTGAATTATCCTTTAGGATGATGAAGAGAGAAGGTCTGTACCCCTTTTGTTTTCTCCAGTGTGGATGATATGGCTTGGCTCTGTGTCCCCACCCAAATCTCTTCTAAAATTGTCATCCCCACGAGGTGAGTGGATCATAGGGGCAGTTCCTGCATGCTGTTCTCATGATAGTGAGGGAGTTCTAATGAGATCTTATCATTTAAAAGTGACCATTTCCCCTGCATGTGCTCTCGCTCGCTCGCTCACTCTCTCGCTCGCTCGCTCACTCTCTCGCTCTCGCTCTCTTGCTCTCTGTCTCTCTCCTGCCGCCATGTAAGATGTGACTTGCTTCCCCTTCGCTTTCTGCCGTGATTGTAAGTTTTCTGAGGCCTCCCCAGCTGTGCAGACCTCTGAGTAAATTAAACCTCTTTTCTTCTTTATAAATTACCTAGTCTCAGGCAGTTCTTCATAGCAGTATGAAAACAGACTAATGTAGTAGTGAAGTGGTTTTTCAGCTTTCTGACTGTGACCCATACATAATATGATAAAAATTTACATCCTGATCCAGAATACTCACATATACTGTATTTGTTTCATGAAATAAAAATTTTGTGAAATGACAGTTACCCTTCCAGGGCTGACTGCATAATTTGTGGGGTCCAGAGCAAAATGAAGATGTAGGACCTCATGTTCAAAAAGTAGGGAAGAATGCTGCTAAAAGTAGTTACATATGTCTTTTTCCATTTCTTCTCCGCTTCTTGACCTGTCATGGATTTGTTTTTTTGTTGTTGTTAATTTGTTTGCTACTTACTGTCATTCTGAGTAAATAAAAATTAAAAATGTCCATTATTAATACTAATTTTACTATTTTTATTGTGCAATGCCAATTTTAAGTGCAAAACTTAAGAGCATGAAATTAATGAAATTACACAATTGGTATTTCTTATTTTGTACCTGCATATGCATCTTGTTCTTATTAGAAGAATGGAAATACTGTACAAAGCTAACTCAACTGTTTTTATTTTACTTCTTGATAGGTATACATTCTACCAACCCTCTTTACCTTAGGCTTACTGTTGAGTAAGGACTGAAGAAAAGGAGCGATGGGTAGCCTTATATTTCACTTTCCTTCTCTTTTGTCATTTTCAGTGTAAGAGGTTGGCTGATATAATTAAGAAAGAACAGGACAGAATTATCCTTGGTCATCTTTATTTCTTAGAATGCCATTGTCTCCTTTCCTCCTCGGAAGCAAGTTCTGGTTTTGATAGAAAGTGTGGCCTCTAGGGGCTGTGAGCACCCTCTGTACTCCTTCACCCCTTGTTCAGATGCTGACCTAACACGCTTGCTTGGTAACCACAAACACACACATATTGCACCCATGTCTTCTCATGAGCCTGCTCCAGTTTTTCATTGAACTTCACTTACAAAGCACACAAGTTCAAGGATAAAATGATTAAGAATTTTAACGTGGTTGGTGATAGTGGAGCATTAAATCAATGGGTAGGGCCCTTCAGAGCAGGGCCCTGTGTGACCGCACAGGTCGTATACCCACACAGCCAACCCGGGTACTGCATTTGATTTTCTGTTGTCTTCTATTTTATTAAAAATAACCCCACTAGTTGCACCCCGTTAAACTGATGTTACCATCTACTAATGGGTCATGGTTGGCAGATTAGAAAACACTGGTAAATTCATGAAACGCATGGACTGTGTGTCAGGCTGCTGTATTAGAGTCCTGCTTCTACCACTTGCTGCCTGTGAACTTGAAAATATCTCCGTTTCTCGTGTAAAATGCAGGTTCTAGTAGTTCATAAAGTTGTTATGGGAACTAAATTATTAAATACATGTAATATGCTTAAAGTGGTGTTCATTATACAATAAATATCCTCTAAGTATTAATCATCATCATCATTATTAACTTATATCTTGCTGTAGGTAAATGTTGAATAAAAAAATGTTTCTTGACTATATCAGCATTCCCACTTATCCTAAAACAGATATTTTCTTAAGTTTACCAACATCTGCGTTTTCTTGTGTCTGGAAGTATATAAAATATAACAACAAAATAAAAGTTAATTCAACTGCACTTAATACAATGGAAATATTTTAAAAATTATAGTTCAATAAGAAATCCAATAAAAGACTACTTTTATTTCTGTTCCTCCTCCCAGATTAAAACAAGTAGATCATTAGTATTTCATAGTTATCAGTTAAGAAAGAAGCAAGGATATCTGGAAGATACCATCTGTTGAACTTAAGAAGCCAGAATTATTCCTTTTCAAATGAAATTATTTGATGAACCCCAATCATAGGTTAAAATGCTTGAGAGGAATATTTTCTATCTTTTCTTTTTTTCCCCAAAGGTTTATTTTTATTTATTTTTAAAATAGGCCGGATGCAGTAGCTCAGGCCTTAATCCCGGCACTTTGGGAGGTTGAGGTAAGCAGATTACTCGAGCCCAGGAGTTCAGGACCAGCCTGGGCAATGTAGGGAGACCTCATCTCTACAAAAAGCAAAAGAAATTAGTCAGGTGTGATGATGCATGCCCGTAGTCCCAGCTATTCAGGAGGCTGAGGTGGGAGGATGGAGGCAGGAGGTCAAGACTGCAGTGAGCTATGACTGTGCCACTGCACTCAAGCCCTGGTGACAGAGTGAGACCCTGTATCAGAAAAAAAGCAAAACAAAACTGACAGATAAAATGGTATGTATTTTATCTTTTCTAAAATACAGCATACATACATTTTTATTATAGATAGAGAACAAATCTACAAGTCATGACATGAAAAGAACACAGAATCTGGTGGATGCTCAATCAATATCTGTTGTTGGAGCAACCTTAATCCAAGTGAAAAAAATGCTGGCTGGTTTGTTTTGATCTATTTTGAATCTTCTTCCTTGATAATTTTGTAATAAATAGTACTATTTTATGGCTCATTTGAATATTTCCTATCATTAATTGAGGCTACTGAGATCTCTTTTCCCATTGATTTGATATTTCATGTTTGATTCTCTCAAATTGGGCACTAAATTAACATATAGTCATTTTGTATCTGAGTACAAAAGTTGTGTTTGTGTCAATTGCTGATATAGGCATATTTGTGTTAGGTCATCATCTTAAAATGGAGTCCAATAGAATTGCTTAAAAGGGCTTATGTTAGGCTGTTTAAATAAAATTTGGAACATGATAGATATTGCAGGGAAATGTATCTTACGGAAAATTTGTTTTTATCTGCCTTTTATTGGCAGCAGTTCCTTGAATTGCAGACTTTATGCATAGTCAGAACAGATATGCTAAACTGAGTACATTATAACTTCTATTTTATGTTAAGATGGAAGATTAACCACCAGTTAAAGTTATTATATCTTGAGCAAGGTATCGACTCTGATAAAAATTTATCATCCTCTTCAAACATTACTATGGAGCAAATATAAACACCTTAAATGCTAAGATTCAAGAGATCTCACTTTGTTTAAAGCAAGTCAAAGCACATTAATCTGTAAAATTCTAGAACAGTTAAATTGAAAACACCCTCACTCAGATTTAATGAGCAATTCAGGCCTATTACCTGTGCCAATTTAGATTAGGTGAAAAAAATCCAATCCCTTTATTCAGGATGACTGATTTGCACTGATTTGCACATTTACACCGTAAACCACTTTACCTTGAGTGAGAACCACAGTTTACAGAATCACTAGCACTTGTCTGAGAGTTAGATTGGCTTTGAAAGTGGTTGATACTTGCTTTATACTTATAGTAGAAACATATTATTGGTAGTAGTTGAAAGTGAATGTTGGAGCCTTGGATTATTAGAGATGTTACTCGGTAATAATTGGGATCAATAACTTTTGAAAACACATATCCAGTCCATTTTGATTTTCATATTTGAGCTAGGTATTTAATCCTTTAAGTATATATTTATATATAATTTGGAAGTAAATATTTAGAGAATGATTTCAGTCTTCTATCTTAGGTTTATCAACTGAAGATAGATTTAGAAAATTCACAATCCTGATTTCTCTTTGGCTATTTTTTTTTTAAGATTCTTTGTATGAATTTTTAGGAAGCCTTCTGAAGCTAAGGAGTTTTTTATGTCTCTGTCTGAAATGATTGTTAGTGATTATAGTAAATTGAATGCTTTCATTCAGGCGTGCAAGTAGAAGGTATCTTGTTGCCTGGATGTGTGCTGCTCTGCAGGTTTCTCACTTTCTTCTACTTCCTCGCAGCCCCTGACCTCCTGCAATGGATTTCTATGTTGTAACTTGTTTTGGTATTTTAGCTAAGGTTCAAACTCTAATAAATATCTGCATAGCAAGAATGGTATATTCATGAAGTACAATTCTGGTTACATTGATATTGTCAAATGAAGATGATCTCTATCGGTTTAACTTGGCCATGAGTGAATGGGAATTGTTTAAATTTCTGTACAAATGTTTGCATTTCATGAGACATGCTTGTGCATTAGAGACAGAGGTTTAGCAAAAGCTTTATGGTGCTGACATCTGTGATAAAGGCAGGAGTCAGAAGAGATGGGATTTAATCCCCTTTCATCCCTGACTGTCTTGATGGCCTCAGGCCTCTGAATTAGGTTGACAAGACTATGGTCTCTCTTTACTTCACAGCCAATCATCTTGAAAGAGTCGTCTGTACTGCTTGTCTTCACTAATTCACCTCTTTTCTTATACCACAACCCCGTGTAATCTGATTTTCATACTGTACTATAATTACTGTTACTTAGGTGACCAGATCAAGGGGATCCCCAAATGGCGGGACACTTTAATACTGATTATTCCTTTGGTGTTGACTTCCACTTTCCCGCATCTTCCTTGACAGCCTACTCTTTTTTTTTTCCTGTTACCTTTTACTATTTCTTTTCGATCTTTGTGAGTTTCTCTTCTGCCCATCCCTTAAATGTTGTTTCCTAGAACTCTGTCCCTAACCATTTTCTATTTTCACCCCAAGTTCTGAAACCCATGACTTTATCAATGGTATTCTGACTGTTCCCAAGTCTACATCTTTATCTTGGAACTTTATTCTAATTAACAGACTTACATTTCTAGCCACTTGCTGGACATTTCTATCAGTATGCTTAACAGGAGGCCCAAACCAATATATCAAAATCAGACCCCATCACCTCCTTTCTAACCACCCCCATCCCCTTCCTTCTGTCGTCTGGCCAGTCTTGATGAATAACACTGTTAACGATGTAGACAACCAAGCCATAAACCTGAGAGTCCTTCTTCAGCTCTTCTGTTTCCCTCAACTCTCACATCCTGGCAGTCACGGAGTCCTGCCAATACAAGTATTCAATGTCTCTTGTTGCATTCTGTTAATCCTGGCATTGCCTTCATCCAGGACCTGCGGTGTGCAGAGCAGTGCTGAGATTCCACCAAGCAGTGCCGCCCCCTCAGCCGGGAGTGGTGCTGATGCAGACTCCTATGCTTCGGAGCGTCCTGACCCATCATGGCATGCTTTGTTTCCCATTTCATTGCTTTGAAATCTCCTGGCTACCAGCCTCACTGATCTCCAATTTTAATATGTATTGCCTTTGGTGGCTTCAGTCTGACCCAGTTTCAGGCATTCTTTTCTACAGTCTTGCCTGGTCTCACTCTGCCATGATATCTCCACCTCAGCAATATCAGTCCTAGGTGGCTGTGGGTGATAACACTTTCCATGATCTCCCCCTCCACACAGCCTGTCATGAATCTTCACCTGCTTCTGTCCAGGCAACTCTGTTTCCAGGACGCTCCCTCAGCCCCATGCACCCCACTCCATGCTTAAAGTCCCTTAGTTGCTCTTCATTATCTTCATGATCAAGTTCAAATTCTTGGTCACATCAGACAGCCTTATACCCAGCCACTCCTTATCCCTACAGCCTTGCTGCAGCCACACGGATCTGCCTGCAGTTCTTGGAATACAACCTGCAATGCCTCCAAGCCTTTGCATATGCTGATTCTTCTGTCCAGAGTGCCTTCCTTTGCTCCTTAATGACTAATTTGTCTTGTCTTTTGATTTGTAGCTTCCGTCTCTCACAGCCTTCTTTGTTCTCCTCTCCCCATTTTTTTTCTTTCCTACTTTATGCACTGTCTTAACAGCTTACATAGACTTGCATGCTATGCGTATTCTGTGCAGTTGATTTTTCCATGTGACCCCCCGGTAGATAATACGTATCCTGAGGTCAGTGCCTTGTTCATCTTTCTGTGGCTGGTGTCTAGCACATGTGGGAGCATGAGGAAGCTCAGTAAACATTGCATAATAAGGAAGTAGTGAACACAGAATTTTAAAGGAATTTAAAACAGTACTATGTGTTTTTGTTACAGGCAGATACTTCATTTGTTATGATGATAAATCTAGCGTATAGAAGTATGGCTAACTCTTCTGATACAAGGTCATTTGGAGGAAGTTGGACTAACCAGAATTAAGAAGAGAAATTGTCAATTTTAGGCCAAATAAGTAACTGCAAGTCACTGGGGTGGAAAAAGGAACAATTCAATTATTCTGATGAACTAAAACTAATTTGCAGTGTAATTTTTATAAGGATGCAAAATTAGAAATGAAGAATTAAAGCTATATATACACTTGTTGGTTTAGGTAAACCTACTCAGAGGTACTTAATTATTTTCAGTCCCACTTATCAGATATAGACTTTAGAAATTGTATCATAATTTATATAGGTTAGGAAATAAGCATTATTATACATATTGTAAATAATGTGCTTTATTCTTTGTACTCTGAATATTTCTGATTTTCATGAGAATCTGAAATATCTGTATCTAAAAATAACAGAAGTGTAGGAATAAGAACAAAATTACCTGTGATCTGGGAAATCAATGATAATAATCCTACTTTTGTTTTCTGTCTACACTTAGAATATTTTGCTACACCTATTTAAAGTTAAGGTTAAATAACTGTGGTGATTAAAATCAATTCTATGCAAACAGTTAATAGTCAAATGTATACATCAATTGCATAACAGATGAGATTTAATACCCTGAAATGGGAGTTGGAGAATAGAAAGAAGCCAAATATTTCAAACTACAGTTAAGAATACTTAGCCCATATAAATGTGCGGATAAAATTATTTTTATGTGTTATTAAAAATTGCCAGAGAAAAATATGACTTGTGATATTCTTGTTTCTGTAAAGAGCTTCCATTTGAGCTGATGGGACATAATAAGACATGTGGAGAAGATTAGTGATTAAAAAAATTTGGACATTTGGGTTGTATCATTGTATTCAATTAGAGGCACTCAGAACATTAGCTCTCATTTGATTAGTTTTTCAGTCTTCCTTATGATGATTTTTTTATATTTAATCCAGAAAGGTGATGCAAAGAGGGGTATTATATAAGTTGTGACAGGGATCCCAGGAGAGTTGGCTAATACCCTTTCATAAGGAAGTGTTATTACATGTGAACCTGCCCTTCCTCTCTACCTCATTACTTGCTAAGCTTCATAAAGACCCTATCCTACTGGGTCACCTTTCTGGAAATGCTTTCTTTAATTTTCAACAAGATGCTGTGATGACAACAATCTATATCTGTAAAAAGTTGTATAAAAATTCAATATATTTCACATGTGAATGTAGTTCACATCAGACTAAGCTAATGAAAATTATTTTTATATCACCTTCTTACCAATTTTAATTTTAATTTTGCCTCTGGTGACTGAGGTGACACATAAAGAGTATTGCCTTATAAATGGATTGACTTTTTTTTCTTCTTAGGATATTATTTTATATATTGAATGTCATAAACTCCTTGTTCCCCACATTTTTTGCCAGTACCATGCTGGTTTTAAAGAGCTACTTTTAAAAATTAACACTTTGTTTTAAAGTTCATTCAACATTTTTATTATGATAGGCAGTCTTAGTGATAAATCGTAGTAAAAGAGCTTCTAGTTAATAGATAACTAAGATTTTTATAAAGTATTTAGAACTGGACATTATGATATTAGTTTTCTTCTTACTCATCCTCATAAATCTCAATCAGTTTCAAACACTAAATATATTAAAATATGGATTATGATACCATTTAAGAATAGTTTTTAGTAATTTTGGTGAGAAAGCAAGAATGGTAGGCTTAAATTCTGATTATCTTTACTTGAAAGTATCATTAATTATTGGGTAACTTTTAAAATTTGAGAATGTTAAATAATTGTAATATTGTTAAACTGAAGTACTGATAAATTGAAACAAGGAAATGCTTTCATTTCAGCTGTCCTAGTTGCAGAAAAGCTAAAAACACACAAAGCATTTATTTCATGTTTCAGTAGGGGAAGCAGATTCCTATTTATTATGAACAGTACAGTGGTGATATGACTTCCCTACCTCAGCAGCTCTGCTTTCATTTTGTAAGCAATAAAATTCATAAGGGATAAGTGAAAAATAATTGAGGAGCACTTTTATTTTTACTAGAGTGTTTGTTATGGCTTTACCGTGTAATATACACTAAAATGTCTGTTCACGTTCAAAGAAAAAAAGATGAGAGCTGAATTTGGGTGTAGTGTGCATTCAAGCATTGAATTTGATCCTTCACGTAGTAATTGAATGAGAGCAGTATTGTGTATCAAATTTATCCTTGCTTTTTAGTTTGTTAGCAAATGGCTTTTACTACAAAGGTTTTTAGGGCAGGGTAAGACTTAAAAAAATAGAATCACTTTCCTCTGGAAGATGTGTGGGTGTCTGGGGTTGGTGGTAGTGTTTTGCACCTGGTAGGAGAATGAGAAAGAGAAGTATTTACAGTTAGGGAAAGAAAACAAAAGGCAGGAGGCTCAAAGGAGGGTTTTCTGACCACTGTCTTTTTGGCAGGAGGAGCAGAGGGTATCTGAAAGGCCTGTTTTTGCCCAGCAGGTATCTGCAGGACTCAGAAAGTGGATCTGTGGTGGCCACTGCAGATGTTCTTTCCAGAAGAACGCTTCCCAACATTTATTGCACCAGGGACCAGTTTTGTGGAAGGCAGTTTATTCAGGGGCGTCGGGGGATGGTTCCAGGATGAAACTGTTCCACCTCAGATCATGAGACATTAGTTAGACTCTCGTAAGGAGCGTGCACCCTAGATCCCTTGCATGTGCAGTTCACAATACGGTTTGTGCTCCTATGAGAATCTAATGCTGCTGCTGATCTGATGGGAGGGTGGAGCTCAGGTGGCAATTCTCACTCACCTGCCGCTCACCTCCTGCTGTACAGCCCAGTTCCTAACAGGCCACAGACCACTTCCAGTCCGTGGCCCTGGGAGTTGGGGACCCCTCCTCATGCACATAATTTCTAGACACATGTTGTATCATTTTCCTATGGCTGTTGTGACAAATCACCGCAAACATGGTGCCTTAAAACAACACAGATTTATTATCTTACAGTTCTGGAGGTCAGAATTCCAAAATGGGCCTTACTGGGTTACAACCAAGCTGTCATCAGGTCTGTGTTCCTTCTGGAGGCTCTAGGCAAGGATTCATGTCCATGGTTTTTCCAGTTTCTACAGGCTGCCTGCATTCCTTGACTTGTGGCCTTTCCATCTTCAAAGCCAGCAAGGGTGGCTCAAGTCTTGTTTGCACTGTATCAGTCCCACTCTGGGCCTCCTTCCTCTTTTTCACTCACAAGGACCCTTGTGATTATATTGAGTTCACATGAATAAGCCACAATTCTCTTCCCATCTCAAGGTCAGCTGCTTAGCAACCTTAATTCCATCTGCAACCGTAATTCCTCTTTGCCATGTCATGTAACATGCTCACAGTTTCTTACGATCAGGATGTGGACATCTTGGGGGTGGGGGGCATTATTCTACCTACCACCAATAACGTAATTTGTTGATCCCTTTGTAGGTTGTACCTCAATCTGTCTTCTTTCTCGTCAGTTCCCTTTGTTCTCCTCTCTACCCTCCATCCAAATGCTATACTGCCAAGTGTAGCCAGATTGGGGCAACACCCTGTAAGAACATGAAGAATTAATGCACTGGGCTAGTGGCTAAGTTGTTGGCTCCTTACATTCTACTTCAATACAGCAAATATGTTTTAGTGCTGGGGATGGAACAGTGAAAAATACGGACAAACTGCCTGATCTCTTGGAGCTTACACTTTGGTGGAAACTGACAAACACAGTAAGTGCAAGGCAGAGAATTAAACCAGGGCACTATGAATGAATGAGTGGCTACTGGAATTGGAACAAGGAGGGTTTCCTGAGATCTGGCTGACGGTGTGAAAATGGGGAAAGAACTTTTTAGGCAGAGACTCTGTGAAGAACAAAGCCATGAGGCAGGAGAGAGTTTTCTAGTGAGAAACAGAATGAAGGTCAGTGGAGCTTGAGTTTAATGTGCAAGGAAAAAGATACGAAATGCAGTTTGAGGAGGAGTTAAGTGCCAGATCACATCTCTGTAAGCCATAGTAAGGAACTTGGATTGTATATGTGATGGAACAATGTTGGAGAGTTTCTAAGCTGTGGAATTAAACACTTTTTAAATGATCTATTAAGAGCACTTGGCTATTGTATGGAGGATGATTATGAGCTAGCAAGAGTGGAAGAAGAGGGACACTAGTTTGTAAGCTGTTTTAACAGCCCATCCAACAGATAATGGTGATGAGACCAAGTTGGGAGTGGAGATAGAAATAAATGAATATATTTGAGATACATTTTAAAAGGAGATTGAATTGAGAAGATTGACAATGGAATGGATATAGAAACTGAGGCCAGGAGGAAATAAAGATAATTCCCAGATTTTGGGATTGAGAAGTGGTGCCATTTCCTGGGTTGGGGAATCTGGGGGATGAGCAGTTTAGGGTGGGGAACCAGAGTTGTGTTTTGACCATGTTAAGGTTGAGGTGCCTATTGGACATCCAAGGTGAAGTGTCAAGTTAGACAGTTAGATAGATATATATGTTTTGGGATCTATAAAGAGGTCAAGGCTGAATATACGTATTAGAGAATCACTGGCACATTGATGGTACTCAAATGAGATTAATCTAGAAAGTGTGTAGATAGAGAACCTGATCCACAATGCAGCTCTGAGGTGGGCCAATATTTAGAAGTTGAACAGAGGAGGATGGATTGGCCAAGGAGACTTAGGAGAAACTTCTGGTAAAACCAGGAGGGTGAAGACAGACAGGCAGGCAGGCAGACAGACAGACAGACAGACACACACACACACACACACACACACACACACACACCCTGATACTGCTGCATTAAAAGCTGCTAAAAGATCAAGTAAATGAGATAATAAATATTGTAATGATGGTCATTGATAATTTTGACAAGAATAATCTCTCTGGGGTGCTGTTATAGAAGATAGATTAGAAAGAGCTGGGGAAAGTGTGGGGGTGAGGATGAGACCGTGACTCTAGACAGCTAAGCACCAGGTGCTCTGCATTCTGAGATGATGCGCCATCCCATTATTACTTTTCCCAAGAGCTCACTTTTACTACCTAGAGAAGAGTTACTTTTATATGATACACAGGCATTCTGTTATTATACTTGCTGTGCCCAATTAGTTTTAGAGGAAGCAAAATTGCTAAAACTCAAGACGTTTCATGAGCAGTTGAAAATTATACTAATGCTCAGTAAAAGGGGACTCAGAACTCCTGAATGTGTGCAGAACTATTATTGGCACACTAAAAAGTTCACAGGTGGGCAGTGTGTGGCAAAAAGGATCACTTACCTGTTGACATTAGTATGTAGTAACACTAAGTTCCTGTTTTTATGAAAATCCCAAGTGACACTAAAACTGCTTCTGTGTCTCATTGGGGACAAAACACCTCAGCCCTAGTTGTCACTCACCCTTCATGAGTCGTGGTAGAATAGCTGATGTTGCTGTAGCAATAACTAGACAACCATGGCACATAATAACGCTGTCATGGTCTAAATCCACAAATTTACTGTGCAAGTTTAAATTAGTAGTAATAAAGGGAATATGGTAAGGTTTTGAAGTGCTCAAATAATGTTGCCCTTGATAAAAAGGGTAATACTTTTGGAAATTTCTCATGGAATCTATACTTGCAAGCAGGTGTTTTAAATTTTCAATGTTTTATCTTTGACTTTGTCCATGAAATGTGTCTTCAGTTGCTTTTTACGATGGCATCGACAGAGGGGAAACATATTCTTATTATATCATTCGGATTCTTTTCCATTGTATTTTGGCCTTGTTGGCAATTCTTTGGCATCAAATGATTTTAATTTTCTAATTTAAGGCCTAATTTACTTTTGAACACTCACATTGGCCCACGGATCTTGGCCCTGGATGAAGTGTATATGAATACAGATTGTATTACAAATAATACTTGCAGACAATGCCAAAAATTTGGTGTTTATATAATGCTTTGTATTGTTAGTTCAGTTTAAAGAACATGTCAAAACCTGTTAGGAGGCTGACATTGTGCTAGGCACAGGACAAAAATTGTGGTCTATGCCTAAAGGAGCTTGTGGTCTAGCAGGGAAGGGGGCAGAATTGGTAAAAGAAATTGATTAAAGTAAGTGTGATCATGAATAAACGCAGTATGTGGGAGGAAAAAGTAGTGCAGAGGGGCTGAGCACAGTGGCTCATGCCTGTAATCCCAGCACTTTGGGAGGCTGAGGAGGGTGGATCACCTGAGGTTGGAGTTCGAGACCAGCCTAACCACCATGGAGAAACGCTTGTCTCTACTAAAAATACAAAATTAGCCAGGTGTGGTGGCACATGCCTGTAATCCCAGCTACTTGGGAGGCTGAGGCAGGAGAATGGTGTGAACCTGGGAGGCGGAGCTTGCGGTGAGCGGAGATTGCGCCACTGCACTCCAGCCTGGGCAACAGAGTGAGACTCCATCTCAAAAAAAAAAAAAAAAAAAAAAAAAGTAGCACAGAGGAGGGAGCTGTTGGTTCTGTTTTGTTGTGGGGTTACAGGATAAGATCAGAGGAGATTTTCATGAAACATTGACAGCTGAGTAAGATTTGAGCCATGAGTAAGTCTGCTGTTGGGCCACCACCCAGGGACAGGGTAGAAGTGGCAAACTAGACATGGAAGGCATAGGGTGAGACATGAAAAAGCATAGCGGGTCCGTGACCTGCAGGTTCTTTGGTCCTAACTGCACATGGGCTGTGACTGAAATCGCTCCATTTGATGAAAATGATCGAAATCAAGGTGAAATTGAGGGGATGTCAATGGAGTTGAAGAGTCAGGGTATTTAAGGGTGTAGAGTGGCTCATCACATGGTGTTGAAGTTACTCAGATGGTGACATACAGGGTTGGTTAGATTTCCTTTAAAATGAAGTAGAAGAAGCATTCAAAGAAGAGGCCAAGGATTCTTTTGAATTAATTGTATCAAAATCAGGATGCCCATGAGATAATTTTGGAAGAGAGAATTTAATACTGAGCAGGGTGGGTGAGGACACGTGGGTGTAGGGGGTGTATACAGCAGGAGGGGAATCAACGTGTGAGAAAGAGATTAAACCGGGGCTTGTCTTTTGTCTTACATCTAATAAATATTAACTGAGGACTTACTCTTTGCAGTGCACCATGCTTATTCTTGGAAAACAAACTCCTAAGATAGGAAAGGAGCTACAGGGTATGAATGTGGAAGAGTAAACATCGCATGTCTCTGTGATGGTCTCCATGGGATACAAAACCCTCACCAGCAGCGCTTTCATATTTTCCAGAGTGACTATTATGCAGTAGATCTTAGTGCATATTTACCCATCAATCAGATGAATAGTATCTATTCATTAAAAATTCCTATTTTGCACTATTCATTATTGTCCATTAATTAAAGCATGGTACTGCAACATGCAGCTATTTATTATGTTTTCAAGTAACATTTAGTGACATGAGAAATGCTCATGATATGGTTTTAAAGAAATGATTTTAAAAATTATATGTACAATAAGATCCCAGTTTTACGAGTGCATGTGTCTGTGTGTGTGTGTGTGTCTGAGAGAGAGAGAGAGAGAGAGAGAGAGAGAGAAAGATAGATGGAGTGAGGGAGGGAAGGAAAGAATTGTCAAAATATTAGTGATGGCTGTCTCTGGGTCATGAGATTAAACATATTTATTTTTTCACCTTCCAAGTTTTCTAAAATGCATATAAACAATTTATAATCAAAAATACTATTTAAAATAGTTTTCTCGAAAAATTAATATTCTGCCTTTAATTTTATATAATGTTTATGGTAAAAATGAAAATTCTAGTAGGCCTATCACAAAGGCCTTTCTAGCTGTTCTGCCTTTTTTTGATCACTGTTTATTCTTATGAATTCCTTTCTGATCTTCATTTCTTGCTCTGTGCTGTTAATGGCAATGGCTTAAACATTTTGGTTCACTGATAAACACATCCTCCCTCCACACCTGAGGCAACCATTTAAAAAAAGTATTTATATTCTCTTTGTGTCACTGTGCACAGCGTTGAGCTTTGCTGATTTGTCTCTTTGCTGTTTATATCCTTATGGTTGTCATTTTCCATTCCAGTGCCCTTTCAATTTTATTTTATTTGTTGTTATCGATTGTATTCTTCTTTTCTGGTAAAATGCTTATTCTAAAACACATCTGCAAACCATTCGTAGCTCCGCTTGGATACAGTTAAACATTTCATTGAATGTGAGTATTAAGACTGTATTCCTTTTGTATCTATAGGCCTGCCTTTGTAGTCTCTTAGTAAGCAAGTGCAACATTTGGACACAAAATGTCATCCAAAAAGTCATGTGCATAGGTCATAACTGTAGTCTACTGAGTTTAGCATCTGACTATGATGGTTGTTTTTCAAGGTAATTTCAGAAGGTAGAAATGAATGTCAAACATACCTATTTTTCTTCACTCTTTTCCTCCCTTCCTGTTTCCTTCCTTCCTTCTTTCCTTCATTCCTTCCTCACTGGGCTGTATATTTTCAGCTTCCATAATACTCTGCTATTGCCCTTCCTCATCATTCACCTTATTGGAAGTATGTTTATCTCTGTCTCCTCATTGGACTGGAAGCAACTTGAGAGAACAGTCCACATTTCATTCATATCTTAGGCTGTCTCCTGGGTTCACATCCTGCCTTGCATATAATTGGTCCTCAACAAGTGTAAAAATATATTTTACATTTAATTAAGAGTGACTTCATAGCTTTAGCAATACGAAAGATTATTAGATAAAATAGGTTAAATAATTATGCTCTGGGAAATAAGCTTCCATTAGAGAAATAAAGGGGGTTTTAAGGCAAAAGATAAAAATATATTTTCTAGACTGTAGGGGTAATCAAATATTGTAATAGATTACCAGAGAAGGAGGTAAAATCGCCATCCCTGGAGAGCCTTAAAAATTGGACAGAGAAAACATCTGTGAGAATGGCCAAAGCACTAAACCTGTCTTGAGGCAAGTAGATGGACAGAATGACAAATGGTTCTGCAATTCTTTGATTACTTGGCCTGAAGAAGAGAAGGCTGAGGGGAGACATTAAAACTACTTCAAATATGAAAAACAGCTATTATTGCTTTCCAGAGGAAAGCAAGTTGAAGGAGCTTAACCTAAAGTCAGAGATTGAGTTTACATTTGATAGTTAAGGATTTAAAGTCATAGGTTGTGAAAATCTTGTGGAGATCTGCAGAATAAATGATACTGATTTTTTGGTGAGATATGGAAAGTCAACTCTATGATTTGGCTGCAGTAAAAACATTTTTTATAATACTCTGAATAGAGAGAATTATTCCAATACGTTATATTGAATGCATAGCATTCTCTTGGGAAAGGTAAATTTCTAAAAGTAGTATTTTAAAGCAGCAAGCATTTTCACTGTTTTGTGAATAGGAGGGGAGAACTGGGATGATACTTGTGAATTTCTTCTCATCTCAATGCCTGTACAAAGGGCTATGTTAGTAAATCAGTAGCCAAAGGGTGAACAGGAGCTTCGACAGAACTTTACCCTGCTGGGTCAGCCTTGTTTTGACCACTGAATGTTTTCTCAATGAAAATGTGGAACAACTGGGGGTGGTGTGGTGGTCGGAGGAGGGGGTGCACAAAAATACTATCAACTAAAAAGGGAATCCAAATGTCTATTAAAAATAAGCATTTGATTGTAATTCCAGCATTCAGCCACACGATGTCACAATTGGATTTTGATTTTCACTGTGTGTTTGTCTCAATAGATGAAGGCATTTTCAAAGCTGGAGCAGAGAGGTCTGAAACACGGGGGGCAGCAGAAGTCCAAGAAGATGAAGATACTCAGGTTGAGGTTCCAGTCGATCAGGTAATCTCCATGCCTTAAAAAATATGTGTAAGACAATTATAGTGTTTTTTTTCCAAGTTTTGTGTTATCTCCTACAAATTGTTCCTATACCTGTATGAATTAAACCCTCTAAGGTACTATGTGGCTGATCAACCTTAAAAACATAACAAAACACCATTCTTTCTCCTAGTATTCCTGTGAAGAATAGCCATTTAGACCAAGTCTTTTTAAATAACAGCAAATGGTATTTCCTTAATAAAGAGCATTGAAGAGCAAGATGGGATGGGATTAGGTATGAGATAAAGTGATAAAGTTTGATATAAAAAAGAGTATTGGTTTGGGATTTTCATCTGGAATAAAAGTACTTACCCACTTAGAAAAGCATTTTTAAAAAATTATACTTTAAGTTCTGGCATACATGTGCAGAACGTGCAGGTTTGTTACAGAGGTGCCATGGTGGTTTGCTGCACTCATCAACCCATCATTTACATTAGGCATTTCTCCTAATGCTGTCCCTCCCCTAGCTCCCCAAACCCTGACAGGCCCCAGTGTATGATGTTCACCTCTCTGTGTCCATGTGTTTTCATTGTTCAGCTCCCACTTATGAGTGAGAATGTGTAGTGTTTGGTTTTCTGTTCCTGTGTTAGTTTGCTGAGAATGATGGTTTCCAGCTTCATTCATGTCCCTGCAAAAGACACGAACACATCCTTTTTTATGGCTGCATAGTATTCCGTGGTGTATATGTTCCATATTTTCTTTATCCAGTCTATCATTGATGGGCATTTGGGTTGGTTCCAAGTCTTTGCTATTGTGAATAGCGCTGCAGTACACATAAGTGTGCATGTGTCTTTATAGTAGATTGGTTTACTATCCTTCAGGTATATACCCAGTAATGAGATTGCTGGGTCAAAGGGTATTTCTGGCTCTAGATCCTTGAGGTATCGCCACATTGTCTTCCACAATGTTGAACTAATTTACACTCCCACCAACAGTGTAAAAGTGTTGCTATTTCTCCACATCCTCTCCAGCATCTGTTGCCTCCTGACTTATTAATGATTGCCATTCTAAGTGGCATGAGATGGTATCGCATTGTAGTTTTGATTTACATTTTTCTAATGACCAGTGATGATGAGCGTTTTTTCTTATGTTTGTTGGCTGCATAAGTGTCTTCTTTTGAGAAGTGTCTGCTCATATCCTTTGCCCACTTTTTGATGGGTTTGTTTGTTTTTTTTCTTGTAAATTTTTTTAAGTTCCTTGTAGATTCTGAATATTAGCCCTGTCAGATGAATAGATTGCAAAAATCTTCTCCCATTCTGTAGGTTGCCTGTTCACTCTGATGATAGTTTCTTTTGCTGTGCAGAAGCTCTTCAGTTTAATTAGATCCCATTTGTCAATTTCGGCTTTTGTTGCCATTGCTTTTGGTGTTTTATTCATATGAAGTCTTTTCCCATGCCTATGTCCTGAATGGTATTGCCTAGGTTTTCTTCTAGGGTTTTTATGGTTTTAGGTCTTACATTTAAGTCTTTAATCCATCTTAAGTTAATTTTTCTATAAGATGTAAGAAAGGGGTCCAGTTCCAGTTTTCTGCATGTGGCTAGCCAGTTTTCCCAACGCCATTTATTACATAGGGAATCCTTTCCCCATTGCTTGTTTTTGTCAGGTTTGTCAAAGATCAGATGGTTGTAGATGTGCGATGTTATTTCTGAGAACTCTGTGCTGCTCAGTTGGTCTATATATCTGTTTTGGTACCAGCATCATGCTGTTTTGGTTACTGTAGCCTTGTAGTATAGTTTGAAGTCAGGTAGCATGATGCCTCCAGCTTTGTTCCTTTTGCTTAGAATTGTCTTGGCTATATGGGCTCTTTTTTGGTCCCATATGAACTTTAAAGTAGTTTTTTCCAATTTTGTGAAGAAAGTCAATGGTAGCTTGATGGGGATAGCATTGAATCTATACCTTACTTTGGGCAGTATGGCCATTTTCACAATATCAATTCTTCCTATCCACAAGAATGGAATGTTTTTCCATTTGTTTGTGTCCTCTCTTATTTGCTTGGGCAGTGGTTTGTCCTTCCCCTTGAAGAGGGCCTTCACATCTCTTGTAAGTTGTATTCCTAGGTATTTTATTCTCTTTGTAGCAATTGTGAATGGGAGTTCACTCATGATTTGGCTCTCTGTTTGTCTATTACTGGTGTATAGGAATGCTTGTGATTTTTGCACACTGATTTTGTATCCTGAGACTTTGCTGAAGTTACTTATCAGCTTAAGGAGATTTTGGGCTGAGATCTTGGAGTTTTCTAGATATACAATCATGTCATCCACAAAGACAGACAATTTGACTTCCTCTCTTCCTATTTCTATTTGAATACCCTTTCTTTCTCTTGCCTGATTGCCCTGGCCAGAACTTCTAATACTATGTTAAATAGGAGTGATTAGAGATGGCATCCTTGATCTGTGCCAGTTTTCAAAGGGAATGCTTCCAGCTTTTGCCCATTCAGTATGATATTGGCTGTGGGTTTGTCATAAATAGCTCTTACTATTTTGAGATATATTCCATCAATACCTTATTTATTGAGAATTTTTAGCATGAAAGAGTGTTGAATTTTATCAAAGGCCTTTTCTGCATCTATTGAGATAATCATGTGGTTTTTGTCATTGGTTCTGTTTATGTGATGGATTACGTTTATTGATTTGTGTATGTTGAACCAGGCTTCCATCCCAGGGATGAAGCCGACTTGATCGTGGCTGATAAGCTTTTTGATGTGCTTCTGGATTCGGTTTGCCAGTATTTTATTGAGGATTTTGGTGTCAATATTCATCAGGTATATTGGCCTGAAATGTTCTTCTGTTGTGTCTCTGCCAGGTTTTGGTATCAGGATGATGCTGGCCTCATAAAATGAATTAGGGAGGAGTCCTTCTTTTTCTATTGTTTGGAATAGCTTCAGAAGGAATGGTACCAGCTCCTTTTTATATGTCTGGTAGAATTCAGCTGTGAATCTGCCTGGTTCTGGGCTTTTTTTTTGGCTGGCAGGCTATTACTGCCTCAATTTCAGAATTTATCATCGGTCTATTCAGGGATTTGGCTTCCTGGTTTAGTCTTGGGAGGGTGTATGTGTCCATGAATTTATCCATTTCTTCTAGATTTTCTAGTTTATTTGCATAGAGGTGTTCATAGTATTCTCTGATGGTAATTTGTATTTCTGTGGGATCAGTGGTGATCTCCCCTTTATCTATTTTTATTGCATCTATTTGATTCTTCTCTCTTATTAGTCTGGCTAGTGGTCTATTTTGTTAATCTTTTCAAAAAACCAGCTCCTGGATGCATTGATTTTTTGAAGGGTTTTTCGTGTCTCTATCTACTTCAGTTCTGCTTGGATCTTAGTTATTTCTTGTCTTCTGCTAGCTTTTGAATCTGTTTGCTCTTGCTTCTCTAGTTCTTTTAATTGTGATGTTAGGATATAGATTTTAGATCTTTTCTGCTTTCTCCTGTGGGCATTTAGTGCTACAAATTTCCCTCTAAACACTGCTTTAGCTGTGTCTCAGAGATTCTGGTACATTGTGTGTTTGTTCTCATTGGTTTCAAATTGCTTATTTATTTCTGCCTTCATTTCGTTATGTACCAGTAGTCATTCAGGAGCAGGTTGTTCAGTTTCCATGTACTTGTGTGGTTTTTCATGAGTTCCTTAATTCTGAGTTCTAATTTGATTGTACTATGGTGTGAGAGACTGTTGATTATGATTTCCATTATTTTGCATTTGCTGAGGAGTGTTTTACTTCCAATTAAGTGGTCAATTTTAGAATAAGTGTGATGTGGTGCTGAGAAGAATGTATATTCTGTTGATTTGGGGTGGTGGATTCTGTTGATGTCTATTAGGTCTGCTTGGTTGAGCTGAGTTCAAGTCCTGAATATCCTTGTTAATGTTCTGTCTCGTTGATCTGTCTTATATTGATAGCGGGGTGTTAAAGTCTCCCACTAATTTTGTGTGGGAGTCTAAGTCTTTTTGTGGGTCCCTAAAAACTTGCTTTATGAATCTTGGTGCTCCTGTATTGGGTTCATATATATTTAGGATAGCTGTTCTTGTTGAATTGATCCCTTTACAATTATGTAATGGCCTTCTTTGTCTTTTTTGTTCTTTGTTGGCTTAAAGTCTATTTTATCAGAGACTAGGATTGCAACCCCTGGTTTTTTTTTTTCTTTTTTTCTTTCCATTTGCTTGGTAAATATTCCTCCATCCCTTTATTTTGAGCCTATGTGTGTCTTTGCACATGAGATGAGTCTCCTGAATACAGCACACCGATGGGTCTTGACTCTTTATCCAATTGGCAGTCTGTGTCTTTTAATTGGGGCGTTTAGCCCGTTTACATTTAAGGTTAATATTGTTATGTGTGAATTTTATCCTGTCATTATGATGCTAGCTGGTTATTTTGCCCGTTAGTTTCTTCTTAGTGTCGATGGTCTTTACAATTTGGTATGTTTTTCAGTGGCTGGTACTGGTTTTTCTTTCCCATATTTAGTGCTTCCTTCAGGACCTCTTGTAAGGCAGGCTTGGTGGTGACAAAAGTCTCTCAGGATTTACTCGCCTGTAAAGGATTTTATTTCTCCTTCGCTTATGAAGCTTAGTTTGCCTGGATATGAAAATCTGGGTTGAAAATTCTTTTCTTTAAGAATGTTGAATATTGGCCCCCACTCTTCTGGCTTGTAGGGTTTCTGCAGAGAGATTCACTGCTGGTCTGATGGACTTCCCGTTGTGGATCACCCCACCTTTCTCTCTGGCTGCCCTTAACATTTTTTCCTTCATTTCAACCTTGGTGAATCTGACAATTATGTGTCTTGGGGTTACTCTTTTTGAGGATCATCTTTGTGGTGTTCTCTGTATTTCCTGAATTTGAATGTTGGCTTGCCTTGCTAGTTTGGGGAGGTTCTGCTGGATAACATCCTGAAGAGTGTTTTCTAACTTGGTTTCATTCTCCCTATCACTTTTAGGGACTCCAATCAGTTGTAGGTTTGGTCTTTTCACATAGTCCCATATTTTCTGGAGGCTTTGTTCCTTTTCATTATTTTTTCTCTAATCTTGTCTTCACGCTTTATTTCAGTAAGTTGACCTTCAATCTCTGATATCCTTTCTTCCACTTGATCATTTCAGCTATTGATACTTGCGTATGTTTCACGAAGTTCTTTTGCTGTGTTTTTCAGCTCCATCAGGTCATTTATGTTCTTATCCAAACTGGCTATTCTAGTTAGCAATTCCTCTAACCTTTTTTCAAGCTTATTAGCTTCCTTGCATTGGGTTAGAACATGCTCCTTTAGCTTGGAGGAGTTTGTTATTACCCACCTTCTGAAGCCTGCTTCTGTCAATTCATCAAACTCATTCTCCATCCAGTTTTGTTCCCTTGCTGGTGAGGAGTTGTGATCCTTTGGAGGAGAAAAGGCTTTCTGGTTTTTGGAATTTTCAGCCTTTTTTACTGGTTTATTGTCATCTTTGTGGATTTATCTACCTTTGGTCTTTGATGTTGCTGACCTTCTGATGGGGTTTTTGTGTGGATGTCCTTTTTGTTGGTGTTGATGTTATTCCTTTCTGTTTGTTAGTTTTTCTTGTAACAGTCAGGCCCCTCTGCTGCAGGTCTGCTGGAGTTTGCTGGAGGTCCACCCCAGACTCTGTTTGCCTGGGTATCACCAGCAGAGGCTGCAGAACAGCAAAGATTGCTGCCTGTTCCTTCCTCTGGAAGCTTTGTCCCAAAGGGGCACCCACCAGATGCCAACCAGAGCTCTCCTGTTATGAGGTGTCTGTTGACCCATCCTGTGAATTTTCTCCCAGTCAGGAGGCACAGGGGTCAGGGACCCACTTCAGGAGGCAGTCCATCCCTTAGCAGAGCTCGAGCGCTGTTCTGGGAGATCCACTGCTCTCTTCAGAGCCAGCAGGCAGGAATGTTTAAGTCTGCTGAAGTTGTGCCCACAGCCGCTGCTTCCCGCAGGTGCTCTGTCCCAGGGAGATGGGAGTTTTATCTATGAGCCCCTGACTGGAGCTGCTGCCTCTCTTTCTGAGATGCCCTACCCAGAGAGGAGGAATCTAGAGAGGCAGTCTGGCTCCAGTGGCTTTGAGGAGCTACAGTGGGCTCCACCCAGTTCGAAGCTCCCCGTGGCTTCGTTTACACTGTGAGGGGAAAACCACCTACTCAAGCCTTAGTAATGGCAGACATCCCTCCCCCCACCAAGCTTGAGTGTCCCAGGTCGACTTCAGACTGCTGTGCTTGCAGTGAGAATTTCAAGCCAGTAGATCTTAGCTTGCTGGGGCTCCATGGGGGTGGGATCCACTGAGCTAGACCACTTGGCTCCCTGGCTTCAGCCCCCTTTCCAGGGGAGTGAACGGTTCATTCTCACTGGCATTCCAGGCACCACTGGGGTATGAAAAAAAAAAAACTGTAGCTAGCTTGGTGTCTGCCCAAAATGGCTGCCCAGTTTTGTGCTTGAAACCCAGGGCCTTGGTGGTGTAGGCACCTGAGGGAATCTCCTGGTCTGCGGGTCACAAAGACTGTGGGGAAAATGTAGCATCCGGGCTGGAATGCACCATTCCTCGTGACACAGTCCCTCAGGGCTTCCCTTGGCTAGGGGAGTGAGTTCCCCAACCCCTTGTGCTTCCTGAGTGAGGCAGTGCCCCCCACCCTGCTTCAGCTCGCCTTCTGTGGGCTGCACCCACTGTCTAACCAGTCCCAATGAGATGAGCCGGGTACCTCAGTTGGGAATGCAGAAATCACTGGCCTTCTGTGTTGATCTCACTGGGAGCTGCAAACCAGAGCTGTTCCTATTTGGCCATCTTCAGAAAAGCATTTTTTTAAAATGCCAGTATATTCTTGCCTTTAGGGTCCTTGAGATTGTTTTGGTTGGAATTTGTTTTTCATAAAGGAATTGCCTGTATAAATGTAAGTCAAATATTTGCTTTGTGTGTATTGATTTTCTTTCTTAGGCCAGTAGAACACTGTACTTCTAGGAGTTGTGTGTGTGTGTGAGTATATACGTACTCACATGTGCTTATAGAATGGACTAAGTAGTGTTAATTTTCTCTAAATGATGGAAGAAATAAAAGTCAGCTATGCTTTTTAATATAATACATCAAGCTTCCTTACAATTCTAAGTGGAGGATTGGAGTTTAGGTGAGGAGGGGGAAATGATAATCCCAGACTCAGGAAAGGGGAGAAGTCACTAGGAACTACCACTTGTCCTCTGACTACTATATGATATTTTTTTTCTAAAAGCAGATTTCACCATCTGACAAATTCCATAGATGATCTTCTCAATTGTATTTGTCTTAACAGTGCAGCAGTGAAATTGCTGCTTGATGATTCCACAGGCATTTTCTGCAAGTGTCGTCTTCCTGATGAAAAGCCTAACGTGGTAAAAATCACGCAGATTTCAAAAATCCAATTTATTATCCAGGATTAGCTATAACTAATAATTTTTCATAAACTCCAGTTATAGGTATTTTTTCCTGAGGGAAAGTGAAACTTTAAGTCTTCTGTGAAGCCATAATTAAATAGTATATTTTAAGACAAAGAAGAGTGATCATCATGTATATACAACACCTGATAGCTGCAGAAACCAAGACTAATTTATATTCCAAAGTCAAAATGTCAAATATTAAGAGAAAATCATAGCCTTATTAGCAAAGGAGAAATCTCTCTGTTAATCACTTATTTAACAACTTGCAAATCTGTGAGATATTTCTTTACTTTGACATTCGATGATCCTCAGGAAGGGGAGTTGGGAGGGAAAATTGATCTCTGATAATGCTCGAACAGCCTTGGATGCATCTGCAGGGCTTGATTTCTTATTTAACTTGTGAGTGCTAGCTTATCAAAATGCAGGTATGCAGGAGATACTGAGAAACAGATTGGTAAAAGCTGGGCAATATCAACAAATTGGTATGTGCTTGAAGAAACCAAAGCCAGGTAACCAAAGGTACTTTCTTCTTGGACTCTCTTGGTCATAACATTGGGATTGCCTAGTTTATTTGTTCGATACGAGGTGCTTATGAAGTCAGGTTACAGCCATTCTCTATGGTCTGCTGACGTTTACATCCTAAGCAGCTATATTATAAATATGGAAAACTAAAAGTGTGGAGAAATTCGTTGAAAGCCCATTAGTTTCATTATAGTAAGACCAACTCTGCAACAGCCCACAATGGTGATCTGCATTAAACAATAGCTACCATTGATTAAGTAACTACTGAGTGCCAGGCACTGGACTAAGGATTTTTATTTCTTTCGTTTAATTATGAAAACAACCCTGTCAGATAGGTCTTATTGGAGCTGGGTGTGGTAGCTCATGCCTGTAATCCCAGCATTCTGGGAGGCTGAGGTGGTCTGGATCACCTAAAGTCAGGAGTGTTCGAGACCAGCCTGGCCAACACGGTGAAACCTGGTCTCTACTGAAAATACAAAAAATTAACCAGGTGTGGTGACAGGCACCTGTAATTCCAGATAATCGGGAGGCTGAGGCATGAGAACTGCTGGAATCTGGGAGGCGGAGGTTGCAGTGAGCAGAGATCATGCCACCTCACTGTAGTGTGGGTGACACAGCGAGACTCTGTCTCAAAAAAGAAACTGGATAAGTCTTATCAGTCTTATTCTATCTACCTACTTATCTATCTACCTATCTATAAATACACAAAGGAAGTGAGCTCATGAGGTGAAATTATTTGCTCAAGGCTGTACCATGTTAATTAGAGGAAATGGGACTTAAATGCTGTCTATCCAACTTAAAGGCAGACAAGTGATCTGAGGAGAGAGTATTGCATAAAAAAAAAAAGCCAATTATTAACCCAGAAAGGAAAAAAAAAATCCTAATTAAGAAAGGAAATATAGTCATGGTATACTACTTGTCTTAGCTAGAAAAGATACTTAAATACACTCTCTCTAAGGCCATTAGCTAGTTAATGTCTTTGGACTGTTTTCCTGTCATCTAAATGATCTGTGTTGTAATTTTAGTCAGAGGGCCTTGAAGAAGGAAGTTGTATGTGCCTGTGTGTGTGTATATGTCTATATGTAAGTATCTTGTGCAAATTGGCCAAGTTATTTATCCATTCTTGAGAAGCAGATTAAGTTTTAGAAGTCTTTGCTTTCATTGGGAGGCAATTCTCCATGGGTCTGTTGTGATTCTGCCCATCTTGTGAGCAGAGGCACTGCTGGCCTTTGTTCTGGACCATCTCTTTAGGTATGTTTGTATAGTGAATGGCCTTGGAAGACAGAGAGAGTGATGTCTTCCAGAACAATCATTCTCAACTTGTGGTGATTTTGCCTCCAAAGGGATATATGGTGATTTCTGGGACCACTTTTGGTGTAACAACTGGGGGAGTGCTATGGGCATCTAGAAGGTGGTGGCCAGGGCTGCTCCTAATTATCTTGTAATGCACATGACAGTCTTCACAACAAAAAATTCTGCAGCCCAGAATGTCAGTAGAGCTGAGATTGGGAAACTCTGTTCTGGGACAAAGGCTGGGTTTCTTTATTGTCCAGTATGATAAAGACAATGTCTCCCTATGGTGCAAAGGTCAGGCAAGTTTACTTCCCATTGTGAAAGATTTAATCCCATTGATTTGTACACTTAAGAGTGGTTAAAATGGTAAATTTTATGTAATATGTATTTTACTATAATAACAATATTTGAAAAAAAGAGTTTGGGTTCCCTAAGCTTGAGGTTCTTCTCCTAAAATGCAAACTAATGTGTGCATAACTAGCCCCCTTCTCATTGTGGGAATTGGGTCTTGGGTGCAAATGCTATTTTGGCTACTGCTATTGCGTGAGCAATAAAGTCCTTTGTCACTGACTCATTGGTCTCATGTTTCCTGCCAGCACCCATGAAACTGTGGCATGCTAACTTGTCTCTTGCTAGCAGAGTGCAGCTTCAGACCTTCCATAGTCCTTGATAGCCTCTCCTGGTACCATCTAGCATGCATGTTTGTGTGTGCACATACAGGGGTATTTGCATGTGTATGTTACGCATTGTGGACTAATTCCAGCTAAGAAAGAGTCTGAGCTCTGCCCCAAGGTCCAGACTCTTTTCATTAGTTACAGACAAATTAATGATGATGGACCTGGTAGTACTTCCAAACCCATGGAAAGACAGAAGAATGTTCACATTCTTGCATGCATTTAGGGAGGCCAGAACAAACGTGTTTTCTCAGAGGTGAGTTTAGGTCTAATAAGCCTAAGATACTCTTTCAAAACTAACCTGTTTTGTGTATGCATGTTCCAAGTCAATCTGGGGTTGGCTGTCAGCAGTGGAACAAGTGCCTGATTAGCAGATGCCTGTGATTGCTCTGGCACTGATGACCCTATGTCAATACGCCCCATTTATATGATGGTGCTTTTCCAAGCTAAGGAAGTAAGAAATGAGTCTGCTCCATTTTAATTAAGTAAACTGCCCCTAGTAATAAAGGATCAGGCAAGAGAATTCACCATCTCAGAAACACAGACCAGTAACTATGAAATAACCAAATACACAATTGTATTTTTAGAGTTTGTTTAATTTGACAGAACCGAGTGGAAGATGGAGATAGTAACTTTGGAGTGATTTTGGTTTGTTTTATTGCTTTTCCTATTTGTAGTTGATTTTGACTAATAAAATAATGAGAATTGAAAAATGTTTTTATGCTAAGTAGTTTCATTAAATAGCATTTAACCCAGCATCATGAACATTAAAACAGTAAAATAATTTTTTTAAACTGGAGGTTGTGATATATACTATTTTCTTATTTATTTAAAATTTATTTTTAATCAGAATTGTACAAGTTTTTAAAAGTCAATCAGTTCAACAAAGATTGTAACAAAATAGCAGCCATTTGCCACACCCCTCCTCACCACAGTTCCTGTTTCATACAGTTACCTGATTTGAACTAGTTTAGCTATTTCTCATGGAGTACTGCTATATTCCTAATCCCCTCTCCCATTTTAATACATCTGAGGTGCTTGGTTCTTACAAGTGATGGCATCTCATAGTTTAATTTAAAATTATTTTAAAAATGATTTTAATTAAACTTTAATTTAAAAAATTCTTTTATTTTAGATGACATAAAAGAATGGAGATCCCTTTCATTGGGTGGTATCTCAAATTTGATAAAATAAATTTTGATTTTGTTTTGATTTATTAACATTCTGGATTTATCTTGCTTTGTATTTATCTTGATTTATTAACTTTTTATGTAATTACTATGGAAGATGATTATTTAGATTTTTTCCCAAACTCGTTCCCCCTATCAAAAATAGGGCCACATACATACAAACACATACAGATACCTTTCCCTTTCTTTTTTCTTTCCACTATAATTTTGTAATACTTTTGGTTAATATCTATACATTATTTCTACTATGTAAATGTTATTCTTAGTTGAACCATTTAGGTGTACTCTAGTTACATTTCCTTTCTTGGGTAACCCTTTTTCCCTGTTGCCTAGGTTAATAATTACCTATTTTTTCACTTGCTTTGTTTTATATGTACCTGTTACTAAGCCATCTCCAAACTCTGCAAGAACTTACTGTCCTCTTGATACATTCACATACATTCAGTGATACTGAAATCTTCATTTTATTTTTTTCTCAATCCCTCCAGTCAGCTGCCTCAAGCTGGTAAGTTGTTCTCTAGATCTGCTTTTCAGAGTTATCCTGGTATTTTTCTTCACCATTATTTTGAGAATTTCCTTTGCTTCCTTGGTGGATGGTTCTCTTCTTTTTTTGGATTCTATGTCTTCCTCTATCTTGGTTACACCTTCAATTTTTGTGGAACTCACCTCTAGTTGCCTTCAGAGAAAAGCTTCATGGGAGACACATTTTTCTGAGACTTTGCATGTCTGAAAATATCTTTTTTTTTTCTCTAATCAAACTTGACTGTAAGTATGGTGAAGTATACAATTCTAGGTTTGATATAATTTCTCTCAGAATTGTGAGGGGATTCTTCAATTTTCCTTTCCATTCAGAATGGTAGTTGAGAAGTTTGGCATTCTGTTTCTTTAAATGTAACCCTTTTTCCTTTCTCTGAAGGCTTTTAGACTATTTTCTTTGTTCCTGGTGTTCTGGAAATTTCCAATTATGTGTCTTGGTATGGGCCTTTTTGCTTATTGGACTGGATACTCAATGGGCTTTTTAATTCTTAAAATATGTGCTTTCAGTTTTGGAAAAAAATTGTTTCTTTGATAATTTTCTTCTCTTCCTTTCCCTACTGTTTCCAGAAGTCCAGGTATTTGAATATAGGACCTCCCCAAGTGATTATCTAATTGTCTCTCCTACTTTTCATCTCTGTGGATTTTTAACTTTCTCACTGAAAAAAAATAAAAGCCTCAACTTTTATCTTCCTTTGATTATTTCCTAGTCATTTTATTTTTAACATCTAAGAGCTCTTTCACATTCTCTGAATGTTCCTTTTTTAGCATCCTGTTCTTGTTTTATAAATGTGATATCTTCCCTCTTCTCTGAGGATTGATGTTCTATTATTTTACACTTTCCTTTCCTGCACTATGTTTTTTTCTTCTGAGGTTCTTTTTTGTTTTCTTTGTCTCTATGTTTTGATCTCTGTATCCATGTCAGAGTCGTTTCTTGGCTGTCTGGTTAGATTTGAGAGTGAGGTATTAAGGACACACTGTGTGCATAGGTAGGGGAGGTGTCCTGTAGGGTGATTCGTTTTGGCCATTTCATTGGCAGGCCTCCTCCAAGTTTCAGTATCTGTAAGTATTGCTCTTTTGGGGTCTATATCCTTTGAGAGGAATCTTTCAGTCTTTTGCCTTGTTGATAAGAACCTAGCTGTCAACATTTTGGGATCTGACTGTGAGAAAGAGGCATGGATCAAGAGATTTATTCTCTGTTTCAGTATAGTCCCCTTGTTCTGAGCTATACTTGAGTCGTTTCCCTAAGGTTCAACATCTCCAGATAATAAACCTCCCATATTTCTCAAGGGAGGTGATCTCAGGGGATCTATTTGCTTCTTTTAAAGACTCTGAGCCAATCTACCTATTTTTAGCCACAGTTATCTATCCCCCTTATTTCAGAGGCAGATGGTGCCTCCATCCCCAAGCCTTCTTTAGGTTTTTAAGCACGCAAAGGCTTGCTTCTTGGCTTCCCTTTCTGCAGTCTCACATTTTAGCTTCCTCAGGTCTGCTGTCATCCATCCATTTGCCCCACATCCATTTGCTTTACTCTCCCAAATTTTGTGGTTGATATTCCCTTTCCACTCTTCTGTGTCCTTATGGGTTCATCATTTTAAAGTTGTCTTAACTGATGCTTCAGAGGAGCATCAGAAGGGAGCTAAGAAAAAACTCCCATTTATTCAATCTGCTGTGTTCAACCAGAAACCACTTTCATAATGATCCATCAGAGCTGTTTTCCTAGAATCCGCAATAGGGATGGTAGCCTGTGGGCAGATTTTCTATGAGGGAATCTTCTTTGGCTGGCACCGGGCTAACAACATCTGTATCTCTTTAGCAGGCCATGTGTTCTTCAGACTTCCACAGGCTGTAGCACTCCCTATGCCTATCATCTGTTTTCAATTATAAATTTATGTTTTTTGACCTGTCCCTGGGATCATTTGAACTTGTGACCATTGGTCTACACATACATAATATAATGTGATTTTAAAGAAACTGCAGCTTAGAGGCTGTAACCAGAAATAGGTTTAAAAACCAAATATGCCTGTTGCCCTAGTTTTATTCTCCATGTTCTGACTTGGTCTCATCATTGACTCTACCCCCAACTAATGGAGAATTAGCAGCTACCTGCAGCTCCTCTTGTGAAAGTTAAGTAAGATGAAGAACTTCTTGTCTTGCTTTTCCATATACGATAAAATATGCGGAAAGATAAAGGAGGCTGTTTTCTGTGACAGGTTCCCCAAATCGACTTCAATGAAATGCATTTACTAAACAATTATAAAATATTTAGAACCAGAAGGGAACCTGACCTAAGCTTCTTATTTTGCCATTGAAGAAACAAAACCCCACAGTGGAGAAAGCCATTTTCCCTCAGAGACATGATCCGTTGGTAGTAGAATTAGCACAGCGGTCCTGTCTTCCAGTTTGGTCCTCTCCCTGTACATCTTAAAGAAGAGAAGTGAGAAGATGAGGGGCTTCTAATTAGCCCATAAATGGCAACATATTCTGAGGGCCACTCAACCTTCACTGCTGTCTCTGAACTAAAAGGGATTATGTGTAAATGGTATATTTATCATTATTTTCAAGTCATATACTCTTATTGAATCATATTCACATTAGGCATTAACAAACATTGCTCATGGCTGGAAGGGTTAGAATGAGAATGATCAGAGTTCTTAATTTATCTATGCATTGTCAGTAAGGCTTTTTGTGGCGTCACGTTTGTAGACTTGTATTTAAATGATAGAAATGGTGTTAAACATTAAAATGTAGCCATCAGGGATTTCTGATATAAATGAAAGAAAATCAACATTTACTTCTAACTTGAGAAAATTTAATGGGGAACTTTTTTCTTTTTTTAAATATATTTTTATTATACTTTAAGTTCTAGGGTACATGTGCACAACGTGCAGGTTTGTTACATACGTATACATGTGCCATGTTGGTGTGCTGCACCCATTAACTCATCATTTACATTAGGTATATCTCCTAATGCTATCCCTCCCCCTCTCCCCCAACCCCACAAGGACGAAAAACCAAACATCGCATGTTCTCACTCATAGGTGGGAATTGAACAATGAGAATTTTTTTTATTGATGATTAAATATATTCATGCCATCTAAGTATGTTTTCAGTTTATCATATATTCTCATTTGGGTGTCACAGGAACTGGTGGGGCTTAAAGGGACCCGGGTGAGACAGCTTCCAGGTGACTGGCCACAGCTTCACTCTTCTTCTGTACTTACAGGGTCATGTCTCTGAATATAACCACCCTTTTTGTAGGTCTTTGTGGCTTCAAATCATATCTAAACCTTTTTTTTTTTTTTCGGTGAAAGTAAGCCTCTGAAAGCTGAAAGCAAGAAGTGGTACTTTGCCATCATAAAAAATTGAAACTGATTATTTCAAAACACCTCATTCAACTTGGATAGGAGATGATTTTAGTTTCCATGGGAACAGAAATAATAAAAACAAGTACGATAACTTCTGTATTTTCAACATCTATGCCTGAATGCTGCCATAAAATCCACAGAAATATCTTCTACCCCAAAACCTGTAACAAATCCACACACTTTCCCAAATTTGAAACTTCATAAATGTTACATGGAAAAAATGGACATCTAAGGTAGTCTTTTTCATTTTTATTGATCTCCAGTTTCTAGGTCTAGGTTATTTTAGGGAGAGAGAACTAATGGGTGGCAATGAGGAGGAGGGTTGGGTGGTGAGACAGGATATCTTCACTAAAAAATTCTAATTTGTGCTGTTATTTATGATAGTATATGCCTTAAACATTAAAATAATATCCCTCAGGAATTCTGATGTAAATATAAGAAATATCACATTTACTGCTAAAGTGGGCTGGACATGAGCTGTGGTCTCTCTTTAGATGGCTTTCCCCGTTTTTAATTTTTGTTGCTGCTGTTACTGTCAGAGGTGTGATATGAGTTTAAAGTGTAAGTCATTTGGGCAGCCCCATCTGCCTGTGGAAATACCTTCCAAGTAATTGATGCTTTCAGTATTTTGTGGCTTATTTCCATATAATTTTCATATTCCATCTTCTTTCCCCTTACCACTCAGGAATCCTGAGTTAACCTTAGTAACTGCATGCATATTCTCTAGAAAACCTGAATACTTAACGATTTCCCCTGAGCCCCATCCCTGCTAGGATGTAGCCAGAGGAAACAACTACCAGACCTTTTCTGTCTTCCCATACAAATCAACCATTTTCTCAGAATGTCAGTTACAAAATAAATAGCAAGATACACATGGAGGCAAACTCAGGCAAAATACACTCAAAATGCCAACGCTGGTGTCGAGGAGAAAAGCTGGTACAGCTTTTCTAATAATAAATATTACGAGCAATTACTTATAATTAATAATGTGTTTTTTAAAGGTAGAAGTCCTGTCTTATAAAAACCTCTCTGTTTAAGGGTACATATTGTCTGTAATCGTACATATATTTTTAATATGTGTAACATGCCCGTTAATCTAGTTGCATTCTGGATGCGTGCCAGAGAGGCTGTGAGGCTGGAATCATCTAGGTTTAAATGACTTCTGCGATCATTGTTTATACTATTATGTACATCAGTTTAATGGGGATTTAAGATAGAGTATAATGAATACCCTTTTTTGCCTCCGGCGAAACAGAAGAATTGTGCTTTATAAAGAGTATAGCATTCCACAATTACTCATAGGCATGAGCTAGTCCTGAAATTTCAAGATGTATGTACTCCTTAGAGAAACAATTTCTATCTGAAAACAGGTTCTCTTAAAAATTTTCATCACAAAATTGACTGAAAATTGACGTAAATGTCAGGGAGATGAAGACTTTGAGCATAAAATATAAAAATATAAAATATAAAAAAACCTTTCTGATTTATTGCTTTTGCAGTGATGGGTTTATTTTTATGACATTGACTCTTAAACAGTGGCATGGTGATGTAATTAGAATAAATCTTGTAGAACTGTCTTTATGGCCAGAAATCATTTTGTCAACAGTCAGTCCTTCCATTGTCTTCCAACTTTCAGTAAATTGGTAACTTTTAAGATAAAAACACCACCTTCATTTAAAGAGGCATGATTTCAGGGCACTATTACAGTGAGAACTGTTAACCCAAAATGATTTTTTAAGTGGCATATTCATGAGCATATTGCATTATATGTGATTTACAGCCCTACTGTGCACAGTGTCATTTGGGGACCAGCATTGTCAGCATCACAGGAGCTGAGAGAGATGCAGAGGCTCTGAACTCATGACTCACACTTTGCATTTGACAAGGTCCCCAGGTGACAGTGAGGCACTGGTCTTGGAGCCACTAGGCTGGAAGTAACTCTTGAACATACATTGAATTTAACATAAATATGTCTTTGCTCTGTACTTTATCTTAGGAAAATAGTTATTACAATCCAATGGTCAAAGAATTCAAATCCTTTTGTCACTACTTGGAGAATTTTGGACAAGTTTACCTAATTCCCTGTGCTTCAGTTTCCTTATCTGCAAATTAGGATCATCATCGTGTTTTTCTTAAATAATTGTTGTGAGGTTAGTGTAAATATGATTATGCATATGACGTGCTTAGGCCATAGCACTGGGTACCTGGCAAGCTCTGGATAAGTGTGAGCCTTATCATCAGTGCCTTCCTGAAGGCACATATGAGGCTGACTTTTATCTGTGGGAGGCACATTTGTGTCTTATTTAAGACGAATATCCAGAGTCAGTGGTGTTGGGAACAAAGATGAATAACAAAAAGCCCTTACTTCAAGAAACTTCCAGAAGACCTCCATAGTGCCAGGGCTGATATTTCCCCGTTATTCTATAATCATTCCAAATATTTTGGGGGTATCTACTCAATAGCAATTTATGTTCACTATTTTTTTTGCACATAAATAGAGAATAACTGCACAGTGTGGTTAGAATGTACTAGAGGTATCTTAGCAAGTATTAGGAGGGCACAGGTGAGGAGTGACGGCCACCTGAGGGAGCAGGAAGGCTTTCTGGAGAAGGTGGTTCTACCCATGGGGAAGGAAGGGCATCCTGGATGAAGGTATAAGGAACAGCATGAGTAATAGGATGGCACCGCCCGTGGCCCAGGGCTCTTTTCAGTTTCTTCCACAGAGGACTCTCCCCACTCCAAACTTATGTCTGGGAAGGTCTGGGTTTGGCCTTCTTTCCCTGCCACATCCAGCCATCCCTCTTTCCATTGTTGAGGAACCCAACTTCCCTATTTTTTTAAGGAAATAGAGGAGGGATGGGAGAGTGAGGGTGTTGGGAAGGGAGGTGAAAGAGTATTAGTATGAGCATGTGTGGGGCTGGGGAGGGAAGGTATTAGTATATTAGTTTGCTAGGGCTGCCATAACAAAACACTGCAGACTAGGGGACTTAAACAGCAGACATTTATTTTCTCACAGCTCTGGAGGCCCAAAGTCTGAGATCAAGGTGTTGGCAGGGTTGGTTTGTTCTCAGGCTTCTCTTGGCTTGACATGAGTCAGATTGGATTAGGGCCACCCTCATGACCTAATTTTAACTTAAATTGCCTCCAAATACAGTCACTTTATGAGGTACTGGGGTTAAGACTTCGACATAATAATTGTGAGGGAGGGTACAGTTCAGCCCCCAAAAGTGAGAAGATGGGGTTTGTCTCTAATTTGATGCTGCTTAACAGATGGATAATATTCAGGGAGTAGAGTCAGCTTTTCAAGTTTGAGTCCGTAAGAAACATGATCAGTGATGAGTAGAGCGGGGAGAAAAGCAGAGACATGGCTCCCAGCTCAGCCCAGCAGCCCCTCTGCCTCATTATCCATTGGTTATAGATTAGAGGTTGGCCTTAGCCACGTGCCTTGTTACCATGGCGACCAGTTTTTCAGCTACTGAGGGGACCACTGTTCTTCAATAAGAAGTGTGTGTGTGCGCACATGCACGCATGTGCACGCAGGTATGTGTGTTTGTGATGCTGATGAAAGATATTTTCATCTACTGGCCATGTAACCTTTGGCAACTTGCTTTATGTCTCTGGCTCAATTTCCCATTCTATACAATGGAAATAATAATCACATCTGCCCACAGGTTGGGAAGATAAAATGAGAAACTGCATGTGAAAGTGCTCTAAGAAGCACAATATGCTACCTAAATGTTTGGCATTACATATTACATCCATAACTGGCTACTGCCAACCTGTCATTCCAATGGAAGATAGAGTCATTTGTTGCTTAAGCGCGTATACTAATTTATGGAAATTATCCTTGTTTAGTATGTCTTGTTTGTACATTCGTATTACTTCTGCAAGTATTAATAGCTAGCAGTTTGGAAACAACAAAAAGCTATTGGATGGTAAATGTGTTGTGAAAAATGGATGCCAAAGAACTTGGAAGCAAAGAATAAACATAACTGAGAGTGAGGATGATTAGTCCATATGAATCAGACCCAACAGTCTTAATGGACTACAAGTTCCCAGGGCTGGTGATAGCTCTGAGTTTGTGTGAGTGGTACCAGATTCCTCTTCAGTAGTTTTGCTACAGCACAGTGAGAGAGGAGTGAAGGGGATGGAGGAAGGGTGCAACTTGTTCCTCCTTTGCCTCTTGTATTTCTTTTTTATCCTAAAGAATAGTTACATAGAGGGAGTGCCCTTTTCCTTCTTTGCAGACTGTCACCATGGTATAGATTTTATCTGTGTGTATATGTGTGTGTGTGTGTGTGTGTGTGTGTGTGTGTGTGTGTATGTGTATGGATGGGTGTAAAACCCGGTGTTCCTTCTGGGGATGATTTGATTGATGTGTACACTGGAAACATCTTTAATAATTTAATGTCTGCTTCAAAGGAGATTACACCAAAAAGCACATTGCTTTTCATTTATTCATTACAGATCTGTCATAGCAGCATTTTTATTTTTTTGCCCTGAATTGTAGTGTCGTTGTAATAATAAATTTTGTTCCAGACTCAGGATATTTTAAAGGTTTATAAGCCTTTTAACTAATGTTACCGTCTTATTTAAATTGATCAAATTGGCATTTCAACACGATAATCTTGCATTTCTTAAAGTTGAACTAACCAGATGTGGCTTCATTTGATGACTACTAAAATAGCTGTGCCGGGAAAGTCTAATAGAAATAATGGGATGAAAGCATAATACTGCTTGTTAGTACTGGTGGTAATAATGACTATGAGACAGGGCCTGAATTTAGGGCCAGTTGTCTTCTTTCCTAGAAAGAAATTAGGGTATATACCAGCCGTTTGCATTAAAAGGAGAAAAAAATGTATAAGTGTTTGGGAATTCTGGATAAAGAAAGAGGTAAGGCTGAGAAATACAAAACTAAATACTAATATGTTATTATTTTGCCATTTTTAGGTATAAATCCAGATGTCAGAAGAGGAAAATAGACATTTTCTTATTTAGGTGTGATTGTCTTAACATACTTCAGCAAGCACTGGTAATATGTTCTCAGAGAGGCGAGGACCATATCCAGAATCCTAAAAAGTTACAGTAAATTATGAGTTTTTTGTTATTTTATTAAATGCTACACAACTTCTCTTTAAAACTAAAACAAAGTTGTTCTGAATAATAGGGCAAGTTTAGGCACAGTAAGGATCAAAACCATTTCTAGGAGAGTGATGTATAATTATCCAATTTTCAGAGGTAATTTAAAAAGAAATCTGTTCCTATTGGCCATTAGTACTGCAGTATTTCGGGAGTTTTGTTATATACTGCTTCAGGTACTCTGCTAGACAATTCTTATAATAATGTTTCTTTCCTAGATCACACCAAAAGTCAGTGATAGAAATTCCCAAAATATTTTGTTTTCAGGTCAGTAATTCTTTTTTTTTTATTTTTATTTTTTGAGACAGAGTCTCTCTCTGTGGCCCAGGCTGGAGTGCAGTGGTGCAATCTCAGCTCACTGCAACCTCCATCTCCTGGGTTCAAGCAATTCTGCCTCAGCCTCCTGAGTGGCTGGGATTACAGATATGCACCACCAAGCCCGGCTAATTTTTTGTATTTTAGTAGAGACGGGGTTTCATCATGTTGTCCCCAGGGTGGTCTTGAACTCCCGAGCTCAGTTAATCCTCCTGCCTCAGCCTCCAAAGTGCTAGGATTACAAGCGTGAGCCACCATGCCCAGCCTCAGGTCAGTAATTCTTTAAACAGTAAAAGTAATGTTGCCTACTGCAGATCTCATATGTTCTGGCCATTGAAAGTACACGTGAGTGTCCTTATTGTAGCGACTTGTTTGGTTATTAATTTAAGGAAAGATACTAGGACTTTGGGACAAGACTGCCTTTTGTTTACACCCTAGCCCTACTTGGTCACTTGCCCTGTGATGTGGGAAGTGTGATGCGATTTCTCATTTACTCTCTTTGTCTAATGGGTATAAGAAACAACTCATAGGGCTATTGTGAGAGTTGCATGAAATGCTGCGTGTGATGTTTGGCACAGAGCGGTGCTCAGCCTTTGCACTTCCATTTGCCCCGCCTTTCTCACCTGTCACTACCTGCAAACACTGTAGACACAGAGTTGTAGAAGTCTCTATGGCCAAACAACCCACTCCTTTCCCGACACATGCCCTTAACTGCTTCTCGCCTCATTCCACATTGTAATGTGATTTGTTTACGCATCTTTCCTGCCTATTGTGCTCTGCTCTGCGCTCTTTGATCTCGGAGACAGTGGTATTTATCTCCGAATGCCGGGAACTCTCAGTACTGCTTAACACAGATGGGTGCCCTTGGCCCAATCACTGAAGTCATAAGGCGTGAGAGTCCCTTATGTGTCTCTCAGGGTCCCACAATGACCATGTATGTTATTCTGCAGAGTCCATGGAAGGAAACTTGTCTCTGGGCCAAGGGTCCACAGGGCTTTTCCTGGCTTCTTCTGACTTGTTCGTGGGGAACCATCCGCCATGTTTTCTCTGAGCTGGTTTATTATACCTTCTTCCCCCTTGGAAGTCCCCTCTCTGCCTTAGTGTCTTGGTAAAGGAAAACTCTCGACTTCCTGGTGTGGGCTCCTTTCCTGAACTCCCTAGAAATCCTTGCTCTTCAGCGATGCAGAATGTAATCTTTGGCTCAGTACATTTCCTCTGCTCCATTTTATTTCTTTTTGTGGTAATATACTCATAATGGCATATTTACCATCTTAACCAGTTTTAAGTGTACATACAGTTCAGTGGTATGAAACACATTCATAATGTTGTGTAACCACCACCACCAACCAGGTCCAAACCTCTTTTCGTCTTGCAAAACTGAAACTCCATACCCATTAAACAAGAACTCCCCATTTCGCCCTCCCTCAACCTGGCAATCAGCATTCTACTCTCTGCTCTATGATTCTGACTACATACCTCACATGTAGAATCATACAGTATTTGTCTTTTTGTGTGACTGGCTTATTTCACTTAGCATAATATCTCTGTTTCATGCATTTTGCATCAGAATTTTCTTTCTTTGTAAGGCTGAATGATACTCCATTGTATGGATATACTGCATTTTGATTATCCACTCATCTTTTGATGAACACTTGGGTTGCTTCCACATTTTAAGCTATTGTGAATAATTCTCCTATAAACTTGGGTGTACAAATATCTCTTCAAGTCCTTGCTTTCAGTTCTTTTGGGTATTTACCCAGAGGGTGGAGTTGCTAGATCATATGGTAATTCTATTTTGAACTTTTTGAGGAATGACCATACTGTTTTTCAGGTGGCTGTAGCATTTTGCATCCCCCAAAATGCCCAGGAGTTCCAGTTTCTCCACATCCTTGTCAACGCTTGTTTTCTTCTGTTTTTTTTTTTTTTTCTTGTCATCATAATGGGTGTTAGGTAGTATCTTATTGCAGTTTTAATTTGTATTTCCCTAATTATTAGTAAGTTGACAATCTTTTCATGTGATTATTGGCCATTTGTATATCTTCTTTGCAGAAATGTCTATTCAAGTACTTCGCACATTTTTGAATGAGACTTTTTGTTGTTGAGTTTTAGGTGTTCCCTATATATTCTAGATATCAAGCCTTTATCAGATAAATGATTTGCAAATATTGCCTCCCATTCTATGGGTTGCCTTTTTACTCTGTTGGTATTGTCTTTTGATGTACAAAATTTTAAAATTTTTATGAAGTCCCATTTATGTATTTTTTTGTTGCCTGTGTCTTTAGTGTCATATGTAAGAAATTACCACCAAGTCCAATGCCAAAAAGCTTTTGCCTTATGTTTTCCTCTAAGAGTTATATAGTTTTAGGTTTTACATTTAGGTCTTTCATTCATTTGAAGCTATTTTTTGTACATATGTTAGGTAAGGATACAACTTCATTCTTTTGCATGTAGATATCCAATTTTCCCAGCACAATTTGTTGAAAGACTGTCCTTTCCCTACTGAATGGTGTTGGCACCCTTATCAGAACCATTTGACCGTATATGTGAAGGTTTATTTCTGGACTCTCTGTTCTATTCCATTGGTCTATATATCTGTCTTAATTCCAGGACCACTCTGGTTTTGGTTATTGTAGCTTTGCAGTAAGCTTTGAAATAAAGAAGTGGGAATTCTCCATCTTTGTCCTTTTTCAAAGTTGTTTTGGCCACTCAGGGTCCCTTGAGATTCCATATGACTTATAGGATGGGTTTTTCTATTTCCGTAAAAAACAACAGGGATTGCATTGAATCTGTAGATCACTTTGGATAATATTGACCTCTTAATGATATTAAGTATTCTAATACATTAACATGGGACATATTTCCATTTATTTATGTCTTTTAAATTTTCTTTTGGCAATGTTTTGTATTTTTCATTGCACAAGTCTTTCACCTCACTGGCTAACTCCTAAGTGTTTTATTCCTTTTGATGCTATTGTAAATGAAATTGTTTCTGTAATCTCCTTCCAGATTGTTCATTGTTAGTGTATAGAAATGCAACTCATTTTCATGTGTGATGTATTCTCCTCCGTTCTGTTTTTATAATGACAACACCCATCTTTCCCTTGCCAAGCCCTCCTCTCCTTATCACCTCAAGTGTCTGTATCTCAGTGCCTTACTTAGCTTGTTCTCTTTGAGGAGAGGGTGAGATGGGTCTGGTGGGGCAGATTGGAAATGTTATTCTCTTTGTTAGAGATTGGAGACTTTTCTCACTTTCAGTCATTTAGGTCACATACATTAAACACCAGAAACTTCTTACCAAGCATTGTGAGTTATGTTCATAAATCTTTTGCCTTTTAGCACCAGCTGGCAGATCCATTCCCCTCTGGACCTGAGTTTCTGTCCATCATTCTGCCTTTGTGAGGGACCCACCCTGACGACATGCTGAGGGATAGTTAGGACTCTCCGCTATTTGACCTTAAGCATCCGAATAAAATTTGAACAGCCTAGGCTCACGGTGTCTTTTAATCTGCATAATGACAAACATTGTGGTTTTTTCAGTATCTAAGAACAACTAGTTTTTTCCTTCATTTAAAAAATACACATTTGGTATCATGTAATTAAATCTGAGACTTTATTTTTGACAGAAGATAAGAATTATTACTAGTTCCAACTCTTTCTTCTTAAAAATAATGTGTGGAATTTTTTTCTGAACTTTTAGTCTTGTCCCCTTCATTTCCTTCCTTACTTCCAAAACTGAAAGCATTATGTTAACTTTTGTAATGACAAAAAGTTTGGTCAGTTGTTTGGTCAGTTAGAAGAGATGGGCTTCTAGAGTTGGAAAGGGGGGTCAGGGCTAACTGGGTTCCAAACTCTCATTTTACAGGGAAGGAGAATTAAGTGACCTGTCCAATGTCAGGTAGCTAGAAAGAGGCAATAATGAGATCTTAACACCAAATAAATCATTCTACCCTATCATTAAAAAAAACCCTGGGCCGGGCATGGTGGCTCATGCCTGTAATCCCAGCACTTTGGGAGGCTGAGGCAGGTGGATCACAAGGTCAGGAGATCGAGACCATCCTGGCTAACATGGTGAAACCCCGTCTCCACTAAAAAACACACAAAAAATTTAGCCGGGCGTGGTGGCGGGCGCCTGTAGTCCCAGCTACTCGGGGGGCTGAGGCAGGAGAATGGCATGAACCGGGGAAGCGGGGCTTGCAGTGAGCAGAGATCGCACCACTGCACTCCAGCCAGGGCGACAGAGCAAGACTCTGTCTCAAAAAAAACCAAAAAACAACAAAAAAACCGTGTTATTTTATTGATAGCATTGAAGAAATATGGTGGCTCCAGGAGAGAATGTATTGTAACAAATGGGAAGGGATTTCCATGTTTTTTAGGATCTGTGATGTGCCAGAAACTATGACACTTTATATAACTTTTCTTTAATCTTCATGGAAGTTTTGTTACGTTCCCATTTTACAAATGGGGAATCTGAAACTCACCAAAGTTAGGTAACAGCCAGTAAGTGCCTGGTCAGGACTTGAACCTGGGTTTTTCTCCAAAGTCTTGGCTCTGAAAGCTGGCCTCCTGTTCCCTCCCCCACCCCTTGTTTTTTTTTTTTTTTTTTGAGATGGAGTCTTGCTCTGTCGCCCAGGCTGGAGTACAGTAGCACTATCTGGGCTCACTGCAAGCTCTGCCTCCCGGGTTCATGCAATTCTCCTGCCTCAGCCTCCTGAGTAGCTGGGACCACAGGTGCCCACCACCACGCCTGGCTAATTTTTTGTATTTTTAGTAGAGATGGGGTTTCACCGTGTTAGCCAGGATGGTCTCAATCTCCTGACCTCGTGATCTGCCCGCCTCGGCCTCCCAAAGTGCTGGGATTACAGGCATAAGCCACCGTGCCTGGCCTCCTGTTCCCTCTTGAAGCAGATTTATGTGTATCAAAATAACAGTAGAACAGTGAAATGCTTGATTAAGGTTTATGAAATACTTTAGTATTTATTCTTTTTTTTTTTTTTTTTTTTTTTTTTTTTGAGATGGTGTCTTGCTCTGTCACCCAGGCTGGAGTGCAGTGGCGCGATCTCGGCTCACTGCAAGCTCTGCCTCCTGGGTTCACGCCATTCTCCTGCCTCAGCCTCCCGAGTAGCTGGGACTACAGGTGTGCACCACCATGCCCAGCTAATTTTTTTGTATTTTTAGTAGAGATGGGGTTTCACCATGTTAGCCAGGATGGTCTCGATCTCCTGACCTCATGATCTGCCCGCCTCGGCCTCCCAAAGTGCTAGGATTACAAGTGTGACCACTGTGCCTGGCCCTCAGCATTTATTATTCTTACAGAGAGGACATATAGTTTCTTGACCTTAGATCTGCAGGAAAATCAGTTATTGTGTTTAGAGAGAAGCTGTCAGCTTCCTTAGGCATTGTGGGGAAAGCTGTCTACATTCCACGTCAGAAAACATGAATTCACAGCCTGGTGCCATTGCCCTCATCCTTAGCCTTGAGGATGACAATCTTTCCACAAAGACTTTTTTTTTTTAAACCTCTTCCTCTGGGCCAGGTGCTTCACTAGACAGTGGCCAAGGACCTTGCGGTTTGGCTTTCTATCTGCCATGGGGGTTACAAGCACTGGTTCTGGAGTCACAGGCCTAGTTCAAACTCTGGCTCTTTCTGTGGGATCTTGGGCTCCACCTGTTTAGTTTTCTCATCTGCAAAATGGGAATGATAACAATTTCAAAGGATTGTTGTGAGGATTAAATGAGGGAATGCTTGTAACATGTGGCATGTGGTAGGTACTCAGTAAACGTAAGTGCGTTCTATACTGTAAAGTACTATGCAAATGTAAGAATGTTTTACTTGACTGTAATATAAGTATTACATTACTATGATGTGCAGTGGAAATGTTCTGTTATGCTTCTTACTTTTATCCATTATTCCTTTTGATCCATCAGAGGCCAGCAGAAATAGTAGACGAGGAAGAAGATGGAGAGAAGGCAAACAAGGATGCAGAACAGAAAGAAGACTTTTCAGGAATGAATGGTGACCTTGAAGAGGAAGGAGGTAGGGAGGCTACAGATGCCCCTGAGCAAGTCGAGGAGATTCTGGATCACAGTGAGCAGCAGGCACGCCCTGCTCGTGTAAATGGAGGCACCGATGAGGAGAATGGTGAGGAGCTGCAGCAGGTTAATAATGAGCTTCAACTGGTCCTAGACAAGGAAAGAAAGTCTCAAGGAGCTGGCAGTGGACAAGATGAGGTATTTCTATTGCTTTTGCTTGCTTATGTGAATGCATGAATATGTGTGTGTGTACATGCGTGCATTCAGAGAATTAATCAAGTGTTTAGGACTTGTATTGAAACCACTTGTGGTTGAGTAGGAAAGATCCAATACCATTTAATCCCTTTACTTACTAGTTATTTCAACCATTTAACAATACTGCCATTGACCTGACAGTTTGTGTCTGCCCTTCTGCCATTCATACATTTAGCCATTGACCCATCCATCTACTTACCTCCTGCCTAATTTTACAAGAAAATGTACAGAGCCTTCTAAGAACATACATAATCCAAGAAAGAAATATAAAAAAGTAAGAATAAGTTAAGACCAGAGAAGGTAGAAACCAAAAAAGAATATCAAGACCAGTGAGACCTAGACATGAAATAAGGAATACTTTCTCTATTATGAGTGATTTCTTTGATCTCTAGAAGTACTGAAGTTAGTTTGCTTTTTTCTACTTTAAATAGATTAATCAAATTAAGCATTCAACACATTAGGCACTTGGGTAGTATACAGTTCTATTTATTATACAGAGAGGATAAAGAAATATGTGGTGAAAATAAGAGAACAGAAAAAGTAATATCTGGTGAAATCTCTCTTTTCCTAGCCTGTTCTTCTATGTCTGATCCTGGAGTTGGATACTCATCAGTCCTGGCATTCTTCCACGGGACAATATGATCCTGTTGCTGCCAGGCTCAAGTTGAGTCTCACAGCATAAGAGGCAGGATGTTCTCCATAACATTCTCACCATCTGCTTATCCCATCCCTTCCTGTCTATCCGTCAGTTCAAGGTCCACCTCCCTCAAGGCTGTAACTGCTGAAGTGGGCCTTGGACTACTCATTCCTAATACCCACTATGATCACTGAGGTCTACTTGATTATTTATTATTGATGCATCTGATTTATCTTGCTTAGGGAAAGCAAGTTTAGCGGTGGCAAAATGCAAAATGTTCTGGTGGCCAGGTTTCAGTAACAGTACGAAGTTATCTGCAATCCACTATATGAGTTATTCAAAATGTTCTTAACATCTAAATGAAAATGCTCAGCATGTCTCTTATCTTTTCTCAAGGTGAGATAATCATAGTCCTATTCTATAAGAAATTCCCCATATTAGTTCTACATAGTCCTCAGCGTCATTTATATGGCACCTGTAATAGTAGGTTTCATACAACTCTTTGTTGTAGTAGCTTTTGATGAAAGCTTACAAAATGAAATCAAAGTGTAATTCTGTGTGGGACTAGATAGTAAGATCCAACATGATTTTTTTCCAGTGGTCTAGCTTAATTCAACATATCACATAAATAGATTTTACAGAAATGAATGGATTGCCTGTCCTTCCATCTTCCATAAATATAACTTTAAAAAATAATCCTGTAATTTGCAATGACATGAATAAACCTGGAGGACATTATGTTAAGTGAAATTAGCCAACCAAAGAAAGACACATACCATATGATCTCACTTATATGTGTAATCTAAAAACAGTTAAACTCATAGAAGTAGAAGGTAGAATGGTGGTTACCAGGGACTGAGTACAGGGTTGGAGAGATGTTGGTCAAATGATACAAAATTTCTGCGAGAAAGGAGGAATAAGTTCAAGAGATCTATTGTACAGTAAGGTGTCTAACGTATAATAACAATGTATTGTATACTTGAAAATCACTAACAGAGCAGATTTGAAGGGTTCTCACCACAAAAGATAAGTATGTGAGGTAAGGTGTATGTTAATTAACTCAAGCCATTTCACAATGGATACATATTTCAAAACATCATTTTGTATGCTATAAACATACAATTTTTATTTGCCAATTATGACAAATGAATATTTTTTTAAAGGGGAAAAATAGGCTTTTGATAGGAATTGGGCATCCGTCAAGATCAAGGTTATGTAATTTGGCATTGACCTGTGGTATGTAATGAGAGTGAATCTAAATTCTTGGGAATTCAAATAAGGAAGTGCCTAGTTTGTGATTTTTTTTTTTGAGACAACATCTAATTAGGGACTTTTTTTTTGTGACAAGGTCTCACTCTGCTACCCAGGCTGGAGTTCAGTGGCGTGATCACAGCTCACTGCAGCTTTGACCTCCCGGGCTCAAGTGATCCTCCCACTTCATCCTCCTGTGATAGCTGGGCCCACAGGTGCCACCATGCCAGGCCATATATACATATTTTTTAATATGGAGGAAGTCTCCCTCCCTGTGTTGCACAGGCTGGTTTTTAACTCCTGGACTCAAGCGATCCTCTTGCCTTGACCTCTCAAAGTGATGAGATTACAGCCACGTGCCACCATGCCCGGCCTAATTAGGGATTAGTAACAGAGCAGTTACTCACAAAGAGATTTAATCTTATTTGACTCATCTCTTACTTATAACAATGATATATTTTATCTTGTTCTCCCTAACATATTAGTATAGGTATATTTTAAGCATACCGAAATATATGAGAAACCAAATTTATGTGAATTGTAAGTTAAAAATGAATAGTTAACTTTTACAGAAGGACTGTCTACTAATAAAATGACTAGAAATTCTGTTCACCGTGTAACATTTTGTTCCATGTAACAATTCTTGTACAAAGCGAGATATGATTGTAGGAAAATACCAGGAAATACAGAGAATTTACAAGAAACAATTGACATTTATTGAGATTGAACTTGTACTATATTCAAGATACCATTTGAGACATTTCACAAAGGAACAGTGTGAAATAAGACACGGCACCAGTCATATATATATATAATTTCTTCAAAGCATCAGTCATGGCCTGTGTGGTTTGGGGAACCTGGAGCTACTCTGTCCCCCAGACTGGGTGCCCTTGTGGGGGCTGTGGAGCCTCTAGGATTTCATAGAGCAGACTTTGCAAACCTGCTGGTTCTAATCTCACCCACTCAGTTTTCAGTGTAGTCGGGGAAAGGTGAGTTGTACATGAGACAATGTCATTATTAACAGGAAAAACCCAAGTGGCAGGAGCAATAGTTGTTGTTGGAGAAATGCTGCCTCCACATTTTGATTTTCTGTCTTTTTCTTATCTACTTGCTACTTGATGGTACTTGGTACCATATTCACAACGAATTTGTGAATTCTAGGAGGAAACTAAAATTAGGAGAATGTCCCTGAATTTTTTCTTCCTTTGTCTCTGAAAATGCTAAACTGAAAAGTATAACTAAATTGAAGAAAAGCTCAAAGAGAAATCAAGAAAAAATGAGAAAAATAAAGCCTGCAGCATACAAAATGAGTCAGGGCCTTTCAAGCACTAGTAGATTATGAACCCCAAAAGGACTTTTGTACAAGTGTTGAGAAAACAGTATGTCCACTGGGTAATGATAGACAAAAAAACAAAGGGAACCCCAGGAACTCTTTTTAGTTAAATATTTATATAATTAAATAGAATCTTGAGTAATTTTTTCTTTATAAATGTCATTACCTTTGTGAACCAAACAGCTGAATACCTTTGTTTTGATCTATTTTCTTCTAGGCTGATGTAGACCCTCAAAGACCACCAAGGCCAGAAGTAAAAATTACCAGTCCAGAAGAAAATGAAAACAACCAACAAAACAAGGACTATGCTGCCGTGGCTTAGAACATTTTTAAAAAGAGAGTATATGGATCGCAAGAAAAATGAAGGGTTATCATACTTGAAAGATAAGCACATAGTTATTGCTGAATATAATGTGACACTATGGTCGAATACTACCTACGAATTATAACATTAGAAGCCTAGTGGAAAGACCAGATAACTTTAAATGGCTACTAAAGGATAATTACTTACTTTTATTGCATGTGTTTTAAAAGTCATATAGAAATATTAAATAAGACGGACAGAGGAGAATTTGCACTGGAAGACAATTGCCACTTGTAAAGGATGAAAAATAGGATCACTCTTATTGTACGCTTTATTATAAGTTTAGAAGGCAGTTTATTCTAAATAATTTTTCTCTAGGAAGGCGTAGAATTTTAAAGAACTGGTAATAGGAAAGCATGTACTATTTTCTTAAAGCAATAAACTCTTGAATGAACAGATTGCGATTTACTTTCAGACATAATTTGGAGATGGCAGTAGATCAAAATGTGTCCATGACTTGTTAACATGCCTTTCTTTCTTCCTCCTTAGCCAAAATCCACCTTTGAACTACAAAGACAGAGCAAGGCGTTCATTTTGGTGGGAGGAAGCATTGGTTCAGAGTGTTAGTGACTAGTATCGCCATGCCGTCACTTAAATGCTTTCAGGCTTGCATGCTTGTGGCTCCAATGGCGCACACTCAGGAAGGAATTGTAAAGGAGCACCCAGTTATATTATAAAGCCTGGATGTATGGTTTGCAGATAATGGAAATCCTGTGGATTTTCACTGATCCAGTCTATCTTTACCAATAGTATCTCTCTCTTCTCCCTTATGTTATTAGAGAACCTGATATTGGCTATTCCAAAGATTAAATTATTTTCAAATAGTTTTCAACAAAAATAAAAGTGTATTAGGAAGAAAAAAGTAGACTATATGAAGAGTTTGTGACTGCTCAATTTAACTTGTTTTTTGCCTTATTTCTATTAAGACTGTTTTACTATGTTTTTGCCCTAGGGATATCAGCAAATATTTATTTTTCCTAGCATGATATAGTTAGAATTTCAAGCAGATTTCTTTGTAATTAGAAGGCATCTGATAGAAATTGTAAAACTTTAGAAGTTATTATAATGAAACCAATTCCTGAATCACAACTTCATGGACTGACTAAATTGATTTATAGTTGCCTTGTGAGGTATGTATGGGGAAAACATAAAAACATAATTAAAACATAATTTCGTCCTTTTTATGAATTCTTAAGAGATGTTCTTCCATAAATATAGAAATAATATATTTTTCTTAAAGGATATATTTTTAATTATGTGGAAGTTGTAAGCTTGAAATTTTAACTTCTAGTGCTTTTCTAAAATTCACAATTACAAGTTTAAAACATTTTTTCTCTTCCAGGTTTCATTTGGAATAAAGAGTTGGCAGTTATATAAAGCACTTAATAATACTATAGAAAATAGATGTGTTTTTTCTTAATATGATTTTGGTATTTTCCACAGATCAGAAGTGTAAACAGAGAGATAATGTAACAGTATTTGGAAGAGATAATGACACAAGGATATAGTGATCTGGGAGCATGAATTAGAAACAGGGTACTATGTTTCTGGTGTAAAATCTAAATTGTGCTTTCTACTAGCGTTACTTTTTCAAATGGGATGATATAAAGCACTGTGGGCTATAAGCAACAATCTTGGGTTGGTAGGCAAATAGACCAATTGATCTTTATTATTATTATTATTATTATTATTATTATTTTTTGAGATGAAGTCTTGCTCTTGTCGCCCAGGCTGGGTGCAGTGGCATGATCTTGGCTTACTGCAACCTCTGCCTCCTGGGTTCAAGCACCTGAGCCTCCCGAGTAGCTGGGATTACAGGCATCTGCCACCACACCTGGCTAATTTTTGTATTTTTTGTAGAGACAGATGTTTCACCATGTTGGCCAGGCTGGTCTCAAACTCCTGACCTCAGGTGATCCGCCCGCCTTTGCATCCCAAAATGCTGGGATTACAGGTGTGAGCCACAGCACCCGGTCCCAGTTGGTCTTTTAATATTAAATTTGTGCACTATTACTGGGTCTGGAGTTAATGATTTCAAATAGTTTCTAAAAATAACTGATTAAATGTAAGAAATTATAACTAATTATCAAGGTGATTCTCTTTTGTTTCTTCAATGGAGAGTTTCTCTTTCTCTTTTCCTCCTCTAATAAAAATATTTCTTTTTTTCCTGTCCTTTTATTCATTATATTATGAAACTTAGGTTTTAGGAAACACCTTAAGCGTCATTTTAATGAAGCACAACATTGATATTTTACATGAATAATAACGTTTGGTATTTTAAATATACTTCAAGGGGGTAATAAGCCACAATAACTGTACCAAAAAAACTTAAAAATGGGGACATATTCATCCCTTGTGTGTGCATATTTTACCACTTGTTGACAAGATACAATTGTGACCTACTTTGAGGGGATGAATAACGACTTATCACTTTAAGACACTTTGCAAACATGTTACTAAAAAAAGGTGCCTAGCCAAGGAAAAAACCATTCACTTGGAATTAAAATTGTGGATGTCACTTCAGAGATGACTTTAACATAAATGCTGAAAGTTCATTCACCTCACAAATGTGGCAGTTTTCTCTGTGGAGAATGGTGGTCTCCGTGGCAGACTGGCTCTCCAAATTAAATGAAACTCATTGACAGACCTGGGACCTTTTATGTGAGTGGACAGACAAGATCTTGGTTTGGCTTCATGTACTGTTTTCTAGAGAGAGTGCTACGAAAAACTTATGATGCTTTTATGTGATAACCAATATAATGCTTTAATATGTTAATTCTTTGTGATGCTATATACATAGTTTTTATAGTTTTATGAAACCACTTTGTTAAACTTATCTGGATTTTAAGACACTTGTAAACAAATGGTTTGTTAGTAAAATTGGGGCATTAAGAGTTTTACAGAGCAAATAAAGAAGATTTTGACAAAAGTCATTTTGAGGCTAAGGGTGTTTTACCTGGGTTAACTTCTGTTAAAATAGCTATTGAGTGCCCATTGACTTATAAAATACGATACTATGACCATAAAATAACTTTTTACTTCTTATTCTTCTCTATGACCTTAGGATGACTTTATTTTTTTAAGACATTTTTCCTATATGTTTTTGGGGGAATGTTAGGTTGCCACACTCATAGGAAAAGTGTGATGCTATCATGCCTCCTGTTTTATTGTAAAGGTGTGAATTCTTGCTATGTGGTGTGTGAAGACAGAACTATCCCATACATACGTGGTTCAGAGTGAGATATCTCTAGGCTCACAGTTGTGAACCCATATTAATATGGTATTATTCCTGCCAACTCTTCCAATTTATAGCTCATAAACTAACATCCTAAACATTGTCATTGAATGACCTACCTTATACACAAAGGATAAAGTTCATTCACCTAGAAAAAAATCTGTGCATTTAAATTAGTGGCCGCAAGACAACAGGAAGCTTTCTTTCATTTTTTGTTCAACAAACCTTGCAAAAGCAAAGTTTAAAAAGTAGATTAATTCATCAACAGAAAGCATCACATGGAAACTGTGGCCAATCTGAAGAGAAATATAGCATGTAGACATAGATATGTATCAAATACTTATACAGATGCACTCACACACTTTAAAACATTAAAAAGGCCTCCTGAGGCACAGCGTTATTAATAAAACAAGGCTCTTTTGGGTGAAGTTGAGAGAAGCAATGAGTTAAAACGTGAGAGGAAATGCTAAGAAATGATATATATTATGGTGCTTTAAATCTTGATTTCCTAAGACTTTAAGAGATTTAAAATTCTTCTCCAAATAAGAAACCAGCATGTCAATGAAAAATGTATTCTAGGGAGGTGTTGAAACAAATCCGGTTTTTAAAATGTGATATATCACATAAACCAAAACAGAAACCAAGACATATCTTGTTTTCCTGAAGTAACTACAGAGCATGGTTCTTTTCCATCAACCTTAAGCACGATACATTTCAGGTGTAGATTCTTTTATACCAATACAGATTCTGTTATTACTGTTTGTGACCATGTGTGTGCATGTGTGATTTACATAGATGTGTCAGGACTCTTTTTCATACCAGTTAGCCGGGGTATCACAAATAGAATGAAAGACTGACTTATTGGTCCATTAGTTTATATAATGTTCAGGTTCAGTGCGGAAGCATTTTGGCATTCTTCAGGAATGAAACCATTTTTAAAAGGTTAGTCTGTTACTCTAAGATGATGAACACATACAGTTCTTTGTCATTAAATATCATTTTTGTAAATACCACAAGATTTTTCCTCTTTAAAACATATCGGGACATTTAGATGGGACTGATTTTTGTTCTCCCTACATGAAATTTGTATATTTCCTCCCATGAAGTTTGAGTGACATGAATGGGGAATACAAGAGTGTTCCCTTATGTTGATAAGGAAAAAGATACTGTTTTTTGAAGAGGCATAACATCCTGTAGGAGATGGGGAGTTAGGACAGTTTTTAAAAATGCCTGGATTACCATAAGGCATTTATAAAATGAGGAGGTGTAACCAGTGGAGCTCTGTTGACTTAACGCCAACAACGACTTCAGCTTTACTCTAAGAATGGGACCAGATGAATTCTCTGTAGTTTCATCAGCTTGAACGATATAGTTTGTTTCATTTATTGTCACGAATGCAATGACATATGGAAAGAGGGAATGATTGTAGTCATTCTTAGGAGAATTTTCGAGAAAGCCTGTTTTGTCTTTTGCTTCAGTGTTTTTTCTTGTGCCTTAAATCTTTAATGGGTACAATGATAATGGGTGATTGTTGATGTAAGTAAAGATTAGATTGAAGGCCAGCACGGTGGTTCACACCTGTAATCCCAGCACGTTGGGAGGCTGAGGCGGGTGGATCACGAGGTCAGGAGATCGAGACCATCCTGGCTAACATGGTGAAACCCCGTCTCTACTACAAATACAAAAAAATTAGCCAGGCGTGGTGGCGGGTGCCTGTAGTCCCAGCTACTCAAGAGGCTGAGGCAGGAGAATGGCGTGAAGCCAGGAGGCGGAGCTTGCTGTGAGCCGAGATCGCGCCACTGCACTCCAGCCTGGGCGACAGAGCGAGACTCCGTCTCAAAAAAAAAAAAAAAAAGAATGTCTCTTTAAGGAAAATTATTTGTATTTTGATCAATTATGAGCATTTAGGTTTTTCTGTATCATTGCACGCTCTAAAATGACTGAAGTTCACTCTATCTTTTGAGCAAGGAGACCTACATTTTATATAATCAAAATGTGTTTAGATGGTTTATTGCTTGTTTAGGATGTTGTGTTGCTAATATTTCATGTATTAATCCTTTTTATGGCATTTTTTTCACAAACACTAGAAACATTTTTGACTTAAAATCATGTAGAAATTCAGCACATTAAAAGATACGTCTGTTTCTGTTTGGCATGGATATTCAGCTTCATTATGTAAAGAAATTTTTTTACAGTTTCACATGCATGATATTTATTTGATAAAAATTTTAGGTATATTCAAAAGTCACCATTATTTCTTTTATGAAACATAGGTGCAGAATTTTTATTATAAAGGTATATTTTAAAACAGAATAGATTACACATATTACATGCATTTTGTGTACATATGTCTATAGGAATCAATTTACAATTTTCCAAAAACATCTTGCTTTAGTTTGTGGATATTCACTGCTTTCATTCTATTTTTAATTAAATAGTTTTGCTATTTTCTCTATGCATGTTTGAGAAACCAAAACAGTTAAGCACAAGCATTTTGATTTATTGATATATAATAACAAATGTGTGATTGAATCCCATGACTAAGAGTACATTAATATATTTCTTGTGCACATGATCAGTTTATCTTTGTTATTCCATATGAGTTAAAAAAAAAAAAAAGCCTCCACAACAAATGAGGCATCTAAATTGCCAGAGTCAAATCTCTTTAGACTACGTGGTTAATTGACATTAGAAACTTTCTACCACCAACAATGTAATTTCTACAAGGTATTGCAAAATTGCTAGCATGCATTTTGTTGTAAAATACTTATTTATGAAAATAAACAGCTTTCCTGCAGGTCTCCAAGTGTTTTTTCTCCCCCTAGTGGGACTCTAGTCTATTAAAGCCTTGTATAGGATTCTCAAATGCCCTCATAATCAAATTCAGTCCTTCATTAAAAAGAGAAATGATACAGGATATCCTACACTTATTTCACTTTTGGTTGATTTAACAAATTCATTGCTTTAGTAGTAACAGAATCATTTTAAAAATGCAAAGACAAATATACATTAAGTTCAAAACTAGATGAAGCAACTCCCATTGGTTACACTATATTCTTTTTGGCTACAGATAACTATTAGGATTGTCCTAGTTCTCTTTTAATTTCTGGCTGCTAATTTAGTGGCTTCTCTTAATTCTTTCAATCCCTAAGATCTCCCTGAGCAATCTCATTCACAGTCATGATCTTAACAGCTACCTATGTGCTTTCGACTTCCAAATCTGCATCTCCCGGTCGGGCTTCTCCCTGGGAGCTGCAGATCCATGTATACAGCACTCAGTTGTATATCCCGTAGTTACTTCCAACTTAAATGTTCTTGTCTCTTGAAAATTTCTGTTCAACATGTTGTTGATTTCTATAAGTGAATCTTGTATTCGGTACCTTACTGAACTTTTTTTTTTTTTTTTGTACTGGAGTCTTGCTTTGTCACCAGGGTGGAGTGCAGTGGTGCAATCTCGGCTCACTGCCACCTCCGCTTCCCAGGTTCAAGCAATTCTCCTGCCTCAGCCTCCTGAGTAGCTGGGACTACAGGCGCCTGCCACCATGCCTGGCTAATTTTTGTATTTTTAGTAGAGACGGGGTTACACCATGTTAGCCAGGATCGTCTCGATCTCTTGACCTTGTGATCTGCCCGCCTCAGCCTCCCAAAGTGCTGGGATTACAGGCGTGAGCCACCATGCCCGGCCCTGAACTTCTTAGAAGTGGTTTGTAGTTTCTGTAGGACTTTAATGAAGACTGTAATATTATCTGCAAAAGTAACATTTGTTTTTTCCTGTTTCAATCCTTAAAATAGCTACTTTTTTTCCTATTGAACAAGCTATAACCACTAGCACATATTGGATGGAAGCAGCAATGGCAGATATTTTTGTCCTAACATTAAGGGAATGCTTCTAGTATTTAATATTAAGTGTGATGTTTGCTTATGTTTCTGGTAGATGCCTTATATCAATTTGCTCCTAGTTTTCTAAGAGTTATTTTATTTGAAAACTCTGAAGGAGTTTATGAACTATGAATTTTATAAAACTCTGTATCCATTAGGATTCTTATGTTTCTCCTTTAGTTTTTTAAATGTTGTAAATTACATTACTTTTTTCTCTAATGTTAAACTGTTCTCACATTCTTAAGACAATAATTGGTTATATATATAATTTTTACATGTTTCTGGATTTGATTTGCTAATATTTAGAATTTTTATACCTGTTTGTAAATAGAATTGATCTATTTTGATTGTTTTCATACATCCTCTTTTCTGGTTATAGTAGTAAGGTTGAGTTAGCTTCATAAAATAAGGAAGAGGGCTTTCCATTCTTTCCTACTCACTAAAACATTCGTAGGTTTGAGTCATCTCTTTCTTGAGTGTTTCATTACTTATAAAACTGCCTCAGCTTGGTATTGTGTGTGTGTGTGTGTATGATTAAAGTGGTTTTTCTTTTTTAAAATTGAATTTCTTTTCTGGTTACCTGTCTATTCAGGTTTTCTGTTTATTGAATTGGCAATCTATATTTCTTTAAAAAATTGTTAATTTCTTTCATATTTTCAAATTTATTTGCCAAAAGTTATTTATAGTATTTTTAGAACTTTTAAAAACTTTTGCCTAAATGTAATAATGTTCTCTTTTTCCATTTCCAATATTGTTTACATCTGCTTTTCTATTTCTTCAATATTGCCAGATATTTGTTTTTATTAATGTTTTTTAAAGCAATACATTTTTGATCCTCTGTACTGTTTATTTTTTTCTATTTCCTTATTGCTCTTATCACAAATATTTCCTTTCTTCTGCTTTCTGTGTGTTTTCTATAATTCCTTAAGTTGAATGCCTTTCTAATTACATTTTGGCTTTATTCATTTCTAACATGCTTTTGAGGCTATAAATTTGCTAGTGTGTATCATATTAGCTATAACCTCAGATTTTGATGTAAATTATTCTTTTATGGTCATTTGGCTTTAAATAGGTTTTGTAATTTTCTGTTTGTTCGTAGACTCACAGGTAAATGCGTGCAGTGAGTGCTCTACCCAGATCCCATTTCACTTGGCTGGTGTGTCCACCCGTCAAATGCTATGGGTGTTCTTTAACTTTAGCACGGTCACTATAACTATGACAAATCCTTGCACTGGCAGGTGGCACATAGGTGACCAAGATGCCACAACCACACCTAGGGATGCTTTTTCATCACCCTCGAGTGACTGTTTACTTGCTTCAGAGAATTGCCCGCAGTCAAACAGAAGCTGCCTTGGCCAGGAGGTTCCCTTCTTGCATTAATAGCTTGCAGTCAACAACAGACCTAAAAGGAAGGAAAGATGTCATCCTTTTGCCTCAAGGTGGGACTAACTCTGATGCAGTGTGTGCATCAGAGTTGCACACTCTGCATCCCTTTGCCTCAAGGTGGGATCAGGCTGCTGGTACTTTTCAACTACATCTTGCAATACTTTCAGTCTGCATCTTGGGCCACATCTTGCTTTACTTTCCCCTCGACCCTGTCCTGCTTCTCCCACTCCTCTTATGAACCATCCTTCAATAAATCATAGAAGAATCCCCATCTCAGGTTCTGCATCTAGGGGGCCCAACCTAAGAAAGGGTATCAGAATAGCTTAGGCTTTGGAAATAGATTTTCAGGATGGAATTCTGGGAATGGATAACTTGCTGGCCTGACAGCAATGGATATCTCATCACTGGAGGTAAATCGAGTTTTGATAGTCTCTGGCAGGTTGTAGCAGTGTGATTGCGAAGATTTTCATCTGTGGCAAACTGGGACAGTATATAGGTTGAAAGGGATGCACTAGCTAGTGCAATGCCTGTGGAGTTTGGAGTGTATTCCAAAAAGGGACTGAGACAGATCTCAGTCGCTTAGAGGTTTATTTTGCTAAGGTTGGGGACATGCCTGGGAATAGAAACAAAAGTTACTGTGACTGGTGTTTTTTCCATAAAGGATTTTGCAAATTTCGGTATTTAAGAGGAAAGAGCAAGCAGGAGGGGAAGAAAAAAGGGAGGGAGGGTAAGCATAAGGCAAGTGATTATAGTCTTGTGAGCCTTTGAGTAGCACTCAGTGAATCTACATTTTACTTGCGATGAAAAAGAGAGTAGGGGAAAAAGTCAATTAGGCATTTGTCTCACACTCAGTAAATCTATATTTTACATAAAGTAAGCATGTGAAATTACAGCTATCTGGGAACAAAAGGAAAGCAGTTTTTTGTTGTTGTTGTTTGTTTTTTTTTTGGTGTGACTCAGTTCCCAAGCTTAACTTTCCCTTTGGCATAGTGAGTTTGGGGTCCTGAGATTTTATTTTTCTTTCACAGGAGGTAGGTGGAGAAATAGTAACTCTAAGGCATATTATGGAATTAGGTTGCTTTCACTAAGCACACTTTAAGGATTGAAAAAGAAATGACAGACTGAAATCTATTAATCAACAATTCAAAGCCAAGTGTGAAATTCAGAGGACTTCACTGGTAACACTTAAAAGAATACCTTTCTCCCACATTCAAAAGCAGATAGAGCTGAAGATCAGAACTAGGACTTAATAAGAGATACTGAATTCTCAGCCTAGGCAAGTTTCCCCAATGTCAAGTCCTTAATGGGGAAGGATTAGAACCTCAGGACTTGGTGTGGGACAATCAGGGTACATGCACTTGAGAACTTTGAACCTCCTCCAGTTTCCTCTGAACCTTTGCATGTGTGGAAATGACCCGTTCTCCTTTGTTGGAAGGTAGAGGCCCCTCGTTACCTGAAGTCTATGCAGGGGCCTCAAATGGGAGCAGAGCCCACTTACTAGACAATGCTTACTCTCCTGCAAGAAGCAGGGTGGCATGCCTAGAGTTAATTCTTAGGCAGTTGGATCAATTAGAGGAAGAATATATAACTGGATGAGGAAGAGTTTGTAAATTTGGAGCCATGCCCTGGTGACACAAGATTTAACACCCCCAGCAAGGGTCCTGAAAGACATCTCGTGTGCTGCTGGCATGACTCTTGGAGGATTGCAAAAAGCACAGGTTCCAATTACATGAAGTAGAGATTCCAGACTGTGATGGCAGACTATGGAGGAGGGGATCAAAAGGCACATTGATATGAGCATGCCAGAATGAGTCTTCTATATAAAACAGAGAATGTTAGGAGAGCTTGCAGGCACAACATTTGTCAAGGTGATCAGTGTGCTGGTGAACACCAGCATTTTAGAGAAGCTCAGTGGTGGCTATACTTTTGTAGGCAAGGGTGGAAAGTAGGAGATGTCATTGGAAAACTGGGTTCTCTAGCAGCAATAAAGATAACGGGGGTCCCAGAATAGCACTTAACCATCAGAAACAAGGTGGGAATTATTATGGGCAGCAATATTGGAATGACAGCCAGAAGGCCTTGACTTGCAGGATCTGTAAAGATGGTCAACAGGATATGTTGTTTCTAAAGTCAAGATGTATGGGCAGCTATTATGGGTGTGCTTAATATATATTATCAAGTGGAGTAAAGAATGGTTGAGCAGAAGGCTGAGGTCAGCTGTTCCAATAAACAGTGAAAATCCTTTGGCTGGGTTTCATCGTGAGCTATTTTTTAGTCAGCACCCATCAGCTGAAGAAGCTGGGTCCTCATGAGGAGGACTCAGAAACACCCTGGCATGAGCAGTTTAGTAATTCCCCGTGTCCTTCCCCAAAGTGACCTACAAGCCAATTCCTTGGATAATCTATACACTGACATAAGGGAAATGCACAGCTTTTTTGAGCACTGTTGGATTCCAAGGTGACACTGATTATTGAAGACCCAAAATAACACCTGGTCTCCTCTATTACAGTAGGACATATGAGAGGTAATAAATAGAGTCCTTACCAAAGGCCATAGCACAGTGGGTCCTCTGCATTCACAGACCCAACAAGTGGTCTGTGACATTGGGACCTTCAGTCCCAAATGTATAATCAGAATCACCATTTTTAGCTGTTGACAGACTTTTCACACATTAGTCCCTATGAACTATAGGTTTTATTCTGTTTTATAATTTTAAGCTGTCTTCTACTGGAAGGACCTATGAATCATAGAATAAGAGGTATTACAGCAGAAAAGGCTGAGTAGAAGCCCCTGAAATGCCCCCTCCCAGGCCAGTAAAATAAAATATTACATATTGAGGGAATGGGAGGTATTAGTGCTATCCTCAAATATTTAAAGGATGCAAAGGTAGTAGTCCCTGTTACATCCCTTTTAATTTACTAGTCCGGCTGCAGCAAGAACTGAATGGACCATGGTGATGATAATGTACTACCATCACTTAACAAAGTAGTAGCCTCAATTACAAAAGCTTGTGTCAGATGCAGTATCTTTATTAGAAAAGAGGAACACAGCCTCTGTTCGTTTTATGTGGCTATTGATCTGGCATAGGCGTTCTTCTCAGTTCGTGTTAGGAAGGAGAATCAGAAGCAGTTTGCATTTCAATGGGCTAGACAAATTTTGTGATCTTGCTAAAGGGCTATGTTTTTTCTTTGGATATCATTACTACTGTGACAGCGCTTTTCAGTTAGTGTGAGAATAGCCATAACGTTTTTCATTCTCTTTCAACCTTTCTGTACCATTATAAGAGTATCTCTTGTAAATGGCAAATAACTGGATTTAAAAAAATTAATCTATGAATCATTGTCTTTTATATAGGAAGTTAATTCAATTTACATATATTTTGACTTCATTCTATTTTGCTATTTCTATTTTTCATATTTTCTCTCTCCTAATTCTGGAAAATTCTCAGATACTATCATTTCAAGTATTACCTCAATCTTATTTCAATTTTTCTCCCCTTCCTCTCTTTTTAGATACATACAGGATATTTAATTCATTTTCCAAGTCTCAGTCTTTCTTTTATATTTTTATTCATTTATATCTTTATTCTGGGTTATGGGTAATTTCAGATCTTTCTTCAGTTCCTTAAATCTTTCTTTAGCTGCATCCAATCTGCTGTTTTTTTCTTTCATTTTGTTTTTAAGATTAATGATTATGGTTTTCATTTTTAGAAGCTCTATTTGGTTTTCTCAAATTTGGTTTTCTTTTTCTTTTTTGTCTGTTCAGAGATCTTGTTCTTTCATTACATTTTCTATGCCTTCTTTTATGATTTTAATAATTTTGAACATATGTAAATATTCAGTTATAGATACCCACAATTTTGCAAATTATATTTGTTCCCTTGAGTGCCTATTTTCCCATCTGTTGTGTCTGCTGAGCTTCTCTCATCAGGATTCCTTTCCTTGTATGGCCTGCACATTTTTCATTGTGAGCTTATCTTTGGATTCTTTGCTTGCATGACACGTTTATACTCTGGGTTGTAGAAGTCTTTCTGGGGAGGTTTCACATTTCGTTTTGCCAATGTCCTAGAGCTTTCATGGTTCTTAGACCAATACTATGTCTATTCTTTTGATTTTGGAGTCCCAAACTACTTGGGTAGTATATGTTTGAGACCTGCATGTTATAGAATTGGATTTGACTTTATATTGATTTTTTTTTTTTGTAACTAGCAAGATGCTAGGGTGGATAGCAAGAAGTCTTGTTTCCATGCTGTTTCTAGGAGCCTAGGAGAGTAGGCTGTTTCTAATTCCCCATTCATAAACTGACTTGCATGAGGGAACCTATGTTAGGGAGGGGTCTTATATTCTTTTTTTCTCACTTTAAAAAACCTGTGTTAAGGTATTTATTAAAAACCCACAACTAGTATTACATTTGATGGTGAGAGTGTATGCTTTCTTCCTCAGGTTAGACACAACATATTCTCCTATCACAGTTCTCTGTCCTTAATTCAAAGTAAAATATCAAATAACAGCCAGAAATAATGACAAAGAGTAAAGGGCAACGTATGAAAGTAATAATTCACATGAAACTATACTTCATGAGAAACTTTACGTACTTAAAAATTGACACCAACTCTTTTTTTTTTTATTTTTTATTTTGAGACGGAGTCTCACTCTGTTGCTGAGGCTGGATTGCAGTGGCATCATGTCGGCTCACTGCAACCTCTGTCTCCTGAGTTCAAGTAATTCTTCTGCCTCAGCCTCCTGAGTAGCTGGAATTACAGGCGCTCACCACCACTCCCAGCTAGTTTTTAAAATTTTTAATTTATTTTTATTTTTAGTAGAGACGGGGTTTCACCGTGTTGGCCAGGTTGGTCTTGAACTCCTTACCTCAGGTGATCCACCCACCTCGGCCTCCCAAAGTGCTGGGATTATAGGCGTGAGCCACCGCGCCCGGCCAACACCAACTCTTTATTAGCAAAGAAAGTTTTATACACCCAAATTGAGAAGTTTTTGTTATAATAACAGATGGAATATATAAAATGGGTAAGGATATCCAGAACCTGTCACAAAGGTGAGTAAAAAAAATCCCAACAATTAACAAAGACTCATTTTTTCAATGGCCTATTAATCACAGAACAATTAACTATATAAAAATTGAACCTACCTATATATAAGAAGTACAGTTAAGGCCAGGCGCAGTGGCTCATGTTTGAAATCTCAGCACTTTGGGAGGCCGAGATGGGTGGATCACCTGAGGTCAGGAGTTCGAGAACAGCCTGACGAACATGGTGAAACTGCATCTCTACTAAAAATACAAAAAATTAGCCGGGCGTGCTGGTGGGCGCCTGTAATCCCAGCTACTCGGGAGGCTGAGGCAGGATAATCACTTGAACTTGGGAGGTGGAGGTTTCAGTGAGCTGAGATCACGCCATTGCACTCCAGCCTAGGCAACAAGACCAAAACTTCGTCTCAAAGAAGTACATTTAAATTCACACAATGATTCAACACAACAACACTACCTGTTAAACTCCTGTACTATTGCTCATGTACAGAATTCCCACCTCAGTGTTCTCTTGCAAAAGCAGTGAAAATCCATAGTCCAGAGACCCTCTTTAATAATGAGCCATTGATAAACACAGTACATTTATGAGTCATATTACATTTTGTTCATGTTTTGAATTTTCTCAAGTATTCTACAAAAATTGGCATCAGGTTTTCCATATTTATAGAATGTCATTCCAGTAGTTTTCATATAATTTTAAAAATAATTGTTAACATTGAGAACTTTCCTGTATTTTCCATACTGCCAGGGTTTCAATCAGGCATGTATTTTTTTTTTTTTTTTTTTTGAGACAGAGTCTTACTCTGTTGCCCAGGCTGGAGTGCAGTGGCATGATCTTGGCTCACTGCAACCTTTGCCTCCCGGGTTCAAGCGATTCTCCTGCCTCAGCCTCCTGAGTATCTGGGATTACAGGTTTGTGCCACCATGTCAATTTAATTTTTGTATTTTTAGTAGAGTTGGGGATTCACCATGCTGGCCAGGCTGGTCTCGAACTCCTGGCCTCAAGTGATCCACCCCCCCTTGGCCTCCCAAGTGCTGGAATTACAGGTGTGAGCCACCGTGCCTAGCCACGTGTACATTCTTATAAGGTCCATCTCCAGTGTACAGTCATGTCTTTTTTTTGCCAACTCTCTGCCTTGCATGGGAATAAGGCTGGAGGTCCATCCCTGCTGTGTGTGTTAACTATCAAAGCCCTAGGCCTCAGGGTTTCTGTGCAGACCTGATACCTCCTGAATTTACCACAGTAGTGGCTGAATCTTATGCCTCTTGTTTATTTTAACAGATAACTATAACATTTCAGTGGTTTAACAAAATATAAATGTATATAAATATAAAATGTTCACATAAAGTGTGAGGCAAGGGATGGGGAACTGTATTGCCACACAATTATTTAGGGAACCAGGCTGACAGGGGCAATGGCACTTTACTCATGGCTCCCAGGTTGCCCAGCCTGTTGACATCCAGCCGGAAGATGGCAAAAGAGGGAGACCAGAATCACAGGGGAGCTTCCTAAATGCCAGGCTTGGGTGAGGTGTATAATTATTTCTGCCCACATATGGTTGGCCAGACCTCAGCCACATGGCTCCAGCTAGATGAAAGAAAGACTGAAAAATGCAGACCTGAGCTTGGCAGACACCTTCCCAAGTCTACTTTTTTTTTTTTTTTTTTGAGACAGAGTCTCACTCTGTCACCAGGCTGGACTATAGTGGCATGATCTCGGCTCACTGCAACCTCCACCTCCCAGATTCAAGTGATTCTCCTGCCTCAGCCTCCTGAGTAGCTGAGATTATAGATGTGCATCACCAAACCCAGTTAATTTTTGTATTTTTAATAGAGACGGAGCTTCTCCATATTGGCCAGGCCAGTCTTGAACTCCTGGCCTTGTGTGATCTGTCTGCTTCGGCCTCTCAAACTGTTGGGATTACAGGTGTGAGCTGCTGCACCCAGCCCCCAAATCTTAATGAAGGAGGAGCTCACATCTTTAGAGGAGAGTGAGCCATCTATCACTAGAATTTCATATCCATTGGATATTAACAAGTTCAGCATTTTCCTATCTAATGGTGCATGACCAATATTTGTTGAAATGGGTGACATGGATTTAAATAACTATCTTAAAGTGCTAAAGGGCATTAAAGAAATAAAGATGTTCAGTGGAAGGAGAGGGATCATTTCCATTTCCATTTGAGAAATCAGCAAAGATGTTGTGGAAGAAGTAGCATTTGAACTGAGACTAGGCGTGTGGGTAGGATTTGGACATGCCATCTCTGGTTAAGCATTAGGCAGCTCCTTTCTAAGAACACTCAAGTAGTATACATGCCATGAGCAGACAAGGGTGAGGTTGACTTTTTTTTTTTTTTTTTTTTTTTTGGGACGGAGTCTCACTCTGCCGCTCAGATTGGAGCGTAGTGGTACAATCTCGGCTCGCTGCAACCTCCACCTCCCAGGTTCAAGCAATTCTGCTGCCTCAGCCTCCCATGTAGCTGGGATTACAGGTGCCCACCACCATGCCTGGCTAATTTTTGTATTTTTAATAGAGACGGGGTTTCATCATGTTGGCCAGGCTGGTCTCAAACTCCTGACCTCGTGATCCACCCGCCTTGGCCTCCCAAAGTGCTGAGATTACAGGCATGAGCCACCATGCCCGTCCGAGCTTGACTTTTTATGAGGTTCCCTGAGTCAGAATCCCTTGTTCGCAGACCACTCTGGCCTTGCCAGCTCCTGCTACCTCCTTGGCTCTCTTCCTCTTCAATCTCGGGTCCCTTCCCTTGTCTCTAGTGCTTAAGTACACAGGCAGCATCAGGGATACTTGGTTTTAGTTTTGGCTTCGACACTTATTGTGTGACTTAGGCAACTTTTCCAACCTCTCTGAGCTGCAGTTTTCTTCCTTATGTAAAAGAGAAATAATAATAATATGCTACTTTGTCCACCTGTGAGGATTTAAGGCCGAATGTATGTACAGCACTCAGCACAAAGTAAGCATTCAGCAGCTGTGAGATATTATAATTATTAGCTTGTTTTTTTCTTACTTGGTTTTTTGGCATCTTCTTTTGAAACTCCTGGCAACCTTCCCTGGCTTCTTTCTGCTTCTCTACTACCCACTTTTGAGCCAGAACAGTTTCTTTCTTTGTTCTTTTTCATTATTAACAAAAATACTGCTCAGAGCTCTCTTTTCAGTCTTGCTGTACTTATATTACCTTGACCTTCTAGGTTCATAACTTTTTTTTTTTTAACTAAAGCTGCTGATTAATTTTTAGGATGTCCCTTAGAAAGAGAGGGGAAATGGTATTGGCATTGATGATGGCGTATGTGTGTGTATGAGAGTAAGATGGAGCAAGCCCATTCTATGTGCTCTGTAATCATCTTGACATTAGCTTTGGTAAGCTTCACAGCACTGAACATAAAAACTGTTTACATGTAAAATTTGGGGGAATTTGTCTTCATGGCTACCTTAGAGTCTTAACTATGGCTGATTCCATCCCATGCAGCCCACATAGAATAGCCACAGATGATGTGAATGGTACATTGGAAAGTTTCTATCTGTGATTGTCATCATCCATAAAGTGCTCAAGGTGTTAGGCTTCTGGTAAAATACTAGTGGGCAACCAGATACCTGTTCGGGCATCATGTTAGTGTGAGGATCTATACATTGTCTTCATCATCAATAAAAGGTTTATTGGGCCCTCTGCCATGTAGAGCATCATGCCTCCAGCTGCCAGAGAGTAAACCAGGTCTAATGCAGGCTCCATATCCTGGCTTTGCTGTTCCTGAGCACAAGTGACCCTGACACAAAGAGGGGGTCACCACCGGAAAGCCACCCATTTTCCACCAGCTGCAGTGTCACGTCCTTCTGCATTTGCATTTCTGACAGGCAGTCTCTGGGTAGAAGATAAAATTTGGATGATCATTTGGGTTATTCAGATGAGGAAGTGCAATTTTGCCCTTCATTTCTAGGAGTGAAACTTTAAGGTCCACTGAGATTACTTTGAGGTCCATGGTGGTTACATCCAGTTTCCGAGGATATCCTAGAAAAAGTGTCTGGTTACTTGCCATGGAAATTGCTTTCCTTTCTTTGGCTGGAGACCATCATCCTCAAACTAATTTCCTGTTTGGTGCTCAATATTTGAAAGCAGGAAATTGTATTAACGAATAGGAAGCTGGAGATGATGGTGAAAATGCATTTAGAAATTTGGCTGCTAGGGAAATCATTTTTGCCTCCCTTAATTTATTAAAAACCTAGATCTTATTTGGCATCTTCTTCCCTCATTCTTATTCCCGTTATTAGCCATTATCAAAAGAACATTATTAAGTACGAATGTCTGCTTGGCACTAGGAGTGAGTGACTGAGTCCCTGCCCACTAGGAGGATTGTAACAAAAACGGCGAGGACAACAACTAGCTGCAAGAACAATAAATAGTTGCAAGAACAAAAATATCAGTATGAATGTGATTCTTTACTTGATAGATATACTTCTAAAGCCCTCACATGGATTAAGAAAAAAATTCACTAGAGCCCTGTGAGGAAGACACCATTACTTCCATTTTATTGATGAAGTGTGTAAGGCATGGAGTAAATAATTGGTTTAAAGTTACACAACTAGTAAATTGAAAAGTCTAGATTCACCCTTTCTCAGCTCATGTTATTAGCCACTATGTTCTACTGCTTCTAATTTAACCAGAAAATACTAGAAAGAGTAAGCAAAAATAAAAGTGCGGATTATTACACTCTAGGGTAGGCATATTTTGCAGGATGGGTCTGAAAAGGGAATTTGGGGAATTTCTACTGTCTTCCTCAAAAGCAAGCCTCCTCAGAGGAGAATATACATTTGCAACTTGAATGAAGAGTTAGGGTGAGGCAGGTGGGGACAGGAAACAAGGAAGTCAAGCAGGAAACAAGACAGTCAATACACGGCAGAGACTCAGCTCCTTGGACCCGGATTGCCCAACCTCTTCAGCCAGCTCCACTCCATGGAAGGAAGAAGCAGGCTCTGGTGCCAGCCTGGCGCAGCCTCACCGTGACACATCAGCAGCCTTTTGAATGTCACCCGAGGCAGGTGAGTCTAAATCAGCCACCATATTCGTTGAAGCTTTTGATCCCTAATGTTGGAACAACACGATCTGGTAACATAGATTCAGGTCTAGGAAGTTCATAAAGTCAGATTCTATTCTGGGTCTTTTCTGGGATAAATAGCTGGCTGGAAGTCACAGTCATTCTGAAAGGCTGAAAATAACTAGCACGACATTTTAATGAGTTAATAAATTTTTCTCACTGAACTACATGGAAAGACATGAAACATCACACTTTAGCTATTCACTAGGCTTAATTAAACTTGATGTTGAAAAGGTCAGTGCCCTGTCTGGTGAGTTCAAAATCACTTCAGATCTGACAGTAGGGGTGACTGTAGAGGTGAAAGCAAATGTGTTCACAGGCAAACTGGGAGACTTATGCCTCTATTGGAGCCTTAAACAGGTATGTTTTAAATGGGCCTTGCCCCAGATAGTAACAATTAGCATTTATTAAGTGCTAGCTCTGTGTAAGTCACTGCTCTGATTGCTTTAGCTGTGTTAACTCATTTAATCCTCAACAGCAACCCCAGTAGGTACAAATTTTTAATCATTCTTGATAGATGAGGAAACTGAGGCCCAGAGAGTTGTCGTGATTTGGCCAATGCTCTACCTTTGCAAGTCTGCAAAATGATAGAGCCAAAACTTGAATGCATAGTCTGACTCCGGAGCTTGCATGCTTAACCACTGGGCTATCCTGCCTCCCTCAATCAGAGTTGAGCTGTACTCACATAGTTAAAAATGCACACATCGGCCGGGCACGGTGGCTCACGCCTATAATCCCAGCACTTTGGGAGGCCAAGGTGGTAGGATCACCTGAGATCAGGAGTTTGAGACCAGCCTTACCAATATGGTGAAACTCTGTCTCTACTAAAAATACAAAAATTAGCTGGGCTTGGTGGCGGATGCCTGTAGTCCCAGTTATTCAGGAGGCTGAGACAGGAGAATTGCTTGAGCCCAGGAGGCGGAGGTTGCAGTGAGCCAAGATCATGGCACTGCATTCCAGCCTGGGCAATAGAGCAAGACTCTGTCTCAATAAATAAATAAATAAATAAATAAAAATGCACACATCTCTTGTGGGAGATTAACACCTTACACTTTCCAGGAATACCAGTGAATGCATTTTAAGACAGGTCAAAGCATGTAAGACACTCACACGCTGCATGAGAATATATGATTCTTACCAGTATCATATGAATTGGTGCAGGTCACAAGGAGGTCTGTTTACTAAGAACAATTATTGCAGTTTCTTCAACTCAAACACCTCAATTCAGCAAACATTCATTGAGCTTCTCCTGTGAATTAGATGCTGTGCTAGGTGTTGGGGAGAAATATGAGTAAGTCATGGTACCAACCTTCAAGGAGCTTGCGGATTACAGATTTGTTCTTATAAAATTTCTGGGAAGACAAAAATAGCATTCTGGACCAATCTTTCATTAGCTCAGCACTCCAGTTCGGTGGAATCTTACTTTTATTGCCTGCAATGGTTTAGACTGAATTCCCATGTAGTGGTTTTATTGCATATATAATAAATGTAAAATAAATATATATATATAATATATATATTATTTCTTGCCCATTTTTTTTGCATCCTATGTAAAAATGCAGAGCCCTATGCTAAAAGATATGTTAAATCTGGGACATATTAAACAGAGATGAGTTGCAGCTACTTTCTCAATCTTTCTGACAGAATCTGTTCACAGGGAGGGAATGCTTTGAGTCAGACTACCTGGGTTTAAACACTAGTTGAATCACTTTCTGGCTGCATGACCACCTTGGGTGACTCACTTCATCTCTCTGAGCCCAGATTTCCTTATCTGTAAAATGGAGAAAGTAACTGTAGTCATCCTTAGAATCCTTTCAAGGATAAATTATATTAAATGCAAAAATGCATAATGATATTTGTCACATTACTTGGCAAAGAGGAAGCTCTCAACACATCTTAGCTATTTCAATTATTTTCTCCGCATTGTTCCATTTCTGAGTTCTGTTTCATCATTCAGTACTCTTAAGAGGCTGACTAGCAACATACAGACGGTAGGCTCTCCCACCTCACCTTTTTTCCTAGAGCAGATAGAAAATTGGTGTAGGGGCAAGATACAGGGTAACATTTGTTAGAGGTCCCATTATGACAAAAGCCCAACATTTCTTGTTGACATTTTCCATTTCTCAGAAGGCAAAGGAAACGATTCCTCTGATTCTGAAGTTGGTGATGTTGTAGAGACAGGGACTTGGAGAGAAAGCTAACACACCTTAAGGGTTGGGGCACAGAACAAGGACCCTCCTCTGCCCCCTTTGCATTCATTTCTGATTCAGTCTCTGCTGCTCTCCCCATGCTGGCTGCTCTCAGCTCTTGTCTTCGATCCTCAAGTCTCCCATCACCTCTGGTCTGATCTTGGCCTTCTGTAGCAAACCTAACCCTCTGCAACTACACAGACTGCTCCCCCAGTATAGTCCTGCTACACAGCTCTAGGAGGTGTTGTTTACATTGTAGTCACTGTAAATGGTGCCTCCTGGAGGTGTGCGGCTTGGTGACAGGGCTTGTTGGCCTTGCCATCTCTAGACACTCACCCCAGGGCTCATGGGCTGCTTCAGCTAGGACAGGCTTCTTACAATTTTTCAACGTGCCTCACTCAGTCTTGGATCTGTGTGTTTGCACATGCTGTTGCCTCTCCCTGGAAAGCTCTTCTCTCTTTCTTCCCATCATCTACTACCTCTGACGTGCAACCTCCCACAAAAAAGAACAAATCCCTCATGAAGGCAAGATTATTCTGGTTAACTTCTACTCATATTTCAAGACACAAATATCACTTCCTTTGAGGCTTTCCCAGAACCTTAAACTAGAATCAATCATTTTGTTTTAAGGATCTGTTAATGCTTGTGTCCTTTTTTTTTTGTAGCATCTAAACAATAGAAATTAGTTTAAAGTCTGTTTGAGAACTCCAGGGACCGGGGCTGTGACTAGGACGGTCTTAAGTCTTCACTACGTGAGTAAAAATCATCCTGCCTTATCCCTGGCTTCCCCCAGCCCCTCAGAGGCAACCTCTTTTAACATTTACTGTTTGAAATTCTTCTAGTGGCTTCTTCCATAATTTCAAATACTATATTTACTATTTCTTGATTTATTAATGGAGATAATAATTTATCTTTTTTTGAGACAGGGTCTGGCTCTGTTGCCCAGGCTGGAGTGCAGTGGTGTGACCTCGGCTCACTGCAGCCTCGACCTGGCTCAAGTGATCCTCCTGCCTCAGCCTCCTGAGTAGCTGGAACCACAGGCATGTACCACCACATCCAGCTAATTTTTGTATTTTTTTTTTCTTTAAGTAGAGACAGGATTTTTCCATGTTGCCCAGGCTGTCCTCAAACTCTTGAGCTCAAGTGATAAACCTGCCTCGACCTTCCAAAGTGCTGGGATTATAGGCGTGAGCCACCTCACCCAGCCTAATTTCTTACAATTAAAGATGGCGGTTAAATTTACTTTCCCTACCTCTCATTTTATTCTCTCTTCTCTTTCCATTGTTTGTTATGTTTTATTTTTAATTAGTTCATTGAGTTATCTTTACAGTTGTAAATTATAAACTTAAGTCGTTATTTATTTCTATAAGCTTCAGCCAGCTACTGCTACAGATTGATTGTTTGTATACCCACAAAATTCACATGTTGAGACCTAACCCCTACTGTGATAGTATTAGGAGGCGAGGCCTTTGGGAGGTGACTGGGGCATGAGGGTGGAGCCCTTATGAATGAGATTTGTGCCCTTATAGGAGGCTAAAGAAACCAGATGTGCCCCCTTCCACCAAGTGAGGACACAGCCAGAAAGCACCATGGATGAGGCAGAGAGCAGCCCTCACCAGACACTGAATCTGCTCTTGATGTATCTTGGACTTCCCAGCCTCTAGAACTGTGAGAAACAAATGTCTGTTTTTCATAAGCCACCCAATCTATAGTATTTTGTTACTGCAGCCCAAATAGACTAAGACAGTACTCTTGACTCCACTAAACCAGATGAGGCTATTAGTGTCCCTACTTTTATCTCCTCTTATTTTTTTTTATTTTGTTTTCTGAATTTTGCTAGCACTACCTTCATTTTCATATCATCAGATTTATCACACATACAGTTCATTTTACAATCATAATTTAGACTTTTGGCTATAGTTTGATTCTGAAAGTTGAAAACAAGTAAGAAAAGCTTGCATTATTTTGACTTTGTAATGATCATCACTGCAAAACTATTGAAGTGACAAGATTCTGTTTTTTTCTCTGTGGGTTCAATAGTCCCAGGTTTTGTTCTACAGAAATAGAATGTGTGTCTAGTGGGAAGGTCAAGTTTCCAGTGGCTTCACTTTCTTTTTTTTTTTTTTTTTTATAATTATAGGTTAAGTTCTATGGTACATGTGCACAACGTGCAGGTTTGTTACATATATATACATGTGCCATGTTGGTGTGCTGCTCCCATTAACTCGTCATTTAGCATTAGGTATATCTCCTAATGCTGTCCCTCCCCCTTCCGCCCACCCCACAGCAGTCTCGTGTGTGATGTTCCCCTTCTTGTGTCCATGTGTTCTCATTGTTCAATTCCTGCCTATGAGTGAGAACATGCGGTGTTTGGTTTTTTGTCCTTGCGGTAGTTTGCTGAGAATGATGGTTTCCAGCTTCATCCATGTCCCCAGTGGCTTCACTTTTCTTATGCTCTATCAATTATTCCCTATCATGTCACAACCATCATTTCTTTGTGCAGTTTATTAAAAAATTTTCTTCCCAGAGTTTCTATTGCTTTGCTCTTTTCTTGTCGATAAGAGGAACATGTATTTTCTGTAGAATCAGTTACCTTGCTTACTATCTTTTGCAGAGATCATACCTGCTCTTTCCCCAGTCTGACTTTTATCATTTTGTAGGTGGGCTGCTGTTCTCTGGGATACTTCTTGGATCCTTTCATCTTTTGTGTCCAAAAATTTCACAAAAACATGCCTGATTTTCTTTTCAACCATTCATATTGCTGAATATGCAGCAGGCTCTTTCCTTCCTTCCTTCCTTTCTCTCTCTCTCTTTCCTTCCTTCCTTCCTTTCTTTTCTCTTTCTTTTCTCTCCCTTCCTTCCTTTCTTTCTCTCTCTCTTTCTCTCTCTCTCTTCCTTCCTTCCTTTCTTTTCTTTCTTTCTTTTTCTTTCTTTCTTTCTCTTTCTTTCTTTGTCTCTCTCTTTCTCTTTCTTTCTTTCTTTCTTTCTTTCTTTCTTTCTTTCTTTCTTTCTTTCTTTCTTTCTTTCTTTCTTGCGTTCACTCGTTCGTTCGTTCGTTTTTGACAGAGTCTCACTCTGGCAACCAGCCTGGAGTGCAGTGGGGCAAACTCTGCTCACTGCAACCTCCATTCCTGGGTCCAAGCGATTCTCCTGCCTCAGCCTCCCGAGCGGCTGGGGATTACAGACTCACGCCACATGCCTGGTTAATTTTTGTATTTTTGTGGAGACTGTTTCACCGTGTTGTCCAGGCTAGTCTCGAACTCCTGACCTCAAGTAATCTGCCCACCTCAGCCTCCCAAAATGCTGGGATTACAGGTGCGAGTCACCACACCCAGTCTTCAGCAGGCATTTTCAGTCTGAAGATTTTTGTATCCTATATCTTTGGAAATTTTTTTTCTGTTATTTTACTGATAATTTCGTCTCAATTATTGTTTTCTGTTATCTTTTTCCCCTTGATTGAACTTGTATGTCTTTACCAATTGTCTCATGTTTTTCATTTTTAAAATGAGGGATTATTTTACTTTCCAGGAAATGCTTTCAACTTATTCTTTTAGTTGTTTGTTATTTTGAACTACTTGATGTTCTTTTTCATTGTATTCTATTTTTATCTTATGGGTGTAATTTCTTCTTGAAGACTGATTAGATTCTTTTTAGAGTTCTGTGATTTCTGAAGTCCTTATGTTTCCCACTGAGTCTATTATTCCCTGTGTATATACCACCTCCTTCAACGTGCTCATTTTCCACAGATGTCTGATGACTCAGGTTGTACTTTCATATGTAAAGATGAAAGACAAGGTTGTTTATTCAGGACTGCTGGAAACAATTCACTCTGTTCTTGACTAGGTGGGTTTAGCTGTTCCATCGGTCTCTTGCTGGAATGAGAAGTATGACTGATAGCTCTGTGTCAGTGGGCAAGACTCGTTGGCTGGAAGATTTTGCTTTTAGATATAGAAATGGTGAGCTAGTCATCAGACTGGGTTTCTCCCACTCAAATGTTATGTTGAAGGAAGTTTTGCTTTGGGGAACCCATATTCATACTCTAAGCTTAGTCCTCCCTAGAAAATACTTTTTTTTTCCTTACACACACACACACACACACACACACACACACACACGATATGCAAAAACATTAGTGCCCCTGTTCATCATCCCTTTATAGTGCCAGCACATTGCTTGGCTCTGAATAAAAATGCAATAATTGTTTTAAATAACCATATAATAGTAACACATAGCTTTTATGTATTTGATTCTGAGGGTTCACCACTTATTAAGATATGCTCTCTGTACCCAAGCAGCTAATAGTCAGCTTCTAATGGAAGGAACAGATGTGTAAACAATCAGTATAATAAAGAGGGATAAGTGGGATAGAATGTGTTTTTATGAAGTGCTGAATTTATTGAGGAAGAGACATTAAGTCTGAGTGTGTGTGTGTCTGTGTGTGTGTGTGTGTGTGAGATATATATATATAAAGGAGAAGCTGCAGAGAAAAGGTGGCATTTCTAGAGGCAAAAGAACATATTGTCATATTGGTGGAACATAGAGCCTCTGGAGTCAGGCTGCTTGAATTTAAATCTTGCATATGTCAGTTACTGATTATCCTTGGATGAGTTATGCTCTCTTTGCCTATTTCATTTCCTGTAAAATGGGGATATGGTATTAGTCCTGACCTCATAGGGTTTTTGAAAATTAAATGAATTGATACATATAAAAGGCTTCAATGATCCCTCCCATGCAATACATGTTAGTTATTATTGTTATTGCTGCTATTTCTTGATGTGGTCTTGAATGATGAGTTCATAACCAGAGAATAGGCAGGTGGTTATTCTTGGGAAAATAAGCATTGTGAGTGAAGGCACAGGGGCATGAAAGTGCAGGCACATTTAGAGAGGGGAGACTGGTTGCATATGACTAGAATAAAACCATAATAAAACCAGAAAGGAGCTGGACAGATCCCAGGAGGCCTTGAGAGCCCACAAAGGAGCTGCTTACACAGCCCTTTGTTATTGTATTCTGGCTTGAGGTCCTGTTCACATAGTAACACTATTAATGGAGTTAGGGAATCTCTAACATACATAATTTCTAAAACCTCTGGGGACACCTTTTAATAGGTGGCATGAACTAAGTTGGGAACATTAAGAACTTATAGAAATATCTCTCTGAAGAAAACAAACAGGGAGGTGATAAGATTGAAAGCAAGAGCTCATTGGTCATATGTAAGAGGATTAGACTTCAAGGTAACTTTGAATTATGGAATCTTATCCAACGTGTGGAAGGTTTAGCAACGCAGAGTTTGGAAAGACATGGGGATGGGTTTTCTAGCCATACAGAGCCATTATCAGATATAGCAGCTCACCTGTGGGACAGTAGGTGTGGGATCACTGGAAGTGCCTAAGAAAATGCCAATGAGTGTTGACAAAGGGGTGGGGAAACGTGTGCCTGGGTGGGCCCATATTATCTAAGGTTTCTATCCAAGTGCCTGTGTGTACCTGACCTCTGGGCCAGAAACCATTTCTAAGTTTCTCCAGCTGCTATCTCAGCACTATAGGTATGCGGTTTCCCTTTGTTTTAGAAGTTTCAATACTGAAGGGAAGGACTGGTTTAGTGCAAGCAATGAGGCTGGGATCAAAGCTCTAAGGTCATCCTTGTTTGCCATACAATTGAGATGTCTGCCCAACCCAGGCCAGAAAATATCTTTAAAAAATGCATAGTCCACTGCTTCCCAGCCTCTGATTATATACGGCCTGCATTCTTTCCAAAGATCAAACTGTATTTCCTAATCCAATCCAGCCACCTTTCTCTGCTCTACCACAATAACTCCCAATCCTTGCCTCGTGGGCTGGGAGGGTCTTTACAAGTACCCACTTCCACGAAGCCTGGGCTGAACAGGAAAGACAGGGCATGCTGAATTGTTTGCAAACCCAGCTCCTACTTTATCCGCCTCGGCTTATTTTAGGCCTTCATCTGAGGAATAGAGTGCTTTTTAAATAGTTGCTGTTATGTCTGTACCTAGAAGTTCCCACCAGCCATCATTTTTCATTCTGGAAGCTTTTACAAGTCAGGTCTCGTCCTCAGAGATTCATTGGTATGCAAGACAGAAGCAAGCATGGAAAGCTTCAAACGATGTTGCCTTGAACAGATGCTTGGGGGCTTGCATAAGTCTTTAAAGAATACAATTAAAATGGTATTTCCACAGGAAGATAGAGAACCTGAGGAAACTGGAACGATTTCTCCAAAATCTGGCCAATGATCCTTGCTAAGGATACTGATTTGCCCTGTGTTTTATGCTGGACTATGCAAAATAAACACTGTGCACAAAGAGTACTAATTGCTTCATTTATTCTTCCATTTAGCCGGGGAAACATCAGAGCTTATTCAGTCTCAGAATGGAAAATTACATGTTGGAGAGAAAATAACCACACTGAAGGAATGACAATGCAATTCAGGTTCCACTTGTTCACATATTTTATTTATCCAGTGAAGGAAGAAAAAAAAAAGGGGGGGGGCTCTAAGGTGGCACAATTTTAAGAAAATACCATCCATTTTTCTCAGTCTAATCTGAATCCATACATTAAAACAAAAGTGCAAGTGATGAGATGAACATCTTGTTGGAGAACAAAGCATCTTGTTTGAGAATGAAAACCCTTTTTAAGGTTAATATCTACCAAGGGGTTCCTTATTTGAGGATGGCTTACTTTTGTTTTTTTAAAAATATGACAGCGTTGTATAAATTGCTGGGGTTGGATATTTAAGGGTAGATGGTGTGAAGGCTGCTGACTCAGTGAATTTCCAGGAGTCTCATTCTGAAAGAATCCCACCATGGTGACAGCCACAAAAACATCACAAACATCTGTTGGGGAGCGACTCGATGACACATGGCAAAAATGGAATCTCAGATGTTTGGGTAATGAGAGCCCAGACATATTGTGATCCAGAACTCCCATTATACAGAAGGGGAAAATTAGGACTGAGAGGTTAAATAATTTCCCCAAGATCACACAGGTAGTAGAAGGAACTAAAACTTCCTGGTTTCTAATTCAGTACTTTTGAACACTGCATAAATAGATGCTCCTAAAATTAATTTTTTTTGGTCAAGATTCTAAAGTTGGCAATTTTAGCTTTTTAAAAAAAATTGGACAGCAAGATCCTGCCTCTAAAAAAAATTAAAAAAAATATTAACTGGGGGTGGTGGCAGGTGCCTGTAGTCCCAGCTACTTGGGAGGCTGAGGTGGGAGGATCGCTTGAGCCCAGGAGTTCAAGGCTGCAGTGCGCTATGATTTCACCGCTGTACTCCAACCTAGGCAAAAGAACAGCACTTCATCTCAAAGGGAAAAAAAATGGAGAAAACAAAAAGATTTGTGAATGCTGATAACTTTGTATCCAATGTCAGGAACCTCATGTCAAGATACAGTCTAAAAACTCATGTTCGGCTCAAAATCAGAGAATTCCATGTTTCTATGAACACATATGACAAAATCTTACACATAGTGAGACAGGAATGGAAGACAGCACCACGCAGAAAACATTAGATAAACCAATATTAGAAAATAAAATGGACCACATTAGCCATTGGTGAGCTGGTCTAAACTGTTCGGCACTTTCAAACAACACGGAAAATAACACAAAGTCACGATCTATGAAAGAGGAGTTCCAGGGGTTTTCTGGTGGCCGGGTACAAGGAAGCACCCATCTTAAGCAGCTGGATGCATGTGCACAGGCTTAGGCATGGCACCGCCCTCCAGCAGAGCTGCCTGAACTGAGCAAGTGTGAGTCCACCCATTATATTGCCCACAGCTGAACACAGCCCTAGGGCAGTCAACGCCAAATCTTCTTTATCTCGAAAACTGGCCTGCTCTTTTTAACCACGGGCATAAATCAGACAAGAAGAACTGGGGTGGGAAAGGTTTCAGGTTGCCAGTAGAGGCTGGACATTTTGAACCCTGGACAAAGTGACTGGAATCTTTGTTTCCCCTGGCCCTGGAGCTTTTGTAACCGGCTGGGTGTGGGCTTTGATGTCTGCGATTCGTTCTTTAAACTTCTGCTGGAGGAATTTTTCTTCTTTGGAGTAGCTCTTTACAAACACCGACATCAGCAGGCACCCTGCCATGGACGTGCCTCCAATGCAGAAGAGAACAGCTCCTGCCAGCTTGTACATGTCCAGAGCACTGTTAAACTGGACAGCATGTGTGTCGACCACCACAAAATCGGCTTCGCCAAATGCTTCGATTTTGGGGGGCACAAGAAAGCCCACTGCCAGAACAGTCAATCCGAGGATCACAAAAACTGTACCTGAGATGAGTCCAACCTACAGGTAGATAATGACAGAAGCAAGATAGAGTGAGGAAGGTGCTTCGGCTCGCCCCTGAGCCCTCAAGGGCAGCACTTGTCTTGTTTCTTGAGAGAAATGAATATTCCCAGTTACCCCAAATTTGCAGGAAACACTTACTTAATTTTCTGTTGAAAAAGGTGAAAGATGATCTTTCTAATTTTAATGCCAACCAAAAACTCCAGCACTCAGCCTTGAGATATATGTATATATCATATATATATATTATATATCTAAAGATATACATATATTGTATATCTAAAGATATATATATAATCTTTATATTATCTAAAGATATATATAATCTTTATATTATCTAAAGATATATTATATATAGCTAAAGATCTATATAATATATATGTCCAAAGATATATATATTATATATTATATGTCTAAAGATATGTATATTATATATATATCTAAAGATATATATAAAATATATAATATATATTATATACCTAAAGATATATATTATATATAATATATATCATATATCTAAAAGTAGATATGTAATATGTAAATATATATATAAATATCTTTTTTTTTTAAATTTGTACAATGCTTTGCAGTTGACAAAACCTTCTTTTGCTTACATTGTCTCATTTGGTCTTGAGGAAAAGAAGAGTAGCCCTGATATCCAGGAGCTGGCCTTACTCTGTCCCCTAGGCCTCGACATTGTTAGAAGCTGGCTAGGAGCTCACAGCAAGGCCATGCTGTTCTGCCAGGCACCATCTCACAGAACATTAACACATGCTCATTCTGTGACCATGATGAAGTGAGACAAAACAGTAGCCCTTCATAACTTTGTCTAAGCACAGACAAAAACAAGGTCCTTGTAAAAACCACAAAATACGACATGACCCCCGCTCCTGGCTAATATGAATGACACCTACTTCTTTCTCATGATGGCTTTAGTCTCACTCTAGTCTGTCCTCTCTATACATAAGATATATTAAGATATCCAATCATAGAATTGTCCCTAACAATCCAGAGTGAACTCTTGCTTCATTAGACCCTCCCCAAAATCACCCAACCAGAGCCCACATCCTATAATATTATACATCCTTTTCACACTCTCATATTGCAATGCCCCACAGTCCCCTATGGTGACATTCTTTCTTACTGTAATGAGTAATACATCCAACTTGTTCAACATATAGGTGTGTTCCTGGTGGTTTTGGCTGGAGGACATGGACAGTCTTTGTAACTACTCACCTCTTTTCAAAGTAAGCAGAGAAGGAACCTTAATGGCCAGTTAAGGTAAAGAAATGTAGCGTCAGAGAGGGTAAGTCATGGACCAAAGATGGACAGCTAGCAAGCTGCAGAGGCAGGGTTAGAACCCACAGAGCTGATCCCCAGGCCAGTGTTCTTTCTCCTCTCACATGTAGCTATTTGGGGTATACTTGTGCAGGTGCTAGGAAGTGTTCAGAATAGCAGATGGAGGTTAAACTGCATTAGCTCAAGTTCTAATGAAATGTAACATACTAAAGATGGAAATGATGTACCATTTGGTGGTCAATGCCCATAGGTTTGAAATAAATGGACGCATGCTTCGATTCTACCACCACCACCTAGCACTTGAATCATAGAAGGAAAGTTACTTAAAAGCTCTTGTCATTAATTTCCCCATCTATAAAATGACAAATGCTCATAATACCTACCTCATAGAGGACTTGTGAGGACTAAATGAGACTATCCATAAAAGCACTTAGCCTTGTATCTGGCAAAGTTATACATTGTATCTGGCAAAATTATAAATTGTAATAAGTAGCTATTCTTCTTATTTGGAAAGACACCCCTTGAAAAATTGTTATGCTACATTGGTAACAGTATTACGATTGCTCAGCACTTGGAATAAGGAATAGCTAACACCATTACTTTTTAAAGTAATTTTTCCTTTCCTTCTGTTCTTAATTGCTTTTAGTTAGAATAACAAGGTTAGGAAAATAACCAGATACATAACATAAATTAATCTTTAATATTTAAATTTTTGAGATAATATACTAATAAAGGAGGCTTGGCTAATAGAAGGAAAACGTATCCACAAATCTATCACCCTAGCAAAAATGGGAAAAGTATAACTGGTATTATTGAACATCTATTATGACCTGCACTAATGCTAGATGTGTTTTTTGTTTAATCTTCACAAGCATCTTATGAGAAGTAGGTATTTTTATTCCAATTTCACCTATAAGAAACTGAGGATTATAAGGTTAAAGAAGCATACTTTAGCCGGGCATGGTGGCTCATGCCTGTAATCTTAGCACTTTGGGAGGCCAAGGTGGGTGGATCATCTGAGGTCAGGAGTTTGAGACTGAGAGGTGAAGCCGGCTGGGCTTCTGGGTCGGGTGGGGACTTGGAGAACTTTTCTGTCTAGCTAAAGGATTGTAAACACACCAATCAGTGCTCTGTGTCTAGCTAAAGGTTTGTAAACTCACCAATCAGCACTCTGTGGCTAGCTAAAGGTTTGTAAACTCACCAATCAGCACTCTGTAAAAAACACACCAATCAGCGCTCTGTGTCTAGCTAAGGGTTTGTAAATGCACCAATCCACACTCTGTAAAAATGGACCAATCAGCATTCTGTAAAATGGACCAATCAGCAGGATGTGGGCGGGGCCAAATAAGGATATAAAAGCTGGCCACCCGCGCCAGTAGCCGCAACCTGCTCTGGTCTCTTTCCACCCTGTGGAAGCTTTGTTCTTTCGCTCTTCACAGTATATTTTGCTGCTGCTGACTCTGGGTCCGCACTACCTTTATGAGTTGTAACACTCACTGCCAGGGTCTGCGGCCTCATTCTTGAAGTCAGAGAGACCAGAAATCCACCGGGAGGAACCACTTCTGGACACAAGACAAGCCTGACCAACATGGTCAAACCCCATCTCTACTAAAAATACAAAATTAGCCAGGCATGGTGGGGCATGCCAGTAATCCCAGCTACTTGGGAGTCTGAGGCAGGAGAATCACTTGAACCTGGGTGGGTGGAGGTTGCAGTGAGCCGAGATCACATTGTTGTACTCCAGCCTGGGCAACAAGAGTGAGACTCTGTCTCGGGAAAAAAAGAGAGAGAAAAAAAGCATAGTTGAGGATCCCAAAAATAGCAGGTGGTGTGACTAGTTCTAACCCAGATCTGTGTGATTCCTGCTACCCATGACTTTTCTTCTGCCCATAATACTTCGCCATTACTATTTTGTATATTTCTTTCTATTATTTTTATTTGAACCTCAAAGGAGTTTTAGCCACCATATGTGAACAAATTTCCAGTATCTCATATTGTAAGGAAACTGAAAAAGAGTCAATAGGATGTCTTCTGAAAAAAAAAAAAAAAAAAAAAAAGCTGTTCTGTATAAGACATAAGTGCTACGGGAAAAATTGGGCTGTAAAATATAACATTTTGGATTGCTTTCTACATTTTTCTAAAAATGGTGGCAAGTACATTTACCTTCCAAGACTAACCATTATTTATAACTTTTAGAAAATGACTCATATCAGAAAATTCTGAATGTACAAGCAAAATTGATTTAACTATCCATGGTGACATGCTTCCTATGTCACTAAACTAACTCCCTGCTGAAGAATTGGCATTAATTATCAAAAATTGAGGGTAGCCGAAAGTTATCTTAGTTTCTGAGATTCTGAAGAGCAAGTGAGACCAGTGTGTGTCTGTCTTGCCTCCCCACAGCTCTTATTCCAGCCTGACACTCAATAAACCGTCCTGCCTGCCTAACTTAAACCATCAGACTGCTGAACACAGAGCCAGGTGATTGATTCTCAGAGCAGTCTGCTCCTCAGCTGAGCAGTGCTTTCGATGAAAATCCACTCCTGGACTATCATTCAGAAGCTAAAATGCAAACCATGGCTTTCAGATGGCAGAATTCCTGTTCACTTGAAGAACTGGAACGTGGCTAGGCTTTCTGAGCATTCTCCTCTTTTCTATTGACATCAGAGAATCAGAGAGAGGCTCGCCCTCTGTAGTGGGGAAGACAGCACAGTGAACAGCTGACTTCAAGGCTTCTGAAGGGGCTGTTAATGCCAGTCTTTAATGAGAATCTCTGAGAGATGCACCCATTGGGGAATTCCAGACATGTTAAAACATGGGAGGGAGAGCGTGGGATGATAGGTACGAAGGAGTCTCATGAGTAGCATATGGGAGGTGAGGAGAGCAGTTGGGACTCATCAGCTTAGTCTTGGTACCATGCTGAGTACTGGAAAGGATAAAAATTGAGGGAGCAATTCCATACAGTATCATAAAAATTATCTCTGGACACAGTTCAAAGTCGAATTGGTCCCAGGTCTAACAGAAAGAGGACTCCCAAATGGAAAGAGTCAAAAAATTGCAATGCAGAGGTTGTTTAAAGTTCTGAGGAAGCAAAGCAGCCTCGTTTAGGGCCACACAGAAGAGTTGGAATGCTTTGGAAGGGTCCTCCTCCAGGCTCAGCAGAGCAACCTGGGGCCTTAGGGTGGTAAGGCCAATCCCAATGGCGACAGAGAAGGGCCTCTCCAGGTGGTGACAAACTCCCGAAACAGCAGCGAGGACAGTTTTTGTGCTGTAACTTCCGATTCCACTCTTGGCTGTGGGAGGATGTGTGAAAACCCAGTTCCTGCTGCTGGAAAGGAAAATTGGAAAGGAAAGAGAACTTATTTATATGCCAGAAATTCTGCTGGTGGGGGCTACAGGCCAGAGACTGCTGTTATTTTGACCAACATCCTTTCATTGTTTCCCAGTGAGCTGATGAGGCCTGAAAATGCAGTTTACTCCAATAGACAGAGCTGGCAGCAGTCGCGGCGCAGCTGTTCTGGCAGAGACGAGGCAGGAATGACTGTTGGAAGCGCGAACCTGCGTGGCTGGGAAGAACGGCCTGGCGTGCGGGGAATGCTGGATGGAGCTGCATGTGCAAGGCGCCATCTGGGTTAGAGGTTATTTAGGGGAAGCGCATCAAGAGCGAAGATGGGCTTTTTCTTCTGCATCAGCCCTTGAGGGCTGTGCTGACCTCTCCTGAGCTCTGAGCGGTGATGTCTGCCAGCAGCAGTGGCAGACTGTAGCTCATCTGTCCCTGCTTGCCTCAGCTTGACACTGAGCTTTATGAAGCAAGAACCGATGCCTGGCGATAATCGAGGTCCTTCCATAGACTGACCTCACAATCTTCTTAGACCCTTTCACCTGGGCAGTGAAATCACATCAGCTCTTCCACCTAACAGAGATTCCTTCTTCCAGCGCATAAACACATTCAACTGCCTCCATCTTCGAAAGCAATTCTCCAGCTCTGCGTCCCTTTCTTCCTACTCCTCAATGTCCGTTCTACCCTTGACAGCCACGCTTAGTCTTCCACGATTTCCTTAAACCTGCTTCTCCGAGGTTACAAAGGACCTCTTAATTGTCAAATCTAATGTCAAATCTAATTTATTTTTTAGGCTCACTTAAATATTCTACGTTCATTGATATTAAACACTTATACTTTCTTGAAACCCTTCCCCGTGGTTATCTCTGACACACTGTTTCCTCTGTGTATCTCTGCTCCAAACAACTCACTGTCAACCTGCTTTGCTGGATGTTCTTTGTAAATTATTAGTATTCCCCAGGATTCTACCCTTCCCACCTTTTTTAGAGACAGGGTCACTCTCTGTCATTCAGGCTGGAGTGCAATGGTGCAATCATGGTTCATTGCAGCCTTGAACTCTTGGCCTGAAGCAATCCTCCCTCCTCAGGCTCCTGAGTCCTCTGGGATTATAGGCACACACCACCACGTCTGGTTCAGGAGTCTATCCTTGACCTCCACCTATTCTTATTCACTATGTTCTCTTTAGCGTTTAATTGGAAGCTACAGTTTCAACTCCCACCTGTTACCAGTGACTTCCAAACCTCCAACTCCAGCCTGGATCTCTGTTTTGAGCTCTAGACCATATTTCTGACAACCAACAGGAAAATCTACAGAAAAATGTCCCAAACACTCCTCAAACCCAAAAGAGTAAAAATGGTGCTCTGCCACTTCCTTCCCATTTTCTCTATTTGCGTTCTTCCCATCCACCCATTCGTGAAATTGTTCCTCACAGTCATAGTGGTGGATATTAAATCTTAGTCACTCTATCTCATAAAAATCTCTTGAATCTTTTCTGTCTCGTCCACTGCAGCCACTCTAATGGTGCGGGCCATTATTATATCTTGCCTGGATCATTGCAACAGTGTCCTGATGATCTCCATTGCTCCATCCTTCAAAGGCAATCTGAGAAATCTTTTATAAACAGAAATTATACCACATGGCTTCTCTTCTTAGTAGTCTTCCACAGGACATTATGTCAAGTGAAATAAACCAGGCACAGAAAGACAAATATCTCATGATCTTCCTTATATGTGGAATCTAATAAAGTTGAAATCATAGAGGTAGAGAGGAACTGGGAGGGAGTGGGAGAGGGGATTGGGAAGATTTTGTTTAAAAGATACAAAATTTCAACTAAGAGGAATCAATTCAAGAGACCTATTGTACAACATGGTGACTATAGTCCATAAGACTGTATTGTGTTCTTGAAAATTGCTGAAAGAATAGATTTTAAGTGTTCTTACCACAAAAAAGGATGTGAGGTAATGTACATGTTAGTTTGAGGTAGTCGTGCCACAATATATATGTATTTCAAAACAACATGTTGTACATGACAAATATATACAATATTTATTTGCGATTTAAAAAGCAGAGTCTTCCACAGCTCCTCTCATCTCTAGTATAAAACTAACTTCTCAGTATCTAGCAAAACTTTGAAGGAAAAAACAAGGACTTAAGTTTAAACTCTGACTTAGCTCAAGAGGGGGAACTGGAGAGGTCAGGGCAGATAGGAGGAACTTAACCTGGGTCTTGAGAGGAAAGAGAGGGACCGGAGTCACTTTCACAGTTTGTAAGGCTGTGGAGGAGGCGGTCACACCTTGCACCTGCACATCGCCATTAAATGCCTCCATGACATATTAACCTCTGACATAGGCTGGTACAGGTTTCTGAGAGAGGTCGAGGAGAAGGCAAGAAGATAACCCTGAGGTGAGGAGGGAATGACTGGGGGTGAGAAGACTGCTCCCATTGGTTTGACACCTACATATGACGCTGTTTGCTGCGTGGACAATCAAGTGGCAACAGCCTTAGTCAAGGTCAAAGGCAAAGATATGAAAAAAAATTCCACCATAGCCTGATTGATTTTGGGGCAGCAGCAATGGGTGATGGGACTGTGTTACATCGATTTTTATAGATGGCATCAGCTGCAGGCAGTGGGATAAATTAGAAGTGGCTGAGGTAGTCATGCAGCAACCTAGGACCTCTGAAGCACAGAGAAAGTGTGCGGCACTCTGTGTATGTGTGTGTTTGTGCGTGTGTGTGTGTTTATACCTGATTATGACATCCCAACTATGAAAGCCTAGATTCATTATCTTGCCCCCTCACTGTATTCAAGCTGAAATGTTACGGAGAAATTTCTATTACATGGCCTTTCAGAGTCTTCTGTGAACTGGCTTTTGTATGCATTCCCAGGTTCAACTCCTGACTCCTCTTCTTCAACTTTTGAACATTTACCCCAGCCACAGGGAACTCTTTGCAGTCTCCTGAACATGCTGTACTCTCCCATGACTCTTAGCTTTTGCAATACTTTTCTCTCTACTGGGATGCCCCGTTCCTGCTTTCTCACATGTGACCTCCTCTTGGAGCCATTTCTTCCCTAGTCTGCATCAGATACCCACTCCACCCTGCCCCTCTGTGCTCCCAGTAAGTATTGTGCCTGCTTTAAGGGGAGCATTTAGTATATTGCATTATAACAATCTGTGTACCAGGAAGGGGAACATCATACTCCGGGGACTGCTGCGGGGTTGGGGGAGTGGGGAGGGATAGCATTAGGAGATATACCTAATGTTAAATGACGAGTTAATGGGTGCAGCACACCAACATGGCACATGTATACATGTGTAACAAACCTGCACATTGTGCACATGTACCCTAAAACTTAAAGTGTAATAATAATAAAATTAAAAAAAAACAACAACAATCTGTGTACATGGCCACCTCCCCTATTTGATTGTGAACTCCTTCAGGTCAAGGGCTATATCTTATTCAGAGGTGAAGAAAAGATCTTCTTCATATTTGAAGAATATTTGTTCACCTCTGAAAAAGAAGATCTTATTTACATCAGAATCCCAGAGCCTGGTGAATGTTGGACAGCTACACATTTGAAGAAAGAGAGGAAGAATGATACTGTGAAATAGATGTTATGCAGATGCATGCAATAAAGATTCTAACTCAGACCCATTTGATTTCAATCTCCTTTCTCATTAAGTCTTGCCATGCTGCCCACTGCTGTAAAGATGCCTCAAGAGCAGAGTCCTATCAAAGCACTGTGAGCACAGCCCCCAGTGAGAGGCCAACATGACTCTTGCAACACTACAGTGGAAGCAGGGAAAGGAGAAGCCAGCAATTTGAACCACCTACAGATGCAATTTGATTGAAAGAAAAAAACATGAAAAAGAATCATAATAGAAACATGAGCATAGCTAGTGCTTTTTCCTGTGTTGGTACAAAGCACTTCATAAATCCACTGGCATGAATTCACTCATATTCCTTAGGAGGAAACCCAGGAACAGTTGGTTTATCCCTTGATAGAGATGAGGTCTCTAAGACAGTGAATTCCTAGGTCAGTCAGGTTGACACTAGGCTTCTTGTGTTTTGTGGCTAAGGTATACATCTAGGACTCCAGCACAGCAGTAAATAAATATTTTTGGATCTTGTTTGTGCAAAATAGAAGGGAGAAAATAATGAAATATGAATTCTGGGGTTGGTAATTCACTGTGAGTTATTTGTTGTAAACCCATAACTATGTTTTATTTGATGGGTTTACAGCTTCACAAATCACATAACAACCAGTGCTTTGAAGTTCCATGAACACTTACAATATTCTGTGTGTCAGTGGCATTTTGAGCTCTTGGCACAACAGATCTGTCAGGCAAATGCTTTTTTTTTTTTGACAAATAGGGAAACAACCACCCACATATCTGGGTAAATACAAGATGTGCCAAGCTTGGCTGTGCATTTCATTGGCTAAAGCCAGTAAGGATTCATCAGAGGTGAGATTTCTACAGGGCAAGGATGCTGACTTGACCAGTTCTGATGCAGAGTATGTGACAACAATATGACACTGAATTAACACAGGTCTTGGGTTATCCATGTTAACAACTGTGTTACTTAATACTTGATTTATTAACTATATTTCAACTTTTTTTCCCATTTAAGAACTCAGTGCTTCATACAGCAACCAGTAATAGTAGCTAATATAGCTAATGCTTATTAAGCACATACCAAGACAGTGTTAAGCTCTTTGTAAATACTATCTCATTTAATTCTCATATCTTTTATGTGGTTGGTGCTATAAGTATCACCATTAGAGGCCCCATAAGGCCAATTAATTTGCCCAGGGTTACAGAATGATTAAACAAAAGAGCTGGGGTTTGAGCTCATGTAGTCTGAGGTTAGAATCTATGTTTATAATTATTAGGCTATACAGCCTCTTGTTACACTATATGGCCAATAAATTGCAAGTTTATGTCAATATCCATGTCAAAAAATTCTGGGATCTTTTGGGAGAAACAAAGATTAAGGAAGACCTTAGGCATTATCTAAGGTTCATCTTCTCAGTATCCCTGAAGCCTCTTCCCCTTCTTAGTTTCTAAATGTTGGAATGTCCCAATGCCCTCTTCTCTTCTATGTCCACACTCTTCTCCTGGATGATCTCAGAAGTCTAGTGCCTTGTATAGATTCTATGTGTCAATAACTCCCAATTTATGAGCCGTAGATTGATATATTTAAATTGTCACTAGAGATCACTACTCCGATGTCTAATAGGCATAACCTTTACCTAAATCTGACTACTTTTCACCATCTCCACTAACGCCACCAGCATCTTTTGCCTGGGTACTTTAACACCCTCTAAATTTATCAACCTCTTCCAGTAGCTTCCCATGTCTCTCGAAGTAAAAACCCAAGACTTCACTGTGGTGTACAAGGCTCTACATAAATCATCTGTGCCTTGTTATTTTTCTTAATTCATTGCCTGTCCCTTTTCTCACCCCACTCCAACCAGATTGGAGACCTCTGGATCATTTTCAAACACACCAAACTTGTTCCCATTTCAGAGTTTTTGGACTTACTATTTTCCCAGTCTAGGATGACCTTCAGTCAGGTCTGTTCCCTCAACTCATCCTGGTATTCCTTGAGATGGCATCTCTTCTGAAAGCCTTCTACCATCAGCATATCCAAATACCAGTCTCCATCACCCCCTGTCATCCATAGCACTATCACTACCTAACATTCTATCATGTGGTTTCTTTGTTTACAGCCTGTTTCCCATGATAGATTGTAAGCTCCATGAGGGAAGTCACTTTTTCTTTCCCTGTTTACCACTTTAACTTCCAGAACTTTGAACCCTCTTGGCACAGAGTAGATGCTCACTAATTATCTGTTGAGGGACTAAATACATTGTCTAATGAGATTCCTTCATTTGAGGAAGCTGGGGTCAGAAAGCCTCATGATCACACACTCGGTAGAGACGGAGCTGGTATACTGACCACTGTACTACATTTCATCATTAACTCTCTCTAAATACCTAATGATTTCTTTTTAATAATTGTTGCAACTTGTCAGATGATACTTACCACGCCTGTAAGGAAGGCTGAAAGAATATAATGTTTTGCCTATGGATGGCTTCAATTAGTGAATTTAATGGCACATTTTTAATGGTAGCAATAATAATAATTCATATGGCAATTGCACCTATTTATGTTTAATCTGCTCATCAATAGTTGTGCTGTGTTTAGAGGCTTTCTTTGGCCCAAGGTTTAGATTCTTCTTTCCTAAGGTAAGAAAAATGCATTTAGTATCACCAAGAGTGATGCACACACAGCGAGTACTAAACCTCTCCATCCTCCACAGCTGCAGTATTAACCATGTCCAATAATTTTTCCATTCCCTAAGTTAAACACATGCTCCTTCCTTACCTTCCAGAATACTGAGCTCCACCTGTTAGGTGATCTTTGGATCTGGAAATCATCCTCATACTCCCAAATTGAGGCTGTACAGTCCTCATAAAACTGGTGCAGGTAGGACCGGACTCCATAGCGCTGGTAACCACCCTCAGCTGCAGCCTGTGCCTGCCTGGACCCACAGACGTTGCTGCAAGAACTCATCCTTCCCAGCTGGAATGACAACATCCACATGGATTAATGCCACAGGCTTTGGCCACAGGATCAAAAGACATATGAAAGGTAAGAACCAGACTGAGTAATGTATGCCTAGTTGAACAATGCTCTTTTCATTACAGAAAAGGTACTTTTAAAGACCCCTCTCTCTTGGCGGGGCGCAGTGGCTCACGCCTGTAATCCCAGCACTTTGGGAGGCTGAGGAGGGAGGATCACGAGGTGAGGAGATGGAGACCATCCTGGCTAACACGGTGAAACCCTGTCTCTACTAAAAACACACACACACACACACACACACACACACACACACAATTAGCTGGGTGTGGTGGTGGGCACCTGTAGTCCCAGCTACTTGGGAGGCTGAGGCAGGAGAATGGCGTGAACCCGGGAGGTGGGGCTTGCAGTGAGCCAAGATCGCACCACTGCACTCCAGCCTGGGTGACAGAGTGAGACTCCGTCTCAATAAAACAAACAACAACAACAACAAACCTGTCTTTCTTATAAGCTGTTCTTCTTTTTTGCTTAATGCAAGATTACCTAAACACTCAATGACTAGAACTGCATCTCCATAAATGAAATGAGATACAACAGCACAACTCACATAAATTAGGTACACATTTAAGCATGAAGCACACAAGAAATGGCAACAAAGAAGCTGAGATTTTTTATTGCCTTGACAAGAAATCTTTAATCTCTTAGAATCTAGTTGTCTTTGCACTTACATGTTAAAGAATTGGGCAGGCATTCTCATTTGCTGAAGATGGAGTTTGTCTTAGACTGTCCTCTCAGATTTTTAACTATGTTTCCTTGTGGAATCTACACCGCATTACTCTTACTAGTTTGAAATTTTGCCTTCCGATCTCATGTATCTTCCTCTGACATTTTAACTAATTGTCAAGTTGTATGAAGCTTTATTAAAAAGCTGCTGAGCAATTTATGCCTCATGCTTTATTAATCACAAATGGCTTGGCCAATAATTTACACCTCACTAACTCTAACACCATATATTTTACCCATTGTTTGTGGATACATCTGTCCATGTGGGTGGCTAGAGTATAATGTGGAGAGTGGACACAACCTTTTATTATTTTCCATGAAGTGTCTACTGTAAGTAAGAACTCAGAGAACTGTTAAATAAAACTATGTCCTAGGCAGGTTGTTTTGGGTTCTGCCTTTTTAAGATGGAAATTTCTACTTTATTTGACCTAATTGATACCCTTAGAGAGAGGCATTTATATGGATTTTGTTACTAATCATGGTTAAAAAAAAGAAAGAATTACTGAGTGACAGTAATTTTGTTGAATAAGGGAATTGTCAGTTATCGTCTTAATTTCTGATCTCCATATAAGCAAATAAATGTATAGCTGGAAATGTGAAATACGTGTTTGGATTTTTAAATTATCCTGTACACAGATGGTAACACAGTGACACAGGGAGGGGAACATCACACACCTGTCAGGGGGTGGGGAGCAAGGGGATGGAGAGCATTAGGACAAATACCTAATGCATGTGGGCCTTAAAACCTAGGTGATGGGTTGATGGGTGCAACACATCACCATGGCACATGTATACCTATGTAACAAGCCTGTACGTTCTGCACATGTATCCCAGAACTTAAAGTATAATATTAAAAAGTGGAAATAATAAAAGAAATATAAAATTCTGAAAGAACTCTTTAGTCCACAATATAGCTGCCACACTGTTTGAATATAAATGAAGGTGGTTATTTTTGTGTTTTCAAATAAATCAGACTTCTTCCAAAAAAAATTATCCTGTAGATAGTTTTAGTTATGTGGACATAGTCTATACGTGACAAAGTGGGGAACAACATAGAAGGTTATTTTTCTATTAAGCCAGGTTTTCTCAGAGCTTGTGCTGTAATCCAGGCCAACAGAGGCATATTAAATGTTTCCAATTACTTATCAAGCAACCAGCTAGTAATGTTTATCTACAAAAGAAAAATATCGATCTACAGTCCCATCAAATGCCTATATGTGGCCAGTTAGTTTGATTGGATAGAATTATGGGGCTAAAATCAAAGTTGGAACCAGGGATAGTCAGCAATTCCTTGTGCAGTGGGCACAAAGTAAACCCATTAGCACATCTTTAAATATGTGCCCTTAGCTACACATGAGTTTTGGTTAAGAATGTAGTCAAATTGAGGAAAACATGGCCCTGGTCTTAGAAAAATGGTGCTATTAATGATGACCAATAACCTCATCTTTTTAGCTGTTGGTCAATTAAAACCAACTAACTGTTAGCTCCTGTGCTTTTTTCTGTTTCAGGTATAGCTACCATCTAAAGAAATCACCCAGGGAAAGAGTGCAGGGAGGCAAGAGTCTACACATACACACCCACACCTGCACTCCCCCACACACGAACACATTTGCTTTAAAACATTTAGAAAGATATGATTTCATAAAAAGTCAAGGTTTTTAGAATGTTCTTTGCCTGAGTAGAGCAGCAAAATCTGGCAGATCAAAAGAATATTAACCTAGTTTTAATATTTTAAGCACTAGGACGATCTCTTCAGTACCTTCTATTTAATGCTTATACAATGAAGATGATTAACAAGAGCCTATTACCATTGGTATATAAGTGGCATAATTTTAAAGGCATTTTCCTTTAAGGCATTCTAATGCAAATTTCAGTCCAGGTGAGATGGGGTTGGTATTACTAACTGCTTTGTCAACTAGGAAACTGAGGCATAGAAAAATCATCTACTAAAGGTTACACCATGAGTCAGGGAACAGATGAAAGATGACAATTAACACAAGAAGCAGGAGTATGGACTGAATCATATACTTGCATAGTCAGAACCACCTCCTCTAAATATATATTTTCAGATTTTCTATAAAGCATCAGAGACTTTAACATGAAAAAGGGACAAAAATAGATATGATAGGAATAAAAAAAAATCCCTCATAGCAACAGTAAGAGTTATGTTTCCTTAGATGCTGAAGTTGTTCTTTCCCAGGATTGAGCTTTGATGCAGAGAAGGACCGTGTGATATATTACAGCCATTCCCTGAACAGTTTGCTACCAGAACAGTAGGTTAAATGTTTCTGCTTTATGAGACCCAGTTGTCCAACTTTGTTAAAAACAATATAGGTCAAATCATAAAAGAGATAGAAAGTGTCATAAAACACATGTTTTTGAGCCTGAGTGATTGAAGGCTCTACTTGAAGCCATGGATTTTTAGCTATGTCAGCTACATTCCAGAAAAGGAATTCCAAAGCGCCTTACTTTCTCCTCCAGGGGCACAAAACATGAACAAGAACATGGTCTGTTTTGTGCTACCTAAACGGGGCAGAGAATGGACTTTACTGCCATTTTTTGATTTGCAACTTACTGGTCAGGAGATTCCAGACAAGCTCATTAGTCTCTCTGGGCTATGGTTTCATCATCCTTAAAGTAAGAGGGTTGGACCAGATTAATCTCTAATTCCTTCCAGTTGTAGCTTTTCAGGATTTTTTTTGTCTGTACGGAATGACTCTATCATTTTTTTATTGAACGAACAACTAGGTTTACTGATTTCCTACCTCCTTCCATATCCTTACTGACAGCTCAAATTCTTACTTTATACTAGTATGTATGCAGCTTCCCTTTAAAAAGGGCATATAACTAGTTAGGTTAGTTACTTGCTACTAGGTAGACTAAATGTTCGTATGTTGTTTAACAAGTTACTTCAGTATCACGTATGTTGCCTAAAATAGGATCCCCGAGGGTCTGACAGGTATCACACATCTTCCCAAACATATAACTACCTGGAATTCACTCCTAGAGAAGAATGACTTGGAAGAACATGAATTTTAAAATATAACATGTTAGAGTGATAGATTTGGACCTACAAAATCTCAACAGAGAGTTATACATCTCCTAGGGAAGTCAGTAACTTTTTGTCCCCATGTTACAGTTATTTGGAATCTTATTTGATTGATGGACACTTCTGGTATCATAAAAAAGGTATGTGAGGTCACATCATAAAGTCACTTTAAAGACTGGGCAGTTATTAAACTATATATAACAAACTAGAATTGAGACAGAAACAGAAGCTATGTGCAAAGGCTTTTTACTTTGGCTTATTATTTACTTAAAGATCAAGGTTTCATAAGATTTCTGATGTCTATATTTCAATAGCTGTAGTAGCAACAACAAAAAGGTTAAATCTATGATTGTTGTTAATGAACATATTTTAGAGAGCCTTTTTTATTTACAGAAAGCTTTAATATCACAGGAGGTACATGGATAGAGGGGATGAGTAAACACACTCTTTAGTATTATATTTAATTCAATCCAGAGTAAACACACTCTTTAGTATTATATTTAATTCAATCCACATTAGTCTTCATTCTGTAAACACTCTGATGGAGCCTGTTGCATCCTCCCTGCCAGCATGGCCATGATGATTGGGCACAAGCAACTTTTGTGTGTCATTGTTTGGTTATCTATGAAGAGAGAGTTGTTTTTATTCTCTCTGAAGGATGCTCTACTTGCTGATAAATGAGGATCCATCCATGGATTTCTTCTTTTTATAACCTGTCCATAGCAACTGTCTCAATTGCATGCACTGTTATACATTAAATGAATATTCAGTTCTTACCAACTCAGCACACCTATCATAACCCAGAGACATGAGGAGGGAAAAAAATTATGCTGCCACTCCCTATCAAATTCTTCTGAGAGGCTTTCTATAATCAATATATCTAAATATCAGCGTTCCATTACTTTCTATCCCCTTGTCTAGGTTTGTTTCTCTTCCTAGCACTTGTTACTATCTGATATTCTATGTGTGGTTTATTTACTTATGGTCTGATAGACCATATACATGATAGAGTGTAAGCTACATGTGGGCAGGGACATTTTCTGTACTGTTGACCACTTTAATCTCCAGTACTTTGAAACTTCCTGCAGAGTTCTACGTGGGTTGGTGTGGATGAAGGCCTGAGTAGTCCTCCATTTTTCATCCTCCCCTTCCTTCAGTGTTTTTAAAGCACTACGTGCCAGGCACCTGTGAGATAAATAATAGTTGTGAAGATGAGTGGAGCCAGGTCTGCCCTCAATGGACTCTTGGGTTACAAGGAGACACACTCATGAAGCAATAAACATAACAAAATGGGCATCATCAAGAGGTAAAGGGAGTACAAATGCTGAGAATTCCTTGAATAATTCCTGTATTAGGGAAACAAGCTCATGAATGTGCTATTGTGATATCACTATGTGTGCCAATAGACTGTAGTATCAATGTGTTGGAAATTTAAATTTCTGTGTAATATATGCAGTTACTTTTTATTTTCCTTTATAAATGTTCATAGCCTTGAAGCAGAAATAAATCTTTATGCCTCATGAAACTCTAAGAACATTACAGACATTATATTCTTTGTCTTCAAGGTCTCCTTGAGAGAAGAGAGGCAACAAATATGAGTGTTTTCCTGTGACACTATGTGTGAGTCAGTTGTGAGGCCAGGCACAGGCCCTGTTCTATTTATTTTCTTTGAAATATCATTCAATTTTTCATGCTGCTTTTCTCTCCCATAAAATGATTCTGAGATAATGAGACTGAGGTTCCCATTATAGCCACTTTTCCACAGGGCCAGTGCTGCAAAAGACAAAGTACAGGCACATAGACAATTTAGACCACTTATTCAACACCAAGCCGAAAGGTCAGTTCCTTAAAAGATTCAGTCAGACTCATAGGGGATACAGGAAGGCATGAAAGCCTGCTAACAGCTTTTTCACTTTTAAATCAGGCATTCTGAAATTATATAAGCATGTTCTTAAATCCTGAACCGTGTTCCTACCAATGGATTATTTCAGAGATATTTTATTTTTCTGAAACAGTGGTAGAGATTGTGGCTTTATATTGAGTTATTAAAATACCTTCAAAGTCAGTGGACATGCAACCACTTTTATAATTTTTAAAAAGGAGTAACAATGTAAGATTATCTTACTTGTTATCATTTACTTTAATTCTTCAAGATTCATTTTTTAGAAAGGTACATAAAATCCAAAGCTAAAATGAGAAAAGAACCCATATTCTCTTTTAATCTCTTCTTTATCTACATGCATACACAGGGTGCTTATGAATCTACATGTGATAAGGTTTGAGTCCTACCTTTGAAGTCCTCTTTTTCTTCTTCTTCTGGTTTACTCCTTGATCTTTCCTTTTAATGGCGCATTCTTCAATCCTATTTAAGAAAAAAGTCTCTGCAGAATGTAATCCAGATCAAAATCTAAATTTCATAAGTCATTCATATAACTTATAAAGAATCATTTTAATGTTCACAAAAGCATTGACAAAGAAATTCGTGTTTAAGAATTGAGATAGCTTTCTAAAAAACAAAAGTCTAAACTGTATTTTAGAACTTTTCAATGGGTTCTCATAATAATTTATAAAGTGAATGAGATGACATAAAAGGGCTTTGTAAATTATAACACACTATATATGTGCTATTCTCATTTTTACATAACCATATTCCATGTTGTTAGTAATTCCAAATAGGCTGGTCCATTTCTATTTTACAAATTCTAAATTTAAAAAAGTTCCTTGCTTCCTAGATACTTCAGAATGGATCTTTTTTGGTGCTTGGTCTTATAATGTAAAATATATGAGTCCTATAATCACTATATTTTCTGATATGTTTACATACATTTTACACTTCGTAAGGCTCTTTGGATGATTTACTTATTAGGCTGAGTTTTACTCCTATATCCGTTTTCTTCCTATCATGATCATTTTGCTTTCCAGCTGCCTAAGAAAAGCAGGTGCCCATGCAAAATTTGATTAAAAAGCCATTGCCAACTATAAGGCTGTTGGTTTCCTACATTACTCTAGTTATGTGAAATAAGATAATAACTGGGACCATATTTTTTATGGGATCATTAAGAATTCTTTCTAATGAACAGGTCCCCATTTGTTTGCAGGAGAACCTGAAGACTTGAGGTGAGTAAGCCTAGCTGAGGCCTGATAAACTGTTTTCAGCATTTCTAGGGTCAGCCTATATGGACCAAAGCCAAATCGTCAAGACCCATTTACTTTCCCCCAAATTTTGTGAGTGGTGTGTGGGCAGATTTGGGGGAAAGAAGCAAATTATATTAGCCTCCTGGATCTGGATAAGCAAACGAAAACAAGCCAATCATAGGTCACTAAATTCACTACATTCTCCTCTTCTTCCCTCCCCCAACACCTGCCCTCCACCCCCATCTGTATCTCTTTCTTTCCTGTCTCTCTCTGCCTCTCTGAATTACATTTCTCTTCTTTTTTCTGTCAGCTTCTCCATTTTCGCTGAAGATTCCCCACATGCCCTTCACCAAAGGCTGGCCTGATGTGGCGCCCAAGGAGCTCTCCAAGGTTCTGAAAACATTTCTGTTACAGTGCCAGGAACCAATCAAACAAACATTAGCTGTTAAATTCCAGCTCTGTTTTCTTTGAGGCCTCCAGACTCTGTCTGACCCCCACCCTAATGTTCCTGTCTAACAACACAAAGAAGTAGGTCCTGAGATCACGCCAAAACACTGAAACATCTTCAGACGTGGCACAGGAGTGGGGAGGGCCAGTGGGGGCTCAATTCAGCCTGATAAATAAACCAACTTTGCAAACTCTAGATACATATATTTGACTCTTTCCTAATACACAACTTTTCTTATCTTATGGAAAGGAAACTCTAAAGTTTTTAGCTGTACGCCCCTCGTGCCCCACCCCCCAAATTCTTACATAACACAAACCACAAACCACCAAAGCATGGAGCTAGCTCTTCCTAATTTGTATGTTTTCACCGATTTTAATACGCATGTTTTTTGTGGAGATTGGTGCACATATAATAAACGTGAATGAAGGAGGGAGGGAGAGAGAGAAAGAACATTTATGCATGAAGAAGGAGGAAGGAAAGAGAGAAAGGGAGGAGAGGGAGAACTGGAGAAAGACATTTGGAGAATAGAAAGCCGCCACCCCTGGACTCTGCGTGGCTTTACCTACCCCCTCCGATCCCCTGACCCGTGGAGCAAGTGCAGCCAGCCTAGCTGCAGATCTCTCGCTGGGGTCCCATCGCCGTCGCCACCGCCGCCGCTCCGCCTCGTAGAGCTCAGCCCGCGCCTGATTGACAGCTGGGAGTCCCGCGTGCCCGCGCACCCGAGGCCCGCGCAGCCGCCGCCGCCGCCGCCGCCTCCCCCTCCAAAGGGGCAGGGTTCCAGCTTTCCGAGAGCGGCGAGTGGGCGGGGCCGAGCTGTCTGGCGCGCCAGGCTTGTTCCTGCCTGCACCGTGAGGCTGGAGCTTCTGTTAGGGCAGCTGTCAGGGCCATGGAAGGCTGGTCACTGGGCCCTGCCGAGGCTCCCCAGGATGGGCACCTTCTCTGCCTTAGTGCTTCTTCAAAGCTTTTTTCTGCCCAGACCATATTTTGGTCGTAGAAGGCTGGTTCAATATACAGTTAGGCGTCGCATTATGATGGGGATGTGATACTCTGAGAAATATGTGGTTAGGCGATTTCGTCCTGCTAACATCATAGCGTGTACTTTCCCAAACCAAGGTGGTTCAGCCTACTACACACCTAGCTATATGGTAGAGCCTATTGCTTCTAGGCTACAGACCTGTACAGCATGTTACCCTCCTGAATACTGTTGGCAGTTGGAACACAATAGTAAGAATTTGTGTGTCTAAACATAGAAAAGGTACAGTGAAAATACCTTATGGAACCACCGTCATACATAGAATCTGTCGTTGACTCCAACATCACTGGGCAGTGCATGACTGTACATATTTTTAAAATGAGTGAAGAGGCAGATGGTCATGATGTGTGTTTCTTCCACTGCCACCCTATTAGAGATGTTTTCTGTCCCTGATGGGACACAAGGTGAGGAGCTTCTCTTTGCTGGTAGAGCACTGCCCAAATGAAGAACCTTCTCACCTCTTTGAATATTGGGTAGTTTTAATCCTCACTCTTTCCCTTACCCTACCGTCAGGAAGTCCAAATGGGTTTGATGAAAGAAAGATGAAGAAAATAAATTAAATTATGACGTTCAAGAAAAAAGCACAAATGCATAAAGGCAAGAACACATTAGAAAATTACCCGCGAATGCCTTAGAAAATGTGCACAGTTGTGGGCAAGTTAGTGTATAAATACAATAACCTCTGCTTCAGGAGACTTTCTGCAGACCTCTTGTAAGTGGCATTTAATGAGAATAATTACTAAAATAGTTAATATTTGCATGGCTATACTACACATAATAATAATAATACCTAACATTTACATAGTGCTGACTATATGCCAGGCATTGTGTTAAGTACATTACATATATATTAATTATATGTATATTATATCATTTAATCCTCACAGCAACCCAATGTGGTGGGCATTCTCTGATCCAGATTTTACAGAAGAAGCTGAGGTACAGAAAAGTGACACGCACTCAACGGTGATACAGACTCACAATTACTTGTCGAAGGTCATATAGCTACTAAATCTGCAATCTGCAAGATGATCTCCTGGAAAGGGTTAAGGATATAAGTGATATTTTGCCCATTATTTCCTCACTTCCACATAGGTTTCAGGAAAAAGCCTAAAAAACACTAAGAAACACCTCTGTCTTGTTAAACAGTGGGCAGACCAAAGAAAATTGTTGAACCAATGTTTAGGGGGCCACCAAGGACAGGGATGGCTTTGTCTTGTTTCTTCCTCGCGTCCACAACTCTAGCCCAGCCCTCTTCAACACAGCTTAAATATATAGGTGCCACTTATTTCTTTCTCCCTTCCCAGCCTGCATAAAAGTACACCTTTCATGAATTTTAACATATTGCTTGTTAGCTTGCAGTGTGTGGATCCATTGAACACTTAAATGTGGCCGTGTATGTTTTTGCATCCTTGAAAGTCTGTAAGAATCAGCACATATATAAAATTCCAGGGGCTCTGAGCTGCTCTTGTATCAGAGATTAGGCTCCAGGAAGGGAAATGTCTGCCTCGTTGGTGTCTGCTAAGTGTCCTGATCTCTATTGGTAATGCATCTGTTCATTCAGAGGGGTAGTCTAATTAAGACTTACAGTTGGAGTTGCCTCACCACTCTATGCCCCACTTTCCTCATCTATTAAATGTTTCTAATAATACTTAATTCATAGGCTAGTTATTAGAATTAAATGAAATTATATTGATAAGACATCACAGTATCTGGTACATAGTAAGTACTCAATAAATTCTAGCTATTATTGTTATATTATTATTGCTATTTTAATTTTACTATGATTTAGCTAAACATTTTAAAAGCCGCTGAGTATTTCCAGTTTGGAGTCTCAAGAATTCTAAGTTTCCCAGGCACTTATCATTTGCTTTATCTCTTCTTTTGCCAGATTCGGTTCCAACTTGTGCCATCTCTGGCCCCTCTGCTGAAGTTTCCAATAATGTGGAAATGCCTGTTGAGGAAACTGGGAGTAGCACAGGTCTTCTAAATTCCACCAGTACATCTGCTTTTGGCTCACTCTCAACGAAGTAACTGGTGAGATAAAATAAAACATGGTTCACATACCTCAAGATGCCTTTAACATGTGAATTATCACCATTATTTTGCTTTTCACAAATCATAGTTTCTATTTATTAGTTTTGCAAACATTAAGGAACAAAGATGATTACTTTGAAGCAACTGTTTTGACTTAGAACACACCATACAATTTCCTTGGGTTATATTATATGGCAACACTTAGCAGTGAATAGCTTATTAATTTATTATTCAACACACATTTGTTGAATGTCTGCCATTTAGAGCACAAAGGGCGAGGGACAGACAGAAGCATATGAAAGTCCCAGAGAAGAGGGGTCAGGAGAGGCTGTGGTTTCCCCCTGGGTTGTTTTCCAGAAGGGACACTGTGATTAGTCAGACTGCTTTTCTTTCTTTCTTTCTTTTTCTTTTCTTCTTTTTTTTTTTTTAGACAGAGTTTTGCTCTTGTGCTCTTGTTGCCCAGGCTGGAGTGCAATGGTGCGATCTCAGCTCACTGCAACCTCCTCCTCCCGGGTTCAAGTGATTCTCCTGCCTCAGCCTCCCAAATAGCTGGGATTACAGGCATGTGCTACCATGCCTGGCTAATTTTGTATTTTCAGTACAGATGAGGTTTCTCCATGTTGGTCAGGCTGGTCTCAAACTCCCGACCTCAGGTGATTTGCCTGCCTCTGCCTCCCAAAGTGCTGGGATTACAAACGTGAGCCACCGCGCCTGGCTGGCAGGCTGCTTTTCTAACCTCATATCTCATGAATCTCTATTTCTCATCACACTGAACATATCTGGTGTTCTTCACGCACACTTTGCAGCTTTTTTCCCCCCTTCTATTTACTTCAGTGGTTCTTTTCGTTTCTTTCTGCATATCTGTGTCCTCATGTGCTACCTGTTCTTCAAGTCCTGGCACAATTGTCACCTTTTCAATAAAACCTTTGATGTGCTTCAGTACAACTCTTTGTTCTTTGTTTTGTACTCCTAAGCATCTAGTTTCACCTGTGTTAGGGTACTAACAGGTTTTCTTTTTCTTTTATTTTATATTGGAATTATTTTGGTATCTGTTTGCTCTCCGATGTTAGGCTTATAAGCATCACAAAGAAAAGACTTGCCCACAATTTACCTAGTATTCCACGCAATGACTAGCACATTGCTTTGTACAAATTAAGTACTTATTTTTGGCAAATGAATAAATTAGCAAATGAATAATGTGGATCTAGAGACAGTCCTTGATAGGTGGGTAAGATTTGGATAGAAGGAGGCGGGAAAAAGCATATTATGACAGCTTTAGGGCATGAAAAGTACAAGATTCAGCTTGCAAGCTCAGGTCCCAGGTTCGTTCCTGGAATCCAGGGTGTGTAAGAGGAAGATGGGACAGTGGTCAAGAAGGAACTCCATTCAGTTCCTTCATTCAGCTGATGAAAGGCAGAGGCTCCAGCCATATCGTAGTGACCTTTATTGCTCCTCTGATGACTGCAGCCTGGTCAGCCTCTGCCCGTCTGGCCGTGAAGCCTGTCCAAGCCAAGGCCGCAGTGTTCCACACCAGGCAGAAGCTTGTAATTAGTATGCTTTCTGTGTTCCCGGATGGAACAGATGTCTGTCTGCTTTTTTCTGCTTAATTATGAAGACAGGTTCTCAGTGATCAAGATCCAATTTCAAATTTTTTGAAATACCGTGGCTGAGAAATTCTGCTTGGCCAGTTCTGAGGCCCAGACTTCCCCTTTGCAGGGAATATTTGCTCTGCAGATTAGTGTGTACAGAGGGTGCAGCTGGCTGGAGTGGTGGCAGCTCTTAGACTTGTCAAGGTGGAGTAGCTGATTGGAGGGAGTACCGGGCATGGTCTCCACGCAAATGTACATGCTCTTCTGTATTCCCTTCTCCACTACTATCAATGGGACCTTTTGCTGATCTTGTAAATACACTGCTACAAGAGAATATTTGGCATGTGAAATAGTTCCTCTTTACAAGTTTCTCTTTGGAAGGTAAAATGTATTGGTTGTACTTGCTATTAGTGAATTAGTCGACAAGATTCTTTCTTGCAGCAGAGTGATTCTGAGGATGACAGAGGAAACAGGATTGGGCTAGAGAAGAAAAACAGGTCCAGAGTCTGAAAAGCTGCCTAGGATCTCATTTCCATAATGTTTTTGAGAAGCAAGTTGAGGGGAGGATCCTGAAGAGGTAGATAAACTTCATCTATTGCTTATTTCTGTTTGGAGTCCCCAAATAACTAATTGGTGAAACATAGAAATTATTCTGAGTGCTGCATGGTATGGCTTGTGGCTATCTACACAGATTACACCTCTTTTCTCTTACCTCATCTTACCTCCCTGCATTACCCCCTCCCCGACTTTCATCTAAGTCTGTTGCTTTTTGCCTTCCAGATACATCCGGCTTCAGAGACATGCAATTAGCCCAGTTGTACAGAGCTCTGTGCTGAGAGGCTGGCCCACAGTTGGGGCTTAATGCTCTGTGGTTACCGTCTTGAAATTCTTAATAATTTTCTCATTGAATTTGCATTTTGTAAATGAAGTCTGATGGAATTAGATCCTCAGTTCTATTGGATTGGAGCCTCAGTTTACATGTGCTCCACCTCCTGCTGCCTTTGTAATGGGAGCACAACATTAAACAGAAAAAAACAAAAAAACAAAGAAACCCACTTTGTTGGGTTGGGAGAGAGATTACAGAGGAAAGGACAATGACTTTTTCCTTCTTTTAGGGCAAGTGGCTCTGCACATTTCTTTTGCACCAGGCTCTGTAAATTATGTAGCCAACCCTCAATGTATCAAATGAATATCTGCTTCCAAGCATTTATGTGACTACATTTTCCCACTTGGAATCCCCTCCCATAATTCTGTGTATTCAACTCCTGCTTACTCTTTAATGCTGAGTTCTAGTTCCATTTCTCTTAAGAAGTTTGGTCACTGATAACTCATTATGATGAACTCTTTTTTATAGAATTCACTTTATCACATGACAAATTAGCATCACTATATTGGGAAGAGTAATGAGACAATTATTTTCTCCCAGAACCTTGTAATTAACTATTGTATGCAGCAGGGGTGAAGGTGGGGATGGGGGTTGATATTCAAAATACTGGATACCTGGTTCAGCAGGAGCATAGAACAATCAAAATTGATGTTGGCTGCAGAACTGATGCAGGGTCTTATAAGTCCCCTGCTGTGCTGGTCATCACTTTCATAGTTGCTAGATGGGGACCTAGGGGGTTCCAAGGGAAGGCCTGGCACAGCTGGGACAGCACGGCAACATTTGAAATCAGCAGCTACTTACCAACTGACATGGATGTGTAGTTTGGCACCCTGGAAGGTCATACTGTAGCATCCTGGTTGAACGTCAGCCCTATTGGTTTGACTCACTGACAAGATTCTCAATGGTGTCTCCAGTTCTTAGTTCCTTCAAAGTGTCAAATGAGTAGGTTATAATAAGAAATCAAACCCTCAACTATTGATTACCTGTGATGGTCAAGACTCTGTGCTAGGTAATGTTGAGATTCACAGATACATAGATTCTGTACACCAGAGGTTTCTAATCAAATCTTGGAAATAAGACATACATAAATGATTGATATGAGGTAGAAAGTATCCTGAGAAAGAAACAGGTAAACTGCTGATGGGGTTGAAAGAGCTGAGAAATTACTCTGATTTGGTGGAAATGACATTGATCTGGGAAAGCCTTGAGAAAAGGATTTTGAATAAATAATCTGGATTTTGAAATAAAAGTGATATTTTAAAACTCATGACTGTAGAAAGGAAAGTCTGAAAGGACCAAAGGAATGCCCACTGTGGACCCCCATAGCTCTAGAATCCTGTGCATCTTTACCTCCGGGCTTTGTTTTTTCCTTTCTGTGTGTGTCCTATGTACGTCAATCAGGTTTGAAGCTTCTCAAGTGTCTCTAGTTTTTGTTCCTGGCACATGCTCGTAAATGCTTGATGATTACAATGACAACTGCCTTCTAAAGCTTTATGTTCCTCATGAAAATGGAGACACGGTGTGTCAAGATTATCATCTTGGATCATGGCTAATGTCTGGAGGGTGAATCTTTTATAACCAGTTAGAATCATGTGAGAATGGACTGGAGTGTGTGTTTGTGTGTGTGTATGTGTGTGTGTGATCTTATTGAACACTAAGATTGTGGGTTTTAAACACAGGCCTTGGCTTTAGGTGTGCTTTGTGGTCCCAACCGAGAAGTCATCATAACAGGTCTTAAGTATCAATAATAATATTATTGTTTAAGACAAAAAATATACACATATGTTGATTAGGCATAGAAGTATGTGGATATTATTCAATAAAAGCAGGGCCAGAATATCTCTCAATTTTTGGTTGTTTCTCAAAAAGCTAAAACCCATTCATTTACCTTCTGGGCTAGGTTGTAGCCAGGTCTGTTGCACTGAAGTCTCAATGATGGAGGAATAGGTAAAAAGTAGAAGAATGTCACTGTGGTGAGGCAAGGATTTCATCTTATGATGATAAGGGCTTGAATACTGACCTGGCCTCTCTACCCTTGCCAAGCTCACCGTGGTATACATGGCAGCATGCCTGCAGTTTTCAGGTCCTCTGCCTTGGTGAATTCCTTGCTTCACACTGGCTGCTGAGGCCATCAGACTTTGGGTAGGCCTCTGGATCAATAAGGATGAAAATCAACATATACATTACCACTATGAGTGTTTGATCTCATGCAAATCTGCTGCATGATCCATTTACTGATTCAAGGTTAATGAAGTTGCAACAGCTGAACTGATTCTGCATCCTTTGCTCATTCTTGAATCTGGATTAGCCTTTGAACACTGGCCTACCTCACTTCCACCATTACTGAAGTCCCAGCTCTGGGATTTTATCAGGGGTGAGTAGCAGAAATGTAGACAGAATCAAAGATTTAGAATGTGTTAATCTCCAGTTCCGCTCTTAGAAGAGGTGCTCTTGTGATTTTATTCAACACCATTGCTTGGTAGAATGGTGGGTAAGCGTTGATTCCCTTTGTTCTAATCTTTTGCTCCTTAGGTAATTTTTGATTTATCATGAAGGATAACCTGGGCAAGGCATATAGTTCTCAGGCTCACTCTTACAGACTTATGTAGCTCCTAAAACTATTGCAGACTTAGGTGTTCAATTTTGAACTATAAGAAAGGTTGGCAGGGCCTGAACTTAGTTATAGAGAATTTGTTCATGTCAAAAGTTCCTGGTGAGTCATCACATAATGTCTGGTTGGTATCACACCGATTGGATGGAATTTTGTGTGGCAGGAGACAAAACTGGCTTACTTGTTGGAATACTGTGATTTCAGGAGCTCTAGGGAAGCCCATTGCTCAAGAAAAACCCTTCCCCAGCTTCTGTTTAATTTCTGAAATACTCCAGAGTATCCTCCCTCAAGCGGGTAGCTTTTAGCCCTGTTGAATTCTTCATGAGGGGATTGATAGTTCTTTTTTTTTAATTTTTTTAATTTTGACAGAGCCTCGCTCTGTCGCCCAGTCTGGAGTGCAGTGGCATGATCTCGGCTTACTACAAGCTCCACCTCCTGGGTTCACGCCATTCTCCTACCTCAGTCTCCCGAGTAGCTGGGACTACAGGTGCCCGCCACCACACCCGGCTAATTTTTTTTTTGTATTTTTAGTAGAGACGGGGTTTTGCCATGGTGGCCAGGCTGGTCTTGAACTCCTGACCTCAGATGATCCACCCGCCTCAGCCTCCCAAAGTGCTGGGATTACAGGCGTGAGCCACTGTGCCCACCCCAATAATTCTTTATATTTGTTGGTTAATAAAGTGCCTAAGAGCATTGAGAAAAATTGAGAAGAATGACAACAGAGGTGACGGCACCAGAGAAGAACTTCTGGGTTAAAGATAGCCAACTTCTCACTCTCTCTTTATTTATTTGTGGCAAATATAAATACCACCAGTACAAATATTAGCCAAATTATTCTACTTTACAAGATTAATGGGTAGCTCTAAAAGTTTGATCATGTCCCTACATCTTGAGGGGCAAATGACTAAGGATTTCTTTCATTTTGAGTTCTATCTTGTAGTAAAACCTGATAGTTTAATGAATGAATTCTTTGATTTCTTGGAGGAGAAATATTTTTACAACTTAAAACAACTTAATGTGCTTTTCTCAGCTTGTCTTTTTTTCAGCTTCTTTTGGCTCCAATTTTGTCAATTGCATATAGAAGCCCTAAAAAAGTCCAGCTAACTAAATGGTAGACCTTGTATAAAGTAACTCCTCTAATTTCTAGAGGAATCAATGCCAAAGGCTTCTGCTATTCTAAACTGCTGCCGTGGAGACAAATCTTATGCATAAGCTGGGTGACTTTCTTTCTTTCTTTTAAACCAAGCATCGAAATGCTTGTTCCTCAAAATATTTAGATAATGAAAATATAAAACCTATTTCATAGTAAATAGCAATTCAAGTAGATTCTGGGGGAAAAGTCAAGAGTCAGAGAATGTTAAAGTTTAATGGGGACATATTTTGAAGAGGAGGTTATCATCGGTGCCTAGAGAGACCTTTGCAAGATTCCATCACCAGTTACAGACAAAACTTAACTAAGACCCACGTCTCCTGATTCATAGTCTAATTCTATTTTCACTGCTTCCTGGTGTGGTGTCTGATTCATTTGTGCCACATTGAGAGGAAAGGGGGTGTCATTAGTCATCTTTTGCCCAAGGTCCACTCAAGCTTGATATAATAAAAACAGTACAGGAGAGGAATGTGTCACTGTTATGATGCCCATATGACCACCAAGACCATAGTGGAGAAGTGGAACTTTGAATGAATGTTTCTTCTACCAGAAGAAATTTGAAGAGCAGTTTGATTGACACAAGTTAGGAGCAGTGCTGTTAATTTGGCTCATCAGGTATAATGAACGTGGCTAGATAATGCTAGCTAGGGCTGGGTGCGGTGGCTCATGCCTGTAATCCCAGCACTTTGGGAGGCCAAGGTGGGTGGATCACGAGGTCAGGAGTTTGAGACCAGCCTGGCCAATATGGTGAAACCCCCAACTCTACTAAAAATAAAAATAAAAATAAGTTAGCCAGGTGTGGTGGCACACGCCTATAGTCTCAGCTACTCGGGAGGCTCAGGCAGAAGAATCACTTGAACCTGGGAAGCGGAGGTTGCAGTGAGCCAAGATTGCACCATTGCACTCCAGCCTGGGTGACAGAGCGAGACTTTGTCTCAAAACAAACAAACAAACAAACAAACAAACAAACAAACAAAGATTATGCTAACTAGGCAGGGTCCTCTGGTTTCATATATCCAAGACACTACATTGTAGAAATAAGAGAAAAGAGTGTCATGATTTTTTATGCTTTGAAATTTATCAATCTAATTCGCCAGAAGTTCATCAAGTATCCATATGCCCAATACTGTAGAGTTAGTTCAGCTGCTATAGCTACTATCACACCTTTTGCCAGATGGCTCAGAACATGGGCATAAGGGCCACATCTCTGGGAGTATTTAAAGAGTTCTACCATCAAATATGAGTCAAAGTAGTATTGCTGTATGTAACCTGGAATCTTAGCATTGGAGGAAATATTAAAATCCTACCCATCCTTCTTCCTAATTCGGGTGTCCCTCAGTGGTGGCCTCTAGAGATCCATCTAAACTTAAGATTCATTTCTTCTAGCCCTAAGATTCTGTTCTTTAACATCATCAAATCAATTCCCCTTTCTTTTTTTTTTTTTTTTGAGACAGAATTTAGCTCTGTCACTCAGGCTGGAGTGCCGTGGTGCAATCTCGGCTCACTGTAACCTCCGCCTTCTGGGTTCAAGCAATTCTCATGCCTCAGCCTCCCCCAAGCAGCTGGGATTACAGTCACCTGCCACCATGCCCAGCTAATTTTTGTATTTTTAGTAGAGACAGGGTTTCACCACGTTGGCCAGGCTGGTCTCGAGCTCCGACTTCAGGTGATCCGCCTGCCTCGGCCTCCCAAAATCCTGGGATTACAGGCGTGAGCCACCGCGCCCGGCCCCTTTCTTCTTAATTCTAATTATTTCTTTTCTTGCACTGACGTTTTCCCCTCTAGGTTTCCTTCTTTTACCCCTTTTTCCCTTTTAGCTTTCTTTCTTCCACTATCCTTGCACTTTAGATCAGTTTAATTCCAAAAGCATTTATTAAACAACGGTAGCTAGAAAACATTTATGCAGATTTTGTGGGAAGATATTAAGGAATTAAAGGTGCAATTTCTAGTTTGTCCTATGAGATTAGAACTAAGACAAATGACATAAAACATCTAAGTAACATTTCCAAAGCACATCCCATTGTAGGGATGTGACTGAGGCAGACACTGAATTCTAACAAGGTGGCTTAAATTATGTAGATCCTCAATATATGTTTGCTGAATGACAGAAATAAGACTTATTGAATATAAAGTAAAGGTCAACTCACAATAAAATGATTGTGATCATTATTGGTAAAGGGACAATCTGGAAAAACTTTTTACAACTTTTTGCACGTTTCCATTGTGTCCTCTCCCTTCTATATGTTCCAGCCACACAATCTGAGGTTGGTTTCTATGTTATTTCTTCTTGCCTGTTTGGTGAAATTATAGTCATCTTCCAAGTCCCAATTCAAAGGTCATCTCATTTGGCAGATAGTCCCTAAACTGCCCCAACTACCAAACCCTACAGGGTATGCTGGTAATTCCCATATCCTTCTCTACACGTTCCTCTATCCTGTACCACTCTTGGGTCAGGAAGGTTCAGATTAAACTTCCAATTATCTATTTTTTTAAAAAAAACATTGACTATATTGAGCATATGCTATGTAATATACAAGCTGTGATAATACAAAAATAAGTAAGTCATGACCTTGAATTTAAGAGCTCATTATCTAGTGTGGAAATTCATGCAAGTACATAAACAGCTCAAAGTGAGAAGGGCTAAAATAGAATCAGGGTATATGCTTGATAACTAATTTGAGTATTCCCAATGTGAGAATAATTAGTTTGAAATTAAAGCAGATAATAGGATACTTGTGAAAAATTAAAGTGAGTGAAGATTTTATTTAAGAATCCCTACATATCAGAAAGGTCTATAGTTTGACGTTACTCAGTAAGCAACTGACGTCTGAGTGTTCTACCCTACTCTCTCATCAACAGCCCTGTGACCAGCTCCCTGTGAAGGAAGGAAGAGACTGTGGCTTGCTGTAGATGGAGATGAGGGCTGCAGGAGGAGAGAATGGGAAGCCAGTGTGGTTGGGATTCTCATACCTGTGTATTCTCACTTCACAGGGTTGGGGTTTTGAGGGTGGAGGGCTCGGGTGAGCTGGGCCCATTTTCAGTTCTGAAGATGCTCTGCCAAGAACTTGATCACAGTAACAGCCAAATCAGGAAATGTATGCAATGTTTGATGTTGCTAAGCTATTGTACTTCTACTAATTCTACACTCTTGGAACAGGAAATGTGTCCTAAACATTGGAAATAATTTCAGCAAAAATAATTTTGCATTATATCTCTTCTAAGTGAAAAAGAAAGCTCAGGTGAGAGGCTAGGCAAAACTTTGAAAAGGAAGTAAGGGACAATAAAGGGGCTCAAAATTTAAGTCTCAGAGCACTGGGCTCCTATTCTCAGAAGAGCAAAGGAGACTCAGGGTGGCCAAGAGTCATCTTGGAGCATCCAGATCCCTGGGCTGGAGTGTGGAGTAATCCTCAGTCTCAAGAATTATCTTTCCTGCAAGTAGGTGAACAAATAATTCACACAAAAGAAATTGAGAGGGCCAGTAAACATACAGTGAAAACATTAATTCCCTTGTCAGCAAAAAAGAGTTTTATGTACTCCTTTTTTCCCCCTTAACAGTAGGCTTGCAACTGCCTTCCCCCAGTCTCTGCCTCTGTTGTCACATGGCACCTCCCTGTGTGTGTCTCTGTTTTCACAAGGTTTTTCTCTTCTTATAAGGATGTTCATCATATTGGACCAGGGCACACCCTAATTTATGTCAGTTTCACTCAATCACATTGGCCATGACCCTATTTCCAAAGAAGGTCACATTCATACATTTTGGGGGTTAGGATGTCAACATATCTTTTTTCGGGGACACCGTTCAAGTCATAAAAGCAAACATCATAGTTTGTCATCATTTTTTGAAAATCTGATTTTTGATGGCTATATATGATTCCATTTTATGGATGCAGCATAATTAAAATATCCATCAAAATGAAAAAACTAAATGATTAGGTTGTTCTGATGATGGTTTGTAGAAATGTACACATTTTTTGTTTTATACTGTTGGTGTGCACATTAATTGATTCAATTCTCTTACTTCCAGTAAGGGATGTAGCTTAAGAACTAGGCTGGAAGCTGATATCCTCTCCGTAGAGGTGAGTGAAAGTTCATTTTGCAAACCACTCAAGCTCTGGGCTTCTGACATCTATATAGGAGTTTTACAGTCTTTGGGACAGAAAATAGAGTTAAAGGCATCCAAGTAATAAGGAGAGTAAACTTCTCCTCTGTCCATTCCATCTCCAGCCTCAGAGAACCCAGGCTTGAGAACAGGATCCCTCTTGTAGGTACTGGCCACCCTGGGCTGCTGGAGAGTCTCTTGTGTGTCCCCTTCTCTCCCATTCCATGTTCCTAAGAGTCCAGATTGGCAGCTGCTTTTTACACAGCTTCTGGAACCCAGCATGAATCAGGTGAGCAGCAGGTATGCAGGTGGACCTTCACAGAGTTTAAACTTTTGGGAATGATGGACAAGAAACTGCAGGGTTATCTTTCTCTATGCCCCCCCTGGACCGCAGGATGGGTTAAAGAGCCCTTCTGAGCTTTCGTGACACTTGAGCCTTGACTGATCTTGAATTTACTACAGCATATTAAGAGGAGGTGTTAATTTTTCTACTTCTGATGTTAGCTTGTGAGCTCCTCAAGGGCCAGAACTGTGCTGTATTCATTTTCATAGTCATGTTCATATACTCAGTATGTAGGACCACGATCTACATATATTGGTGGAACTGAACAGAAACGTTCATGTTGAGCCTTCAGAAATATTGCTGGGACACTCCTGTTTAGTAGACAGTTCATTTAGGGACCACTGGAAGGGACTACCCACGTTTCCTTTTACCTAGGTAATACTCAAAGCCAATTTTCCCTCCCTTCTCGCATCCTACCCATCAGGCTTTCTGTATTCCTGCTGTGCATTCTGACTCTGGGTCTCTGGTGCCCTTAAAATAGGCCAATGAGCACCTGACCCCACATCCAAGGTGTGCTATCCCTGGAAAGGGAGAATAAGCCTCCACTGAGCAGTGCAGGCCACCCCTATGCCAGCTCACCAGGATTTTGGCACATGGGTGCGGAGTATACCACACTGCTCTTTTCTCTCTTCTGGAAAGACACAAAGTACACAAGCAATTTTGCTTGGGGAAATACTCGATTTTCCTATTCTTTTGGGTGGGGGCTGGTGTGGAGTTGGGCCTTCCTCTTTGTCTCCTGGGCCCCTCAATCACATTTCTTAAGATCTGTGTCAGGTGGTTCTAGTGAGAAAGATGGCCCAGCCCAGGCTCTGACCCTCTGCGTAGCCTGTTCAGAGGATTTTGGCAACATTGTCAGTGGGAAAAGCATAGCTGAGTTCTAGTGATGAGTTCTAGTGATTGGTGCTGCTCTATTAACAACAGGGATGTGAACAATTTCAGGTAGGAGATCAGTGCTAATAGAAAAGCGATTTCTTTTTATTTCTTCAATGTTTATAGACTCTGAGCAAAATTGCTAAAGGAGGCATCTCCAATTTGCAGGAATAACACCTTGGTACCATGTTGGAATAGAGACTCTTGATACATAAATGTGATTGGGACACAAATGCACAGCAAGTTATGGCATCTCTTTCAGTTTTAACAATAATCAAGCAGCAAAACACCACTACTTGGGGGGCTGAATGTTGAAACAGCATGCTTCCAATTAGAATGCCTTCCTCTTACAGGATCTCAATTGTGCCCAGGTGTGTGAAGTGATGTTACAAAGGCTGCCCAGACAGGGGAGAAATATCTAGGGTGACTTCAGCCTTTGGTTTGGGCCTGAGGATTAATTGTCTTAATGATTTTCCAAATGGACAGTAACACAGTTGGAGAATTCCACTCTCCAGAGAGCTTCTCAAAACAACCTCTTTTCTGTTATCAAAATATTAAATCACACCTGCTCAGGACCCAGACTCCTTGCTCTTCTTAAACACACATGCAGATATGCATATATGAATATGCATGCATTTACAAACATACATCTTTGCTTAATATGTTCTCTGAAGATTTTCTGTAGCCATACTTTTTATGATTAGCCTACCATGTCATAATTAGAAATGAATAGCAAATTATTGAGTGCTCACCAGGTATCAGATGCTCTGCTAAGTCCTTTACCTACATTATCTTATTTAATCCTTTATATCCCTGCTAGGTAGCAACTATGATCATCCCTACTTTATAGGAAAGGAACTAGAGGCTCAGAGAAGTTATAGGATTTGCCCTAGTCCATGAAAGTAGTAAGGGGCAGAACAAAGACATTAGGTCAGGTCTGTGCACCATTCCACCACATGCTGGTGCAAGAGACATCTCAGGAGTGTGGGGGAGCTGGAACTCACAGAAATCCCAGTGCCCCAGGTACTCTCCCGGACTGCACTGCTGGCATCTGTCGCCCCTGGTTAGTCTGCACTGCAGAGGCACCTGTTAGAGCTGCCATTGTTTCTGCCCTGAAGAGTCTGGCTTTCACTACTCTAAGAGATGGGGTTGAGGCCACTGCACATAGTGGTTTTTATTCTTGACACCTTGTTTCATATGGTCACCTGCTGCCTGCCTATCTCCTGGCAGTGGTCGTGTTGAGTGGAATCAGGCCCCATCTAGAAATGGAAGAGCTGGGGCAAATTTGCTTACATTCACTCACTCACCAAATACATTTTGAGCACTTTTTTTTTTCTTTGATAATGCACTGGAGCCTGGAATATTATGGGGAAATTGATCAGACTTGGTCTCTGCCTTTGCAGAGGTGGCAGAGTTTATTCCTTTAAATTATCTGAAGATTTCCTGATCACAATATAAGGATACTAATCTCAAGACATTGTTGAGAGTATTAAATTAAATGAGAGAATATCTATGAAAGTACTTTATAAACTCTGAAGTGCTAAGCAAATAACTGTTGCTGTCATTTATATCTTAATGGGTTACTGGCATAGCGCCTTGCCTCAATACCCAGGATTCCTGCTAAGAATCTGTCCTCCTTGCTGGGTGTTTACATTAGCCCTTCTGAAATTAACATTCAAACAGCATTGGAGTTCTTACTGTGCTCCAATGCATCATCTATTTACTCTCTGAAAGTCTAGGGAATCAGGGACTGTTACTCAGGGCACAGATTTGCTCCTGCTTGCTTTGCTCTAAACTAAAAATGGCAATATTTAATATATATTCTTTCTGTCTTGTTTTTTTTTCATTTAGTTACTAATCATGGACAACTTTCCACATATAGCCCTTTCTTTGCCGCTTTAAGACCACATTGTTCTTGTTAACAATTGCATTGTATTTTATTATATGATTTAGCATCATATATTTAATCAGTCTCCTATTCATGGGCATTTATATGGCTTCTAATTGTTCACTACTGTAAACAATGCTTTAATGGAAATTCTTGCATATGTATCCATGTCAATTTGTGTTAGTTTGTCCTTGGTATAAAAGTGGGGTTGTAGGTGCCTGGCTAGTTCAGTTGGTAGAGGATGAGACTCTTGAAAGTGGAGTTGTAAGTTGAAGGGTATCATGGTTAGTATTGAGTGTCAATTTGATTGGATTCAAGGATGCAAAGTGTTGTTCCTGGGTGTGTCTGTGAGGGTGTTGCCAAAGGAGATTAACATTTAAGTCAGTGGACTGGAAGAGGCCGACCCACCCCCAGTCTAGGTGGGCACCATCTAATCAGCTGCCAGCATGGCTAGAATAAAGCAGGCAGAAAAACGTGGAAAGGCTAGACCTGCTGAGTCTTCCGGCCTTCATTTTTCTCCTGTGCTGGATGCTTCCTGCCCTCGAACATCAGACTCCAAGTTCTTCAGCTTTTGGACTGTTGGACTTACATCAGTGGTTTGCCAGGGGCTCTCTGGCCTTTGGTCACAGATTGAAGGCTGCACTGTTGGCTTCCCTACTTTTGAGGTTTTGGGACTCGGACTGGTCCACCACTGGCTTCCTTGCTCCTCAGCTTGTAGATGGCCTATCATGGGATTCTTCACCTTGTGATCCTGTGAGTCAATTCTCCTTAATAAACTCCCTTTCATTTATATACATCTATCCTATTAGTTCTGTCCCTCTAGGGAACCCTGACTAATACAAAGGGCATTTATGTTTTATATTTTGATAGATGCTGTCAAACTGTCTTCTAAAAAATTGTTACAGTTTACACTACTTTACTGTGTGAGTACCATACATTCTTGCCAACACAGCTATTAATAATCTTTAAAAGCATTTGACAAACTTATAGACAAAGTTCATATTTTATTATTTAATTTGTATTTTTTTTAATTGTTGGTAAGACAGTGTGTTTTTTGGCTTCTTAATTTCTTTCGTAAATTACTGTTTCATATCTTTCAGCCATTTATCTATGGATTGTTAATATTTTTCTTCATTGAATTGTCAGAAAGTATGCACTCAATATTGCTAAACGTATAAAACAAAGCAAGAGTCATTGAGAAAGTAGAACATGCTTCATGGTGTTTTATCCCAACTATGGTAAATACAGACAATAACACTTGCATGAACCCTTAATGCTTTTTCCATCTAGCAGGCTTTATGCTAGGGGCTGGAGATAGATCTGTGAACCAGACAAGCACGGTGCCTGACCTCACAGAACTCACAGAGCAGTGTGGCGGGGCTGCTAGATGAACCAGTAGTGGTGACAGATGAGGGTGTGATAAGGGTGGTGGCAGATGTTGGCCAGAGCTGTAAGTCCTGCACTCAGGGCTTGGAGTCAAGACAAACTTTCCAGAATAAACCTCATCCAACCTGGAGGAGTGAATCAGACTTAATTAGTCAAAGGCACAAGGGGATCACTGTTCTAGCCAGAGGGACCAGCAGATGTGAAGGTCCAGGAATGGGAGAGAGTTCATCGCTCCAGACTCTGGAGTTCAGTATTTCTGGAGCAGGAGGGCATAAGGAGTTGTGGTGAGGATGGTGGGGAGGGAGGAAGCCAACAAGGAAGGGAGGGGCAAACGATGCTGGGCCTTCTAAATTATATTACCGAGTTTATCCTTCATTTTAAGAGCAATGGGTAACTATTGTGTGGTTTTAAACAGAGCAACAACATAATCAGACCTGTTCTTTAGAAAGATCACGCTGGGATGCTATGTAGAAGTTGGGAAGGGGTGAGACTGGATTTAGAAAGACCCCCTGAAAGAAATGGGGGCCTAGAGCTAGGGACCACCAGCCGGATGGAGAAAAGTGGTGGCTTTGAGAGATGGTGAGGTACTTTAGATTCTTGCCTAACTTCCTCGGCAATGGCATGTTGGCCAGACGACTCAGAAGGATGCAGAAACGTTGGGCATCTAAATGACTTCTTTCAGCCTCCTGTGGTGCCGTTTCTGAGCTCTGAATCAGTAATTTAGAGCTGGGTGAGACTTAATAAAATCACTAGGATGAATTCCAGGGTGTATCTGACTGTGTGAGATTTTCTTAGTGTGCAGGCAGCATGCTAATTGCCAAGCTCCTTCTTTTCTGAGCAGCGTGATGCTTAAAACCAAAAGGATTTATTCCTATGAAAAAATGTGCAAGTGTTTAAAGATCATCAGTTCTCTCGTAAGTCTTTTGCCCATGAGTTCATTCTTCTCTGTGCAAAGGGGGCAAATAAGACTCTATAGAGTCATAGGTGGTATTCTTTGATATTCCTGGTCTATAATATGGCTGCTGTTACTGGGCTCCTTGGACATTTGTGTCTGCTAATGCTGCCTAATTTTTATTTTGCTGATCATCAAATTGTCTATTAAAATATTACTGTGCCTTCAATCAGAGTTGTTGTACTGTGTTTTCCTCTATGGTTTCCAAAGCTGAAAGGTAGTCACACAGTTAGAACTCATTACATGGGGATGAATTCAACCCATTCAACTGGCAGGGGCTTCTCCTGGAGAGCTGGTGTCCCACAGAATGGAAAAAAATGACAAAAGATGACTACTTGTTATCCACCTATAGTTTAATCAAGAAAGTTGGTAGCCTACAGTGTTGAAACCTACCTGACTAGAGATGAGAGACCTGAGGAGGCTGTCAGCTGCAGCCATGGGCAGTGGGTCTCCTCTTCCTAGCAGCTGGCAGCCACAGGCTGACATTTGCTCACCCACATGGGTGGGGGCTCCACACCAGGGCAGAGAGCATTCCACTGCTGTCTTTATCATCAGCAATCAAGGTCCCAAGTGCCATCTGGAGAAAGCTGCCCTTCTGGCTGTTGGATTATCTGTTGGATTTACTGCCTCTCTCTTTCTTTCTCCTGCTTCTGCTGAACCCCTGGTTATGGAAGTGCAGCTTATCTGTCTTTGGCTCACTGAACTTTTGTCCAACTTGACTGTAATGACTTTCTGGACAAAGCACCTTAACGTGGCCATTTGGAAAGTGTTTATCCCCTATTCCTCGCTCACTAGTGCCTGCCTCCTAGATTCCAGATCTAGCGTGACTATGCCCGCTGACCTGTTAACTAAATGCTTTGCTCACATCCAAATTTATTCTCTGCTAGGTTTATGTCTGGCTGACAATGGGAGTTTTGACTCTTCCAGTCTGCCTCGTTATTTTTGGTGTGTAAGACATGTCACCATAGAGATAGAACATGGAAGAAAGTAATATACTTTGACTCTGTAATGCAGATTCTGCTGAGATCACCCTGGCTTGAGAGAGTCAAATGGAATTCACTTGAACCTTTATTCCTCTGGCAGTGAGGGACATTTACCTAAAAGTCTCTGTGCAACTCTTTTAGGTAAATGTGGTGGTGAGATGTGCTGTTTTCCTTCATTAGCTCTGTTTCTCTGCTTCTACTGAGTAAGTTCAGTGTAGTGGGATTATCTCAGCCTCAGCACTGGGTGTGTGTTGCTCTTTTCCTTATTACATTATTCCATGCTAGAAACCACCTGATATGTTCTTACTCTCAAGAATACTTATCTGCACAGGGTTGAGAGGGGCCTGACTTTCCCTGAAGGCTCCAATTTACAGGGGGAATTTATATTACAACATTGCAAATCATTTAAATCAAATTAAAATACCCCGATTTTAAAAGTCCTTAGAGGAGACTGTTACAGGAATTTCTCATTGCTGTTCTCCCCTCCCCAAACTCTTCTATTGGCTGCTTTAGTTCCTCGAGCTCACAGCCAATTTCAGTTAACACGTAGACAGTTCTGTTGCTGTTTGTTTTTCTGCCTTTGGGGCTTACTTTCCATATGCAGTCCATATGCAAAGAATCCAATCAGGGTCTTCAATAAGAGTCTGGAGTCTTCTATAAGACTGGAATCTGCTGGTGCTGGCTCTGAAGAATTGGTTGTTAGATATTCAGGAATCTTCGGCCCACTGGAGTTTGAGGTTAGTCGTAGTGGGAGTATTTACACCACAGAAATTGGCAAATGCTGCAAATTAGTTGATGTGTGTGTGTGTTTGTGCAGATACACATGTGTGCATGCACACACACACATTATTTGGAGAGCCAGTTTAGCAGCAGACTTCAGAAAGCTGAGTGTATGGAGAAACATCCCTTCATACTATTAGAGTCAGAAATGGCTGCTGTGAATTGTGACATTTTTATCTTCATCACACAGGCAGAAGTAAAATTTGTTTATGATGGAAGCTACTGCTGAGCTTAGCTAAAATCTATCAAGAATGTGCTGCAATTTTAGATCTGGACATTATCTTGGCTGTTGTTGTTGTGAGGACAAACCAAGCCTAGTTTTCCTTCTAAGTCTCCATCTGTGCAGAGATAATGGGGTGCTCAGGATGAGTGAGGAGAGGATCTTTAAGAAGATATTTGTGAGCTTAGGGATTTAGCCACATCCAGTTTCTGAGGGAGAATAAAGATAAAAGCCAGAAAGGGAGGAACCAGAGAAGATGAGGATTGAATAACAGACTAAGGGACCATCCTTATTAGCTGGGTTAGTGAAAAACAGGCACAAAATAGATCAAGATACAATTTTACAAAGATTTGTCTTGTGAATTGTTATTTAATAAATTGGGATGGGAGGTTGAATAGAATGAGGGAGATGATGTAGAAAGCTGTTTTGATATGTAACTCTTCATGCTCCCATTTCCTACATTCTTATTAGTCCGTTTCTTCAGGATTTTCTTCCTTCACCTCAGATGAGGCTAATGGAGGTCATGTTTTCTTTTTGCCTGGTCCATGCTAAATAATTCATTAGTGTTTCCAAATGAGACTTAATTGTGTCATTTCTTTATGATAAATCACTGAGGAGAAAATTGCTTTAATAGAAAACCCAATTAAAACCCACTGCCAGTAGCTGCAGGGCCCATTCAATGGAAGATTAGCACTGCTTGGCCTTTGGCTCTCACTTAATGAATGTTAACCATTGCCCCATCAACTCCAGCATTTGTGAAACCTTAGTGTAGGACTGGAATGTAGTCTCGTTATGGAGAGTATGTGGAGGGAAGTGGGTGAGACTGTGAACTGGGAAACTGGGACTGATTCTGGCGCTTCCAGTTTCTAGGCCAGAGTTTCCTCTTTTTCTGGAAACTGAGAGTTAATCTGGTGTAAACTGTCACAGCAGCTCTGAAGGGGATGATATGATGAATCTGTTGAAGCTGCATCTGTGCACACGTTATGCCCCGGAAATTCAGATTCCTGATATCTGCACTAGAGAAAGATTCATACATGGTCAAGGAGACAGGCCATCTCTAAGCAAGGCAGCAAACTGTAGACAGTGAAACCGGGCAGACTCATAACTTATCATCTCTTGGGCTCAGCTTTCTTATCTATAAAATGGGAATAGTAAAAACACATAGAGACTTGTTTTCAGTTTCAGATGAAATAAATGCCTATAAAGCACTTTGCATAGTGTCTGATACATGCATTTTCAATGAACAGCAAGTAACAGTTTTGGTTTAAAATTAACTTTTTTTCTTTTTTTTTTGAGACTGAGTTTTGCTCTTGTTGCCCAGGCTGGAGTGCAATGGCACGATCTCGGCTCACTACAACCTCTGCCTCCCGGGTTCAAGAGATTCTCCTTCCTCAGCCTCCTGAGTAGCTGGGATTACAGGCATGTGCCACCACACCTAGCTAATTTTTTGTATTTTTAGTACAGATAGGGTTTTTCCATGTTGGTCAGGCTGGTCTTGAACTCACAACCTCAGGTGATCCACCCGCCTTGGCCTCCCAAAGTGCTGGGATTATAGACCTCAGCCACCATGCCTGGCTAAAATTAAATTTTAATTAAACAAAAATACAGTATCCCTGTTAAAAATGGAAATATTACAGATAGATGAGGCCAAAGTGTCCCTCAGCCATTTATTCTCCTCAATTTCATTCTTAGTTTCCTACCCCTCTATTGAGAGGTAATCACTCTTGACATTTTTTGGCATATCTTTCCTGATCTTTTGCTGGGCATAGACATGTATTTTTTTCGCCCTAGAGGTAATATATAGTATTCTACAGCTTTTTTTCTTCAATTGTTATGTTTTTGAGATCAACCCAAGTTAATAGGTGTAGATAACTTACTATCTTTAACTACTGCAGAGTCCCCTAGGGTGTATGCATTATATTTTTAAAAACCATTTCTCTATCAATGGACATTTTGGTTAATCCTACTTTTTTACTTGCACAAACAATGCTGCAACAAACATCTTTACAGCTCACTTGTGCAAAAATTTCTCGAGGGAAGCCATCAAGAAGTAGATGCACAGGATCAAAAGGGGTACGTATTTTTAGCTTCAACTTGTTCTGCACTACGACCACCAAAGTGGCAATGCCAATTTGCATTTCAACCAACAGCAGTTGACAGTAACATTTTCTTTATACTCTTGTCAAATTTGTCAGCCCTTTTTAAATGTCTAATAATCATGTGTGTGAAAAAAGAAAAGATATATCATTTGTGGTTTTAACATGCTAATGATCAGTGAGGTTGAGTATACGTTTACATGTTTATTTGCTGTTTATATTTCCTTTATTGTGAATTGCCTGGAAATATATGTTGCCTATTTTTCTGCCAGTTTGATGTTTTCTTATTGATATGGGATACTAATTATTTGTTCTATATGATGCAAATATTTTCTATTTTTGCTTGTGTTTTAACTCTGCTTGTGGTATCTTTTGACAAACAGAAATTTTAAATTGTGAGGTAGCTAAATTTATTATTCTTTTAAAGATTTTTTTTTGTGTTTTTGCATCGTTTAAGGAGAACTTTTCCTACCCCCAAAGTCATAGATACATTCTCCAACATTTTCTTTTAACACTTTGTGTTTAATCTATATGGAATCTTTATATTAACAAATTTTCTTTTTTGTTTCAAAAGGAAGTCTATTATTCCCAGTATCACTTACTTACTAATCTGTTCTTTCCTCATAAAGTGTTAACTTCATTGAACATTAAGTTCCTACATCAACATGGATCTGTTTCAGTTTTTGATTATTTTTAAATAACCTATTTACTCCTACACCGATGCCATATAATTGCTGTAGCTTTTAATATATCTTGACACCTAGGAGGGCCGGTCCCAATTCTGTTCTTTCATAAAATTTTCTTAGCTATTCTTGCCCATTTGCTCTTCCAAATACATTCTAGAATCAGTTTGAATGTTCCATGAAGAAACTCATCAGACTTTGATTGAAATTGTATTGACTGCATAGATTTATTATGGGAGAAGTGATGATAAAGATGCTATTGATAAGGATGACAAGAATAGATTTTTTATTTCTGCCAGTGTATTTTCTGGAGTTCCAAACTGGATCTGTTGAAACAAGTGAAGATGATAGTGATGGTGATGAGCTCTCTTCCCTGTTTACTATTTCTCTCCTTAAGTGACCCCCTTTTCTTGGATTAAGTCTCCTTAGAACACAGCATTGATGAGATCTGAAGAAACTTGAGTAAGGCATTTAAACATCACTTAGGAGTAGAGCAATGCTGTGGTACCTACTCTGCTCAATGTGACATTTGACCCACTCACACACTTCCTGAGGATCATCTCCAGCTCAGGAACCCAGGCTTCGTTTCCAGATCTCACACTGGCTCTCAGGCAGCAAGACCACCTACCTTACCATATGAGGACCCCTTCCAAATGTAATGGTTCTCACGTGAAAGCAGTTATTCTTCTGGCACTTGTTGTTTGAGAACACATATAATGAAGAAAAAAGTCTACTGTGAATAAAGTCATGCTTAAATGAGATTTAATCATTCACAAAAGCATGAGCATATATGTATGAGATGTGTTACTTATTCAGCTATAGACAGTACTGAGGAGAGAAAAGATCACCCGGCGACCATCAAGCAGGCCATCCAGAGGAAAAACTCCTTATCTGAGGAATTTAGAAGGAATTAGACTTCCCTCTTAGCTAAAGACAGCATCTGATACCAGGCTTCTTTCTCCCAAATTTATAAGTAACTAGATTTTTTATACATCTCTGGAATGCGTGCATGGCAAAACTCATTGTGCAACCCTTGCTAACATCAAGGCACCAAAATTTCTCAAATGTAATCATTTATCATGACCTACATGGCTAATACGGTCCAAATTACCCTTCAGCTCCCACGTTAAGGTCCATGAATACCCATAAGGAAAAATCCACCATGGCGCACTCAGTTCTGTCTTGCTGAGGCACCTGCTGCATTCTTCTGCAGCATTCTTTCTATCCAATGAAACTTACCTTTTCAAACCTATACTGTTGTCAGTAAATTCTTACTACCCTACGACCTGCAAGCCAACCACTTTCCGATGCTGGGGCTCTCACACCCTGCCCAGCACTATTTGATGTCTACGAGGATTGGAAAACTTGTGCTAACGGTTAAGGAGCTCATCTCCCAGGGCTTTCTGCAAGCCTCTCAGATGGACGGACTTGAAGATGAAGGCTTGGCTCATGTAGTCCCATTTTTTCTCACATCTTTATATATTCCTGGGAGGTTTTCTAAACTAAAACCTATAGTCAAAATTCTCCAAGCCAGTAACTTGTATAGAGTTCACCTTTCACAAAGTTGTGCATATTTTCCTTTCTTCTTTATGTGTTATAAGTGCCCAGGACATAACGAAAACCATGTTAGCCTTTTAATGAAATGGACTAATCATCCAGAGATAAAGCAGCCTTCACATGTGCACCGAATTCTGATTATGCAAAATAAAGATAATAATAGTTCCCACTTCTCAGGGTTATGGTGAAGAACAAATGAGCTAATGCCCAGGAAGCAATCTGCAAACCGTAGAGCATTATACAAATGTTATTTTGCTACTCAGCACTGTAGAAAGTTATAAATGAAATGGCAATCTTGGTTCCTGCCCTTGAGACACTTAAAACCAGCTGGAGGCTCAGATCCAGGTGGAACAATTAAGAAGAAATTGCAAGGTAACCTGGAAGCAAACTCCTGCAAATGTAAGGAAAATTGTAGCCCTAAGTGCTAATAGATCACTGAAAGTTGCCGTAGCCAGAACCAGCACTAGCACCCTGTGCAGGTCCAGCAACCCATTTTCCTCCAGCCCTGTTGCCTCCAAAGGTAGGGGAGTTTCCACATGGCAGCAGGACCCCAGTGCTTCAATGCTGTCCCTTCTCCCCTGCCTTTAAGAAGCTCTCTAGGAGAACTTTTTAAGGCCTCTCTCTTTCTGATAGCTCCTTCACCCCTGTGGCTTTTTCTTCTTCCCACGTGGCAATATTAAATCCATTCTGCTGGCAGCCCTGGAAACTGTGATCTGTGGAAGTTGATGCTGATGAAAACAGTGTTGTGAAGAACGTACAGCAGGCTCTCTGTCCTTGGCTCCAGGTCTGAGCCCTGTGTTTTGATCACTTCATTTATTATGCTCACATTTTGAAAGAGTGAGCACATATACCCACTGTTCTTTCATCTAAGAAAGTCTGGGGCTGCTGGGAGGTATTCACAGGTAATTAATTTGTCAGGAGAGGAGAGGCAGTCTTGCCAAATACCAGCAAAAAAAAAAAAATTTTTTTTTTAAGCCCACCAAATTCACACCTCATCTGGCAGTTGATTAGTTCTACAAATGACCATGAATAACATAAAAGGAGAGGGGGTAGGGCAGATAGACCTGCAAATGGATGAGGCTTTACTGCTAAGCTTGATGTATTCATACTGTTTGCCTCTTTGAGGGCTATAGTTTCCCCTTGTAAATGAATCCCTTGTGGCTACTACATCAATTTCCTGGATAAATGTGCCCCTGCTTCATGTGGCCCATGTGTGGGTGAGGAGGAAGGGCTTGCTCTCTCTCTGTCTCTCTCTCTCTGGCCCCCCCCTTACCCCTTTCCTCCCTCCCTCCCTCCCTCCCTCCCTTCCTACCTTCCTTCTTTCCTTCCTTCCTATTACTTTCTTCCTTCCTCCCTCCCTTCCTCCCTCCCTCTTTCTTTCTGAGAAATATATGCTTTAAATTCACTCTAAATTAAAGATACCAAGAGTCTATCAACCAACCTCAAAATTGGGAGACATGGTCTGGCGACAAGAGAGAATGTTTAAAATGAACTGAGAAGCCCAGGATATATGGCCACTGTAATTACAGATGAGAGAAAGCCTTGCAGATAGATTAATCACTCCTCTGGGAGTTAGAATGACTGATGAGATCTTGATAATTCCATTCCAGGGTCTGAAATTATCAAGAGTATAGTGTTTGTGAACCCTGTAAGTAAACCTACCTGGTGAGATTCACATAAGAAAACTGGCACATGATAGGCACACAGTACATTTTAGTTCCCTTCACCATTTGTAAGTCGCCATTGACTTGAAGAGTAAAGAATAGAGTGATTAAATTGTAGGTAGTTTCTAATAATTTGTTTTGGAAGCAGTTTTTAAGAATCGAAGATGCAGGAGGAATGTAATGTCTTAGTCACTAGACCTCAGGTGTACCTTGCTTGATGAAATCAATGTGCCTGGGAACCTGTATAAAGTTAATGTTTGTAAATCAAATGATCTTTTACACACATCGGGAATATTTTTCTGTTGATGGTATAATACAGGAATTCTTTTGTTTGGAAATGGAAATGGAAGCATGTTTGGTAAATTCTGATTTTGGCATATTATTCTCGGTTTCCTTAAAATGAAATATACTTGGTTATTTAGGTTTGACTAGCTTTAAATCAGAATCTTATGTGCTAGGTATTGGTTTTGGCACATTTACAACATCTAATCTTATACAATTCTCTCATTAACTGTAATCTTGTACCTAACGGTCATGTGTTTAGCAACTAGCTGTAGGCTCACAGAGTTAGCAAGTGGTACAACCAAGATCTGAATTCAGGTCTCCTGTATTGCTATTTTGCCCAGCGTTACAAGGTCTGATATTACTTCCTTCTCATGTACACTGAGCATTATTTTACTGTAGAGTTGGGGTTAATCTAGGTTTGAGTCCCAGCTGTGCCACTTCCTGGCTGTGTCATTTTGGGAAAGTTTCTAAATTTCCCTGAGTATTGGTCAGCTTACATGCAAAATGGGGATAGTAATACTTACTTCAGAGAATATGTGAAAGGATCAGGGAAAACAAGGATAAAGCACCTGGCACATAAAAGGCAGTCCTTCATTGTTTGCCACTGTTATTATTATTGTTGTTGCTAGGAACAGTAATACTTATTTAGATTTTTTTCCTATTAACCTTGACAGTGGAAGCTGCAAGGGAGGAACCATACCTTGTTTATCCAGTGAGCTTTCCCTGAGGCAAGTAAAGCATGCTGCATGTGGTTTAATTATGCTGTTCCACAAAATCATAAAAAATGTAATAGGTTTTAAGAAGCATTAATAACAACTTAGAGTTTTCAGTCACTTTCCTTCTCTCCCAGAACCAATGAGAGGTTCTCACCATGTTTGCCAGGTTCAAAGGAGAGGGCTTACTGACATTTGCCTTGTTGAATTCAACTGGATTCAAGTTCTGACTCTGCTACCCTGCATATGCCATGAGCTTACCTCTTCGTATTTCCAGCTCAGAATTTTCTCGAGATAAATGCTATCTATGGAAATATCCTGCTCTCTTCCAACTTATTTTTGGACAACATTTCATATTTCTTGTCTAGATTAAACTAGAGTCCTAATTCTTTTTGAAATTTGTCATTCTTGGGCACTGAATACATTTTTGCTTCTTCTGGAAATAATACTATCTTTTGTCACCTTTATTATGGAATATCAGATAGTCACTCCTAGAGTAACAGGCACTATGTTTGTTTTAGTGTGTTCTAGCGGCTATAACAAATTACCATAGACTGGGTGACTTAAAACGAACATTTATTTCTTACAGTTTTGGAGTCTGGAAGTCAGAGATCAGGGTGCTAGCATGGTTGGGTTCTGGTGAAGAACTTCTTCTAAGTTGTAGATTTGTCCTTGTTTCCTCGTATGGTGGAAAGAGAGAAAAAGGAAGCAAGTTCTCTTATAGGAGCTTATAAGTCTTCTTACAAGAGCACTAATCCCATTGGTGAAGGCTCTACCTTTACAATCTAATTACCTCCCAAAGGTCTTACTTTCTAATACAAGTCCCTGGGTGTTGGGATTGAAACATAAGCAGTTTAGAAGTACACAAACATTCAGCCCATTGCAATGCTCTATTTTATACCTGCTCTCCATGCCAGGCTGAAAGGAGAACTACACACAAATTGCAAGAACTGAGGACTAAGAGAGGAGCTAACCTAGTCAGCTCCTTCCTTCAGGAAGATCCTTGGAGGTGGAATCTATTTTGGGATTTTCTTTTATCTATATCAGTGCTTAATATGGTCTTATACAAAGAAGTTGTTTAATAAATACTCATTGAATGAACAAACCAACTATCCCAAACAAGGAGAGGAAGGCTATTGGGTTTAAATAGCTATCAGAGTTCATCTGACCCCATAGCAAAACAAGGCATTGAGCCTTAGGCTGAAATACCCTTTTACCTCCCTGCCCTCTCTTTTTTTTGGAATCTTCTCTGCTTAAGTGTCACCTTCTCTCTAAGCTTTTACAAGTTTTTTCAGGCAGAGTTAGTTATATCTTGCTCTTGTGCCTCCTTTTCCAAATCATTGAATCACTGGTCTGCTACAGCTATGGCAATCATGCATCCTACATTCCGAGCTTTAGCTCTGATTTCAGTTTAGACAGCCTGGTTTGAAGTCCAAACTTCATTAATTATCAGTGGTGTATTTGCAAGTCACTTCTTTGAATCTTGAATTCTTCATGAATATAATGGGAATAAAAAACACTTAATTCATAAGGTTAATAGATTTGAACACTGCCACCTGTTTTTAACCAAAATCCTCAAAATTCGGAATCATATCTGATTTCTCAGTGCTAGGCATTTAAGAGAGTCCCAGTAGTGTTTTGTGGGAAAAAAATGGATGGACATAATGAGAGTAATTGCTAACATTTACATAGTACTTACCATGTGTCTGGCCCACATCTATGTGCTTTGAATATATTAACTCATTAACCACATAGCAATAGCTATAATGGTCATCATGGAATGGAATATTACTTCTTTCCTCAATGTGGAGCTAAACTTGTAGGAGTGCTCTGTGTGTGTGTGTGTGTCTGTGTGTGTGTGCATAGAGGAGAGACAAATGAATACTTATTATTTCAGCGATCAGGTCTCAGCCCAAGTTTGCTAAATAAAGAAAAATTCTTCCTCGAGCCCTTCTAGCAGTGTTTTTCTTTTTGCTTCTCATGTTTTCCTGACAGTTCTCCCTGAGCTTGCTTACCTGTGCTTGCCTTTTCTGAGCACACCTGTGATATAGACCTTTCATTATCAGTGCTTGCCTCTTCTGTGTCCCTCCTTTGATGACCTGTTAGGTAACTGGCTGCTAAACTTAATGAACAAATTAAAGCTATGGCATTAATGGCTGGTAATGACACCATTTGTAAAAATTCTCCATTCCATATTACACTTGCATTAATATAGATCATCAATGCTTGTGTCTAAAACAGGAATAATTTGGGAACATTTTTCAGAGAGACTTTCCATAACTCTTAAGGTAAAGGGAATTGAAAGCTTTTTGTTTGTTTGTTTTTGAGACAGGGCCACAGAGAAATAAAATACATCTACCTGAGGAATACATCTACCTAGGAATACGTCTACCTGAGGAGGTGGAAGATCTCTACAAAGAGAACTACAAACACGCTAAAAGAAATCATAGATGATACAAACGAATAGAAAAACATTCCATGTTCATGAATTAGAAGAATAAATATTGCTAAAATGGCCATACTACCCAAAGCAACCTATACATTGAACACGATTCTATGAAACTACCAATGTCATTTTTCATAGAATTAGAAAAAACTATTCTTTTTTTTTTTTTTTTTTTTTTTGAGATGAAGTGTCGCTCTGTCACCCAGGCTGGAGTGCAGTGGCGCGATCTCTGCTCACTGCAAGCTCCGCCTCCCGGATTCAGGCCATTCTCCTGCCTCAGCCTCCCGAGTAGCTGGGACTACAGGCGCCCACCACCACGCCCAGCTAATTTTTTGTATTTTTAGTAGAGACGGGGTTTCACCATGTTAACCAGGATGGTCTCGATCTCCTGACCTCGTGATCCACCCACCTCAGCCTCCCAAAGTGCTGGGATTACAGACGTGAGCCACCATGCCTGGCCCTAGAAAAAACTATTCTAAAATTCATGTAGAATCAAAATAGAGCCCGAATAACCAAAGCAATCCTAACCAAAACAGCATGGTACTGGTACAAAAACAGACACGTAGACCGATGGAACAGAGTAGAGAACCCAGAAATAAAGCTGCATACTTGCAGCCATCTGATTTTTGACAAAGTCAACAAAAATAAGTAATAGGGAAAGAACTTCCTATTCAATAAATAGTGCTGGGATAGCTGGTTAGCTATATGCAAAAGAATGAAACTGGACCCCTACCTTTCACCATATACGAAAATTAACTGAAGATGGATAAGAGATTTAAATGTAAGACCTCAAACTATAAGAATCCTAGAAGAAACTCTAGAAAACACCATTCTGGACATTGGCCTTGGCAAAGAATTTATGACTAAGTTCTCAAAAGCAATTGAAACAAAAACAAAAATTGACAAGTGGGACCTAATTAAACTAAAGAGCTTCTGCACAGCAAAAGAAACTATCATCAGAGTAAACAGACAGCCTACAGAATGAGAGAAAATATTCACAAACTATGCATCTGATAAAGGTCTAATATCCAGAATCTATAAGGAACTTAAACAGTTGAAAAATGAAAAAACAATCCCATTAAAATGTAGGCAAAGACATGAATATACATTTATCAAAGGAAGACAGGTCAGGCATAGTGGCTCTTATCTGTAATCCCAGCACTTTGGGAGGCTGAGGTGGGTGGATCGCCTGAGGTCAGGAGTTCGAGACCAGCCTGGCCAACATGACAAAACCCCATCTCTACTAAAAATACAAAAAGTTAGCCGGGCATAGTGGCAGGTGCCTGTGATCCCAGCTACTTGGGAGGCTGAGGCATGAAAATCGCTTGGACCTGGGAGGCAGAGGTTGCAGTGAGCCAAGATCACGCCATTGCATTACAGCCTGGTGACAGAGCAAGACTCTGTCTCAAAAAAAAAAAAAAAAAAAAAAAAAAAGACATGCAAGAGGCCAACAAATATATGAAAAAATGCTCAACATCCCTAATTATCAGAGAAATGCAAGTTAAAATCATGAGACGACATCTCACATTAATCAGAATGGCTATCATAAAAAGTCAAAAGATAACAGATGCTGGCAAGGCTGTGGAGAAAAGGGAATGCTTACACACTGTTGGTGGAAATGGAAATTAGTTCAGCCACTGTGGAAAGCAGTTTGGAGATTTCTCAAGGAACTTGAAACAGATCTATCATTTGGCCCAGCAGTCCTATTACTGGGTATATACTCAAAGGAAAACAAATTATTCTACCAAAATGACATTTGCACTTATGTGTTCATCACAGCACTATTCTCAACAGCAAAGACATGAAATCAACCCAGGTGCTCATACTGGTGGATTGTATTTAAAAAAATTTAGTACATATATACCATGGAATACTATGCAGCCATAAAAAAGAACAAAATCATGTCCTTTGCAGCAACATAGATGCAGCTGGTGGCCATTATCCTAAGTGAATTAATGCAGGAACAAACATCCACATACCACATGTTCTCACTTATTATTATTTTTGAGACACAGCCTTGCTGTTTCACCCAGGCTGGGAGTGCAGTGGTGCAATCTCAGCTCACTGCAACCTCTGCCTCCAGGGTCCAAGTGATACTCCCACCTCAGCCTCCCAAGTAGCCGGGACTACAGGTGTGTGCCACCACGCCCAGCTAATTTTTGTATTTTTAGTAGAGATGGGGTTTCACCATGTTGGCCAGGCTGGTCTTGAACTCCTGATCTCAGGTGATCCCCCCACACTTCCAAAGTGTTGGGATTACAGGTGTGAGCCACTGCACCCAGCCCTCGCATGTTCTCACTTATAAGTGGGAGCTAAGCTTTGGCTACACGTGCACATAAATATGGAAACAATAGACACTGGCAACCATTAAAGGCAGGAGAGAGGGAGGCGTTTAAGGACTGAAAAAGTACCTATTGTGTACTGTGCTCACTATCTGAGTGATGGGATCATTCATACTCCAAACCTCATAATCATGCAGTATACCCATGTGACAAACTTGCACATGTACCCACTGAGTCTAAAATAAAAATTGAAATTATAAAAAAAAGAAAATGCTACATGCTGTCTGGAATACTGAGTTCTCAGTATACTTCTAACTACAACTTTGTGCAGGTCACCTATCTCTTTGTCTTTCAATTTCACGAGTCTGTAAAATCAAGAATTTAACATTTAAAGACCCTTCATTTTTCAAATTTATTATTCTAAGTCATTTCTTCATACTTTGCAAAACTGTAAAAAAATTTTTAAAAGTGCTTCTTATAAAAAATCTTGCAATGATTGATAATAGGATGCATATTCTAGGGTGTAAAAGACAGTTTCTACATTCAGCAGGTGGCTAGGGTGTTACTTACTATCCCCTAAACCCCGGGGAACTCTACAATGTGCGAATAGCAACTCATCTTTTATAAAAGTACTTTTCTAAAGCATGTGGAACCACTTCAGACTGTCTCCCTTAATTTTTGTTACTCATATTTCATCAATTCCAGTGTGCTCTGATGCTGTTGTTTTCTTGAACTTTCCAGAAATTGTTAAAAGAGGGTTTTATAAAAGTGTGGCGTAACATCTACCTCATGATCACAAGACCTTATGATTCATCCCAATTCTAGAGAGTAATTTGTAAAAGAATGTATGTCTTGGTAATAATGAAGTAGGATGTTTCTTTATTCCTCTCTTTTTCTTCTTTTCTTCCTTTTCGTTTTTCTCATACACTAACCTAATTTCTCCCCTCTTTTCTGGGACACTAGTGTGAATTGAGAAATTTTACACTATAGAGCTAAATTCCTTGACCTTAGTTTGGGAGCACTGAAGATAAATGGCTTTTTTTTTTTTTTTTTTTTGACAGAGTCTTGCTTTCTCACCACCCAGACTGGAGTGCAGTGGCACGATCTCAGCTCATTGCAACCTCTGCCTCCTGGGTTCAAGCAGTTCTCTTGCCTCAGCCTCCTGAGTATCTAGGATTACAGGCATGCGCCACCGCGCCTGGCTAACTTTTGTATTTTTAGTAGAGACGGGGTTTTGCCATGTTGGCCAGACTGGTCTCGAACTCCTGCCCTCAAGGGATCTGCCCGCCTTGGTCTCCCAACCTTTCTTTTTCTAAAATACCTACAAACTAAATTATTTTATGTGTATATGTTATACATTGTCTGTGAATCCATCCTCAACTTTTCTGAAGGTTAGAGTAATTATATCATAAAAACATTCAGTTCAGTTTTACAGGTTAACAATCTGTGTTTTTTGGAGGAGGCAGATGTGGTGTTCGGTCAGTCTAGCTGGTTGAGTATGTGGACTTTGAGCTCTCATTTGGCAGATCCAGCAGAGGAACCCAGGTATTCAAATATCCTGATCAAGGAATTGTCAGTGAGGACAATGCTTGTGTTCACTTTCTAGGGCTGCATTAAGCGGGTGTCACAAATGGAGTGGCTTAGAACAGAAACTTATTCTCTCACAGTTCTGGATACCAGAAGTCTGAAATCAAAATGTTGGCAGGATTGATCCTTCTGGAGGCTCTGAGGGAGAAACCATCTTATGCTTCTCTCCCAGCTTCTGGTGGTTGCTGGCAATCCTTAGTGTTCCTTGGCTTGTGGATATATCACTGAAATCTCTGCCTCTATTTTTACATCACCTTCTTCCCTCCTCCGTGTTCTGAATCTCCTTCTCCTTTCTCTTATGAAGACGCCAGTCATTGGATTTAGGGCCCAGCCTAATCCAGTATGACCTCACCTTAACTAACTGCATCTGTAAAGACCCTATTTCTAAATAAGGCCACATTCTGAGGTTCTGCAGGAGGAGTTGAGTGTGGGGGACAAAAATTTTGGGATGTGACATTGTTCAACCCAGTATAATGCAAAAGTAAAAGAGGTCTATATAAGAAGGAAGGGACAGCTACCTACAACTAGAACAACTCTATTGAATCTGGAGAATAAGACCTGCTCTAAGATGTGATAATCTGAGTATAAGTAACAGGTAATTTTTTATAGTACTTTGCATATTCCTAATGTATTTTGTATACTGTTAGTTACTAAACTATTGTAACAGGTCAAAAGAAATAATAGTGAGGGTGTGAACCAGAGAGGTAAAAAAGCTCTTAATCAGTGTAGTGTTTAGGCACAATGCTTGGATGACTGAGCAACCAGCTGTCGGTGGCAGTAGCTGATGTGTATTTGTGTTGACTCTTCCCTGCTTTACTCTCTTGCTCCTGGAATTCCACTCTATCAATTTCTTGCACATATGTCTTTGTCCTTGGCTCAGCTTTCTGGGGGATTGAGGTTAAATCAGGGCTATTTGAAAGAATAGCTTTTTGGTTTTCTTGAGAATAGTGTGCTCCTGGAAAATGAGTTTGCGTTTAAAGCTTTTGGTCTGGGGCTGGTTGACTGAAGTGGTTCAAATGAGGCCAAGCTAGTGACCCGAGGTAATCCAGTTAGCTTCATCTTATTCCATGACTGGATTTCCATGCAGTAGTGCTGAAGATTGGTATCACCTCTATACCAGGGATGAGGAAAGAGCCTTCATTCACTACTGCTTGAGAGAGGCTTCTATTTCCACCTCTTTCCTACTCCACAACATGACTTTTACCCCACTCTTTATTGCAAACGTATTCTTAATTCCACTCTTGTTCTCCTCCCAAGCATCTTTCGTTTATATCTCTGAAAAGTCTTTGTTTTGTTTTGTTTTGTTTTTGGAGACAGAGTCTTGCTCTGTCTCCCAGGCTGCAATGCAATGGCGCCATCTCGGCTCACTGCAGCCTCTGCCTCCCTGGCTCAAGGGATTCTCATGCCTCAGCTTCCCCAGTGGCTGGGATTACAGGCACGTGCCACCATTGCCCGGCTAATATTTTGTATTTTTTAGCAGAGATGGGGTTTTGTCATATTGCCCAGGCTGGTCTCAAACTTCTGAGCTCAGATAACCCACTCACCTAGGCCTCCCAGAGTGGTGGGATTACAGGCATGAGCCACTGCGCCCAGCCCCAAAAAGTCTTTTAAAATTGACCTGTCCTCTATCTCCACTGTCTTTGTCCTGATTCACAATCCCAACATTTTCCTCCCAGACCATTGTGACAATGTTCTGTCTGGTCTTTATCATCTCCATTCTCTTCCCTTCCATCACATTACTTACACCTACTTTTTCTTATCTCTATTCTCTTTCATCTTAATACATATCTCTACATCTTTAATTTTTGAAATGATCATTCAAAAATGAAAATCCATGTCACTATCCTGTCTTAAAAATGCAATGAAACAAAACACTACTGGTTCCCATTACCTACAAGATTAAATCCAAACTCCTAGGTTTATTTTATAATATTCTTCATGCTATGTTTTACGCTATATTCTCTGCCTGTCTTTCCAATACCATGTCCCCTACTCCACAGCATACATGATGACAAACTTCTTATTTTGCTCAAACATGCTAAGCCTTTTTCTATTATTCTTACCCTTCTATCTGCCCAGAATGCCTTTCCTCTTTTTTTCTTTTATTTATCTTTGAGATGTAACATACATGTCATTACTTCTGTGAAAAGCCTTCTAAGGCTTTTTTAGGCAGATTTAGTTGCCCTGTTTTGTGTGCTACTACAAACTTCTACCTCCCCCCATGACTTTATTACATAAATAGAAAATCTCTGGCTTCTCCATTAGTCTCTTATATTAGACTATGAGCTTCTCAGGCCTGGGACCTATGTTTTAGTCATTATTCTATCCCAGGCAGTTACCCCATTTAGATATTAAGAAAATGTATTTTGGAAGACTGGAAGGATGAGGAAGTTTGTCATCTTTCCTGAAAAACAAAAGCAAAAACAAAACAAAAGTGATGAATTGCTAGCATTGCTTTGTACCCTATATGAAGGGACTTGAGGTTTGGAGTCTCACACTGAATTTTCTAGAGTCCCTGACTGCTAGTACAAGAGGGAATATAGAAGGAAATCTTGGATTAAGTCATTCACTTCTTGTTGGGCTAAAATCCACTGAACTGCAGTCCAGATCCAGAAAAAAAGATGACCCTTCACTGGTTAACCAGAGTAATATTCTACATGTCTTTCTACTTACTTCTAGATAGCAGTACCTGCTAAATGATTGAATCCATGGCTTAGTAGCATCATACATTTCTCGTGCAGCTCGGAGGTTGCAGTTCACAATTATCTAGTCTGGACTCCACTGAGAAGTGATAATTAGGTGCTAAATGTTAACTGGATTACAGCAGGAATTACTCTCACCAGTCACTTAGCACCTCATCAGGGGTTGGACCTTGAATGTTGTTTTCTGCTTACTCTTCCTGTGCAGCTGCCTCTTCCTGACCTTTCTTCAACAGTCTGTATTTTATTTTTCTGTCCAATTTTGGGACACTGCATCTGTTCACCTCCTTGACAGCATCAGTATCTGTAGCACACAAGCAGAAATCTGTGACTCTTGTAAGAGGGTGAACAAAGTCAAAAGGTTAAGGGTGTCTCTAAATTTTTCCCAGAAGAGGGAGAATTTACTATAATCATAATGGCAACCATATATTCCTTTTTTTTAGTAAAGCTTTGTAAATTTATTGATGAAGTTTCATATGAAATAATACAATTTTGAATACTATTAATTTTTATATCTACCTTTTTGTAACCTATGTAATATTTTGAATAATATTTCAACTGATTTTGGTAAAGCAAAAGACAAAAAGTTCTGACTGTTGATAACCAAAACTTAAATCTATAAATCTATTTGTAGTAGAATTGGTCTACTTGTCAAGATAATTATCAGATCTTAGCCTCTCCTACAGAAGTTTAGCATTTTCTTTTTACAGGTTTTTCAAAGCTGCAACTTTTCTAATACATCTACATAAGCTCCCTTGTTTCTTTCTTTAATGTGATGTAGGATATTTTTCATTTATAAAAATGCATTTATTTGCTGTTACTTTTTTCAACCTCTTGCCTCAGCAGCATTTAATCAACATTTAATGTTTCATGCAAGGATGATATTACTAATGGCATACTAAAAGTTACTTGCATAATGATTTTTGAGTCTTTAACAAGCCAAGAATGACATGTACAACAACTTATAATTTAATGAAGTTAGTCAAATGAATTGGTTGTGCTCTTATTAATCTACAGTGGGTTTGGAGGTTTTATTAAGATAATTGTGTTGGTTTTTTATTTTTTATTTTATTATTATTATACTTTAAGTTTTAGGGTACATGTGCACAATGTGCAGGTTTGTTACATATGTATACATGTGCCATGCTGGTGTGCTGCACCCAGTAACTCGTCATTTAGCATTAGGTATATCTCCTAAAGCTATCCCTCCCTCCTCCCCCCACCCCACAACAGTCCCCAGAGTGTGATGTTCCCCTTCTTGTGTCCATGTGTTCTCATTGTTCAATTCCCACCTATGAGTGAGAATATGCGGTGTTTGGTTTTTTGTTCTTGCAATAGTTTACTGAGAATGATGATTTCCAATTTCATCCATGTCCCTACAAAGGACATGAACTCATCATTTTTCATGGCTGCATATATTCCATGGTGTATATGTGCCACATTTTCTTAATCCAGTCTATCATTGTTGGACATTTGGGTTGGTTCCAAGTCTTTGCTATTGTGAATAGTGCCACAATAAACATATGTGTGCATGTGTCTTTATAGCAGCATGATTTATAGTCCTTTGGGTATATAGCCAGTAATGGGATGGCTGGGTCAAATGGTATTTGTAGTTCTAGATCCCTGAGGAATCGCCACACTGACTTCCACAGTGGTTGAACTAGTTTACAGTCCCACCAACAGTGTAAAAGTGTTCCTATTTCTCCACATCCTCTCCAGCACCTGTTGTTTCCTGACTTTTTAATGATCGCCATTCTAACTGGTATGAGATGGTATCTCATTGTGGTTTTGATTTGCATTTTTCTGATGGCCAGTGATGGTGAGCATTTTTTCATGTGTTTTTTGGCTGCATAAATGTCTTCTTTTGAGAAGTGTCTGTTCATGTCCTTCGCCCACTTTTTGATGGGGTTGTTTGTTTTTTTCTTGTAAATTTGTTTGAGTTCATTGTAGATTCTGGATATTAGCCCTTTGTCAGATGAGTAGGTTGTGAAAATTTTCTCCCATTTTGTAGGTTGCCTGTTCATTCTGATGGTAGTTTCTTTTGCTGTGCAGAAGCTCTTTAGTTTATTTAGATCCCATTTGTCAATTTTGTCTTTTGTTGCCATTGCTTTTGGTGTTTTAGACATGAAGTCCTTGCCCATGCCTATGTCCTGAATGGTAATGCCTAGGTTTTCTTTTAGGGTTTTTATGGTTTCAGGTCTAACGTTTAAGTCTTTAATCCATCTTGAATTAATTTTTGTATAAGGTGTAAGGAAGGGATTCACTTTCAGCTTTCTACATATGGCTAGCCAGTTTTCCCAGCACCATTTATTAAATAGGGAATCCTTTCCCCATTGCTTGTTTTTCTCAGGTTTGTCAAAGATCAGATAGTTGTAGATATGCGGCGTTATTTCTGAGGGTTCTGTTCTGTTCCATTGATCTATATCTCTGTTTTGGTACCAGTACCATGCTGTTTTGGTTACTGTAGCCTTGTAGTATCGTTTGAAGTCAGGTAGCGTGATGCCTCCAGCTTTGTTCTTTTGGCTTAGGATTGACTTGGCGATGCGGGCTCTTTTTTGGTTCCATACGAACTTTAAAGTAGTTTTTTCCAATTCTGTGAAGAAAGTCATTGGTAGCTTGATGGGGATGGCATTGAATCTGTAAATTACCTTGGGCAGTATGGCCATTTTCATGATATTGATTCTTCCTACCCATGAGCATGGAATGTTCTTCCATTTGTTTGTGTCCTCTTTTATTTCATTGAGCAGTGGTTTGTACTTCTCCTTGAAGATGTCCTTCACGTCCCTTGTAAGTTGGATTCCTAGGTATTTTATTCTCTTTGAAGTAATTGTGAATGGGAGTTCACTCATGATTTGGCTCTCTGTTTGTCTGTTATTGGTGTATAAGAATGCTTGTGATTTTTGTACATTGATTTTGTATCCTGAGACTTTGCTGAAGTTGCTTATCAGCTTAAGGAGATTTTGGGCTGAGACAATGGGGTTTTCTAGATATACAATCATGTCATCTGCAAACACGGACAATTTGACTTCCTCTTTTCCTAACTGAATACCCTTTATTTCCTTCTCCTGCCTGATTTCCCTGGCCAGAACTTCCAACACTATGTTGAATAGGAGTGGTGAGAGAGGGCATCCATGTCTTGTGCCAATTTTCAAAGGGAATGCTTCCAGTTTTTGCCCATTCAGTATGATATTGGCTGTGGGTTTGTCATAGATAGCTCTTATTATTTTGAGATACGTCCCATCAATACCTAATTTATTGAGAGTTTTTAGCATGAAGCGTTGTTGAATTTTGTCAAAGGCCTTTTCTGCATCTATTGAGATAATCATGTGGTTTTTGTCTTTGGTTCTGTTTATATGCTGGATTAAATTTATTGATTTGCGTATATTGAACCAGCCTTGCAACCCAGGGATGAAGCCCACTTGATCATGCTGGATAAGCTTTTTGATGTGCTGCTGGATTTGGTTTGCCAGTATTTTATTGAGGATTTTTGCATGAATGTTCATCAAGGATATTGGTCTAAAATTCTCTTTTTTGGTTGTGTCTCTGCCCGGCTTTGGTATCAGGATGATGCTGGCCTCATAAAATGAGTTAGGGAGGATTCCCTCTTTTTCTATTGATGGGAATAGTTTCAGAAGGAATGGTACCAGTTCCTCCTTGTACCTCTGGTAGAATTTGGCTGTGAATCCATCTGGTCCTGGACTCTTTTTGGTTGGTAAGCTATTGATTATTGCCACAATTTCAGAGCCTGTTATTGGTCTATTCAGAGATTCAACTTCTTCCTGGTTTAGTCCTGGGAGGGTGTATGTGTCGAGGAATTTATCCATTTCTTCTAGATTTTCTAGTTTATTTGCATAGAGGTGTTTGTAGTATTCTCTGATGGTAGTTTGTATTTATGTGGGATCGGTGGTGATATCCCCTTTATCATTTTTTATTGTGTCTATTTGATTCTTCTCTTTTTTTCTTCTTTATTAGTCTTGCTAGTGGTCTATCAATTTTGTTGATCCTTTCAAAAAAACAGCTCCTGGATTCATTAATTTTTTGAAGGGTTTTTTGTGTCTCTATTTCCTTCAGTTCTGCTCTGATTTTAGTTATTTCTTGCCTTCTGCCAGCTTTTGAATGCGTTTGCTCTTGCTTTTCTAGTTCTTTTAATTGTGATGTTAGGGTGTCAATTTTGGATCTTTCCTGCTTTCTCTTGTTGGGCATTCAGTGCTATAAATTTCCCTCTACACACTGCTTTGAATGTGTCCCAGAGATTCTGATATGTTGTGTCTTTGTTCTCGTTGGTTTCAAAGAACATCTTCATTTCTGCCTTCATTTTGTTATGTACCCAGTAGTCATTCAGGAGCAGGTTGTTCAGTTTCCATGTAGCTGAGTGGTTTTGAGTGAGTTTCTTAATCCTGAGTTCTAGTTTGATTGCACTGTGGTCTGAGAGATAGTTTGTTATAATTTCTGATCTTTTACATTTGCTGAGGAGAGCTTTACTTCCAACTATGTGGTCAATTTTGGAATAGGTGTGGTATGGTGCTGAAAAGAATGTATATTCTGTTGATTTGGGGTGGAGAGTTCTGTAGATGTCTATTAGGTCTGCTTGGTGCAGAGCTGAGTTCAATTCCTGGATATCCTTGTTAACTTTCTGTCTCGTTGATCTGTCTAATGTTGACAGTGGGGTGTTAAAGTCTCCCATTATTAATGTGTGGGAGTCTAAGTCTCTTTGTAGGTCACTCAGGACTTGCTTTATGAATCTGGGTGCTCCTGTATTGGGTGCATATATATTTAGGATAGTTAGCTCTTCTTGTTGAATTGATCCCTTTACCATTATGTAATGGCCTTCTTTATCTCTTTTGATCTTTGTTGGTTTAAAGTCTGTTTTATCAGAGACTAGGATTGCAACCCCTGCCTTTTTTTGTTTTCCATTTGCTTGGTAGATCTTCCTCCATCCCTTTATTTTGAGCCTATGTGTGTCTCTGCACGTGAGATGGGTCTCCTGAATACAGCACACTGATGGGTCTTGACTCTTTATCCAATTTGCCAGTCTGTGTCTTTTAATTGGAGCATTTAGTCCATTTACATTTAAAGTTAATATTGTTATGTGTGACTTTGATCCTGTCATTATGATGTTAGCTGGTTATTTTGCTCATTAGTTGATGCAGTTTCTTCCTAGCATCGATGGTCTTTACCATTTGGCATGATTTTTCAGTGGCTGGTATCAGTTGTTCCTTTCCACATTTAGTGCTTCCTTCAGGAGCTCTTTTAGGGCAGGCCTGATGGTGACAAAATCTCTCAGCATTTGCTTGTCTGTAAAGGATTTTATTTCTCCTTCACTTATGAAGCTTAGTTTGGCTGGATATGAAATTCTGGGTTGAAAATTCTTTTCTTTAAGAATGTTGAATATTGGCCCCCACTCTCTTCTGGCTTGTAGAGTTTCTGCCGAGAGATCTGCTGTTAGTCTGATGGGCTTCCCTTTGTGGGGAACCCGACCTTTCTCTCTGGCTGCCCTTAACATTTTTTCCTTCATTTCAACTTTGGTGAATCTGACAATTATGTGTCTTGGAGTTGCTCTTCTCGAGGAGTATCTTTGTGGCGTTCTCTGTATTTCCTGAATCTGAATGTTGGCCTGCCTTGCTAGATTGGGGAAGTTCTCTTGGATAATATCCTGCAGAGTGTTTTCCAACTTGGTTCCATTCTCCCCGTCACATTCAGGTACACCAATCAGACGCAGATTTGGTCTTTTCACATAGTCCCATATTTCTTGGAGGCTTTGTTCATTTCTTTTTATTCTCTTTTCTCTAAACTTCCCTTCTCGCTTCATTTCATTCATTTCATCTTCCATCACTGATACCCTTTCTTCCAGTTGATCGCATCGGCTCCTGAGGCTTCTGCATTCTTCACATAGTTCTCGAGCCTTGGCTTTCAGCTCCATCAGCTCCTTTAAGCACTTCTCTGTATTGGTTATTCTAGTAATACATTCATCTGAATTTTTTTCAAAGTTTTCAACTTCTTTGCCTTTGGTTTGAATTTCCTCCTGTAGCTCAGAGTAGTTTGATCATCTGAAGCCTTCTTCTCTCAACTTGTCAAAGTCATTCTCCATCCAGCTTTGTTCCATTGCTGGTGAGGAGCTGCGTTCCTTTGGAGGAGGAGAGGCGCTCTGCTTTTTAGAGTTTCCAGTTTTTCTGCTCTGGTTTTTCCCGATCTTTGTGGTTTTATCTACTTTTGGTCTTTGATGATGGTGATGTACAGATGGGTTTTTGGTGTGGCTGTCCTTTCTGTTTGTTAGTTTTCCTTCTAACAGACAGGACCCTCAGCTGCAGGTCTGTTGGAGTTTGCTAGAGGTCCACTCCAGACCCTGTTTGCCTGGGTACCAGCAGCGGTGGCTGCAGATCAGCGGATTTTCGTGAACGGCAAATACTGCTGTCTGATCGTTCCTCTGGAAGTTTTGTCTCAGAGGAGTACCTGGCCGTGTGAGGTATCAGTCTGCCCCTGCTACGGGGTGCCTCCCAGTTAGGCTGCTCAGGGGTCAGGGGTCAGGCACCCACTTGAGGAGGCAGTCTGCCCGTTCTCAGATCTCCAGCTGAGTGCTGGGAGAACCACTGCTCTCTTCAAAGCTGTCAGACGGGGACATTTAAGTCTGCAGAGGTTACTGCTGTCTTTTTGTTTGTCTGTGCCCTGCCCCCAGAGGTGGAGCCTACAGAAGCAGGCAGGCCTCCTTGAGCTGTGGTGGGCTCCACCCAGTTCGAGCTTCCTGGCTGCTTTGTTTACCTAAGCAAGCCTGGGCAATGGCGGGCACCCCTCCCCCAGCCTCTCTGCCACCTTGCAGTTTGATCTCAGACTGCTGTGCTAGCAATCAGCGAGACTCCGTGGGCCTAGGACCCTCGGAGCCAGGTGCGGGATATAATCTCCTGGTGTGCCGTTTTTTAAGCCCGTCAGAAAAGCGCAGTATTGGGATGGGAGTGACCCGATTATCCAGGTGCTGTCTGTCACCCCTTTCTTTGACTAGGAAAGGGAACTCCCTGACCCCTCGCACTTCCCGAGTGAGGCAATGCCTTGCCCTGCTTCGGCTCGTGCACGGTGCGCTGCACCCACTGTCCTGTGCCCACTGTCTGGCACTCCCTAGTGAGATGAACCTGGTACCTCAGATGGAAGTGCAGAAATCACCCGTCTTCTGTGTCACTCATGCTGGGAGCTGTAGACCGGAGCTGTTCCTGTTCGGCCATCTTGGCTCCTATTCCTAACTTTCTATGTGCAAGATACTTTGTAAGTGGTGAACAAGGATTATTTGGTTCATGATGTGTCATGTAGTATTACCATCCACAAGCTACATATGTGAAAATGAGAGCTGTAGGCAGATTTGAGATTGCTGGCTGGCTGGATTCCGAGCCCATGTTTGTTTGTTTGTTTGTTTGTTTTTTGAGACAGAGTTTTTCTCTTGTTGCCCAGGCTGGAGTGCAATCTCAGCTCACCACAACCTCCTCCTCCCAGGTTCAAGCGATTCTCCCGCCTCAGCCTCCTGAGTGGCTGGGAGTTCAGGCATGCACCACCACGCCTAGCTAATTTTGTATTTTCAGTAGAGGTGCTGTTTCTTCATGTCGGTCAGGCTGGTCTCGAACTCCCAACCTTAGGTGATCTGCCTGCCTTTGCCTCCCAAAGTTCTGGGCTTACAGGCCTGAGCCACCGTGCCTGGCCTTTGAGCCTGTGTTCTTAATCACTGTGCTGTACTATGGCCTCTCACTCACTTTAGCCTGGGTACTTCCTCATACTTATTTGGCACTGAAAATAAAAATGTTATCATCATTCTATTGACCTCAATGAGAGCTTTAGGAGTGATGGTATTAAGTCCTCCCTATAGGAGGACAAACTTGGAGTGTCTAATGGGTCTGGAAAGGAGTGTTTTCATGAAGCCACCTGGGAAATTTACAGGCAAAAGGCCACTACTGGGAATTCTAAGGATGTAAAACTATTGTTCCCTTTCTGTTCCCTTTGCAAATCCAAAAACACAAGTTTCAGCAAAGAACGGCAGATCAATGGGGTTAAGTCCTATGGAACGTGAGCTGATTTATAGAGGTTTGGAAGACCATCGACAGGGAGGCTTGAGGGTGTCAATTCAAATATTGTATTTATTAATCAGTGTCTCAGATCACTGTCATCATCAAAGGCTATGCGATTTTATTTCTATTTAATTACTCCACAAGATTTTAATACATTACTCGTATATAGTGATTACAGATTTCTTTTCTTTTCTTTTCTTTTTTGAGAGGGAGTCTCACTCTGTTGCCCAGGCTGGAGTGCAGTGGCACGATCTCGGCTCACTGCAACCTCCGCCTCCCAGTTCAAGTGATTCTCCTGCCTCAGCCTCCCAAGTAGCTGGGATTACAGGTGCCCTCCACCATGCCTGGCTAATTTTTGTATTTTTAGTAAAAACGGGGTTTTACCATGTTGGCCAGGCTGGTCTCGAACTCCTGACCTCAGGTGATCCATCTGCTTTGGCCTCCCAAAGTGCTGGGATTACAGGCATGAGCTACCGAGCCTGGTTCAGATTTCTTTTCTAATGGTGCTTTTAAAAATTCTACTTGTTGCAACAAATGTAACTATTTGTCCAAACTGTTGTTTCATAAATAATACATTTTCGTTCATTTTGGCTTTCAATTGTGGATTTCTTTGTGGGGGAGAAAAGCTCTACATGACTCAAAGCATTTTCCTATTTTTTTCAGTCATAAATCTAGCAGTTCTTATGGTAATTTTTGGTTTCCAACTTATATTTTGTCCTGAAATTTCTCTATCAACATTTATTGTATCAATAAAATGGACATTATAATTGCAACCTTCTTTTTGAACAAAACCTCCTCTGAATATATATGATGGCCAAGCTGTTTGTTTGGCTTTGTGTTTTTTTCCAAAATATTGCCCAGCGATTGTGCTTTCAAAAGTGTAAATCAGCCCCTACTGACTTACTTGCCATTCAAGACATTCTCTGTTACAGTTTGTTATTCTGAGGTTTCCTCTAGGTGGTTGTTTTATACTTTTTCTTTGGCATGTATTTTCTTAGTGTTAACTATATATCTGGCTTGATCTTGGTACAAACTCACTTAGCATTTTAATCTGAATCTCACTTAATCCTTGTCACTCAGCTGATATAGGCCGCACATTTACAATGCCAGTTTAATCATTCTGGAAACATTTGGTCATGAATAAAAGAACACAGCAGCTGTTCCAACTTGCAGGCAGGATGAGACCCTTCTTAACAGAGCTGTTCCAGGGGCTACTGTAAATTCACATTGACCTTGATTTCTTGCTTATGAGAGAGACAATTATAAGATAGGTTGAATTTTTATTTTAAGCTGTTACATCTCCCAAGCTTACCAAACATTTTATTAAAATATTGCATGTCTGCTGAACTTCACTAGTCAACCTCCGGAGAACTGATAATGTTTCTTGGGGTCTTTACTGTCATTTTTATCTCGCCCCCCCTTTTTATCTCTTAAAAGAAGCAATGTGTGCTTGCTGAGTATTTGAGAAACAAAATGGCAGGGATGGAAGGATATACAAATTTAATCAATGTTTTTTCTCTGATACAGATTTATTTGCTGTTGAGACCATTGCATATGCACTGTGCTAATGCCATATTTTCTGTGGTTCGGTGGTGAATAATTAGACTAAACAAGTTATACAATGGTCACTAGGCTTCTTCTAATGCCCTCATATCTTTGTGTAGAAGCCTTCTTCCCCATTCCCAGAGCTGATATTGCCATTTGCTTTGCTGCTTCTTCACAGCTTCCTGCATGAGTGTTTAAGCATCTCAAAGAATGCTCTGGAATCTGAGTTTATAACCCTGTGTACCCATCAGGATGGGCTAAGTTAGAGGACAAAAGAGCCCTACAATCTCAGTGGCTTAAAATCACCAGGGTCTATTTCTTGTTCACAGAACATTTTGGTTACAGGTTGTCTGGGGGCTCTGTCTTTTGACTGCCAAGGCAGGAGAAAGAGAATGTGGCAAATGGAGTACTGGCTTTGAAACTTTTTGCTCAGAGGTGACATAATCATTTCTTCTTCATTTTAGAGACCAAAACAAGTTTTAGTTCAAACTTACCTGTGTCTGGAAGGAGAACCCAAAATATTTGGTGAACAGCTCTAATGACTACTACACCTCTGGGGTACACAATTCCTGCAGAGATGACAAGGTACAGTCTGCTTGGTATAATGCTTCCTCATTCACATTCCACGTTCAGCTCAATAAATCTGTATCTAGGGCTGGTTGGTTATCTAGTTTGTAGGGTACAGTGTAAAATAAAAATGCGTGACCACTTGTTCAAAAATTATGAAGAGTTTCAAGGGAGTGACATCAGAGAATGAAACCAAGCATGGGGCCCTTCTAAATGTGGAACCCTGTGTAGCTATACAGGTCATATGGTCATAAAACTGGCCCTGCGTACATCCCAGGGAGGGAGGAAGAAGACAGGACCTCTAGGAGAAGCATCTGAGCATGGTAAATTAAATGTGTGTGCTTTCCTGGAGAGGCCACATAGAGCAAAGCAGATTGTCTCCCTGCCTCACAGGAGGTGCTGTCAGGATGAGTAAGACAATGTGAGGGTGAGGATTTTTCCTTTGCAAATCCCTACAGGGAGGTCACCTCTAAATTCAAGGCATAATCATTTTCCCAACAGTAGTTTAATGACATTAATTACACTTTTGTAACTGAACTGCCTCACTCTTACGCTTTTCTTAGAGGATGAAGGTTGAGGACACCTATCCCTGCTCTGACTTTCTCTAAGGAGGGAAACATGGTAGCCTGCCAATAAAGCATCAGGAATGAGTTCCATATGTCTGTGTTTATTTTGGCAAAGTTAAGTCAGAAGAACAAGTTTATTCCGAAGGTAGGCAAGAGGACTGTTAACTAGAACTTATTGTCAAGATGAACCCTAGTCCACTATGTCCTCCTTTAAAATAAAGGACCCTGGAGAGTCTGCCTGGCTTGTTTAGAATCTTTAGGATACAGAAATATTATTTTGACTGTTTTAAAAATATAAGAAAGCAAATTGCCCATTTAGGTTTTTTTTTTTTTTTTTTTGAGATGGAGTCTCACTCTGTCGCCCAGGCTGGAGTGCAGTGGCGTGATCTCGGCTCACTGCAAGCTCTGCCTCCCGGGTTCACGCCATTCTCCTGCCTCAGCCTCCAGAGTAGCTGGGACTACAGGCGCCCGCCAACACGCCCGGCTAATTTTTTGTATTTTTAATAGAGATGGGGTTTCACCGTGTTAGCCAGGATGGTCTCGATCTCCTGACCTCGTGATCCACCCATCTCGGCCTCCCAAAGTGCTGGGATTACAGGTGTCAGCCACTGCACCCGGCCTTTTTTTTTCTTTTTTTTTTTTTTTGATTAAACTCTTTAGGAAGTCATATGCTTATGTAAAGATCATGAGAAACAACAACTTTTATAGTCCTAAGAACTAGAGTAGCACCCCTTTTCTTAAAGTTCTTTCCGTTTATGGTCTTGGAGTAACATTAAAAAAGACCCAGGTCAGTCTGCCTAGAAATGACTTGGATATTTTTATTGTTTTCAGGCAGGAAAACAGAGCCACACAGGAAATCGGCAATACTCCCAGTGTTATAACTGAGTTGGCAGATTGGAAAAACATCACTAGACAGAGTCATTTGCATTGGTGATATTTTGGATTTCACAAGTGACTCATCTGCATCCTCCACGCAGTGAGTCAGCCATGCCCCTGACTAGCACAGAGCATCTATATTTTGGTTAAGTGTGGAGACTGCATGACACCTATCCTAGTAGATTGCAAACTTGCCATTTATACCACTTACAGTGACAATTCACTGACTTTTGGTGAATGGATTATCATCTAGTTAGGGTTCTTGTAACTGGCCGTGAAAGTCACAGAGAAGTTGAGGGAGAAATTTACTTTCCGGGAAGTGGTTAACTATGATGCAGAACTTACTTGCAATAGCCAGGATGCTCATGTAAACAAAAAAATATACCTTGTTGGCTTAATTGTTCATGGATGCAAATTAACTCAAGTGAGAAAGGGCTGGGCGCTGGGTTAATTCTAAGGTGTTTTGCCGTTTCAGGTTTACATTCCCATCTCAAACATATGCCTTGCATCTAGTAGCTGGGCGTGAGAGTGGAGGTTTGAAGGTTGTGGGGGTGCTGATGGGACCAGAACGGGTGAAGTCATGTGCAACACATTATGAGATTTTAATCTTAACTGTGAATTAAAACATAGGTAAAGAAAAATAGTAAAGTGTTGAAATCCCACATGGGTCAGTTTAACAACTAGGTATTTTATTGTCACACTAGGAGACTTGATTTTTGATTACAGAACAGGGAAGAGGGTGGATAGCTCAATTGAAAGCAATCACAGGAATTAAGGAAAAATTCAAATCAATCCTTCTACTGTTTGCTGATGATATTTGCATTCATCTTAATTTTTCACTCTAGGAGAGAAGACTGTTAGATGGAAGAGTTAAAAAGAAATTAAGTATGAATTAGGCCAGTGAAAAGTTGAAAATTTTGTTAGGTTCTTAGGGTTTTTGTGTGTGTGTGTGTGTGTGTGTGTGTATGTATCTGAGCAAATGATGGCTAATTTGCTTTGACTGTTTGGGAATATTCCTTTGTTGGCAGTTTCCAAAAGTGAGCAGCAGTAGCTATTCTTATATTGGATAACACAGACTTTAAAGCAACAATAGTTGAAAAAGGCAAAGATGGTAATTATATAATAATAAATGGATTAATCCAATAAGAAGATACTACAATCCTAAATATTTAACCCTAACTCTGGAGCTCCCAGATTCATAAACAATTGCTACTAGACCTAAGTAAAAAGATAAACAGTAACACAATAATAGTGGGGGACTTCAACTCCTCTGAAAGTACTTGACAGATTACCGAGGCAGAAAGTCAACAAAGAAACACTTGACTTAAACTGCACTCTAGAGCAAATGGACCTATAGTTATTTATAGAACATTCTACTCAAGAACTGCAGAATATACATTCTTTTCATCAGCACATGGAACATTCTCCAGGATAGACCATGTGATAAGTCACAAAACAAGTCTCAATACATTAGAAAAATCGAAATAATATCAAACATCTTTTCAACCACAGTGGAATAAAACTAGAAATCAACTCCAAAAGGACCCTCAAAACTATATAAATACCTGGAAATTAAACAATATGTTCCTGAATGATTTTGGGGTTATCAATGAAATCAAGATGGAAATTGAAAAATTATTCAGAATGAGTAGTAGTGACACAAGTTATCAAAATCTTGGATACGGCAAAAGCAGTGCTAAGAGGAAAGTTTATAGTACTAAATGCCTACATCAAAAAGTCTGAAAGATCACTAATTGACAACCTAACATTTCGCCTCAAGGAACTAGAGAAGTAAGAACAAAGCAAGCCCAAAGCTAACAGAAGAAAAGAAATAACAAACATCAGATCAGAACTAAATGAAATTAAAACAGCAAAAAACAATACAAAAGATGAATGGAACAAAATATTGGTTCTTTGAAAAGGTAAACCAAATCAACAGACCATTAGCCAGATTAACCAAGAAAAGAAGAGAGAAGATTCCGATAAGCTTAATTAGGAATGAAAATGGAGACGTTACAACCAAACCACAGAAATACAAAAGGTAATTTGAGACTACTATGAACGCTTCTGTGCACACAAACTAGAAAATCTAGAGGAAATGGAGAAATTCCTAGAAACATAAAACCCTCCTAGCTTGAATCAGGAAGACATAGAAACCTTGAACAGACCAATAACAAGCAGTGATATTGTAATAAAAAATCTGGTGTATAGCACTGCTGCTGATTTGTAATAAAAAAAAGTTGCCAAACAACAGTAAAAGCCCAGGGCCAGATGGATTCTCAGTGGAATTCTACCAGATATTCAAATAAGAATTGGTACTAATCCTACTGAAACTATTCCAAAAGATTGAGAAAGAAGGAATCCTCTATAACTCATTCTATAGGCCAGGGTCTCTCTGAAAGCACAACCAGGAAAGGACATAAAAAAGAAAATTACAGACTAATATCCTTGATGAACATAGATGCCAAAATCTTCAACAAAATACTAGCAAAACAAATGCAACAGCACATCAAAAAGATAATTCACCATGATCAAGTGGGTTTCATCCTAGGGATGGTTTAACATATGCAAGTCAATAAATATGATACATCACATAAACAGAATAAAAACCTAAAACCATATGATCATCTCATTAGACACAGGAAAAACATTCAAAAAAATCCAGCATCGCTGTATGATAAAAACCCTCAACAAGGCCGGGTGCGGTGGCCCACGCCTGTAATCCCAGCACTTTGGGAGGCTGAGGCAGGTGGATCACGAGGTCAGGAGATCGAGACCATCCTGGCTAACATGACGAAACCCCAACTCTACTAAAAATACAAAAAATTAGCCAGGCGTGGTGGTGGGAGCCTGTAGTCCCAGCTACTCAGAAGGCTGAGGCGGGAGAATGGCATGAGCACGGGAGGTGGAGCTTGCAGTGAGCCAAGATCGCACCACTGCACTCCAGCCTGGGCAACAGAGCGAGACTGCATCTCAAAAAAAAAAAAAAAAAAACAAAAACAAAAAACAAAAAAAAACCCCTCAACAAATGAGGCATAGAAGGAATATAACTCAAAATAATAAAAGCCATCTATGACAAACCCACGGCCAACATCTACTGAATGGGAAAGTTTGAGAACATCCCCCCTAAGAACTGGAGCAAGTCAAGGATATCCTCTTTCACTGCTCCTGTTCAATATAGCACTGGAAGTCCTAGGCAGAGCAATCAGTCAAAAGAAATAAATAAAGTGTATCCAAATTGGAAAACGGGAAGTCAAACTATCTCTGTTTGCCAATGATATTATTGTGTACCTAGAAAACCCTAAAGATTTCTCCAAAAGACTCCTAGATTTGACAAATGAATTCAGTAAAGTCTCACGTTACAAAGTCAATGCACACAAATCAGCAGCACTGGTATACATCCAAAATGACCAAGCTGAGAATCAAATCAAGACCTCAATCCCTTTTACAATAGCTGCAAAAAAATAAAATACCTAGGAATATACTTAGCCAAGGAGGTGAAAGATGTCTACAAGGAGAGTTACAAAACAATGCTGAAAGAAATCATAGATGACACGAACAAATGGAAATACATCCCATGCTCATGGATTGGAAAAATCAATATCATGAAAATGGCCGTAACTGCCCAAAGCAATTTATAGATTCAATGCAATTCCTATAAAAATACCAACATCATTTTTCACAGAATTAGAAGAAAAAACAATCTTAAAACTTATATGGAATCAAAAAAAGAACCCCAATAGCCAAAACAATCCTAAGCAAAAAGAATAAATCTGAAGACATTACACTTCAAATTGTACTATTAGGTTGTTGCAAAAGCAATGCAAAAACCTCAATTATTTTTGCACCAACCTAACACAAGCCTGTAGTAACCAAAATAGCATAGTAGTGGTATAAAAGTAGATACATAGACCAATGGAACAGAAAACAAAACCCAGAAATAAAGCCAAATACTTACAACCATCTGATCTTCAACAAAGTGGACAAAAACATACAGTGGGGGGAAAGGACTCCCTATTCAATAAATGGTGTTGGCAAAACTGGATACTACATGTAGGGGAATTAAACTGGATCCCTATATCTTACCATACACAAAAATAAACTAAACATAGATCAGAGACTTAAATCAATACCTGAAAATTTCTAGAAGAAAGCCTAGAAAAAACTCTTCTAGACATTGGCCTATGCAAAGAATTTATAACTAAGACCCTACAAGCAAATAAAACAAAACTAAAAATTGACAAATGGCACTGAATTAAACTAATGAGCTTCTTCACACCAAAAGAAACTATCAACAGAATAAACAGACAACCTACAGAATGGGAGAAAATATTTGCTAATTATGCATCTGACAAAAGACTAGCATCTGGAATCTACAAGGAGCTCAAACAAATCAGCAAGAAAAAAACAAACAAATAATCCCATTAAAAAGTAGGCAAAGGACATGAACATACATTTCTCAAAAGAAGATATACAGATGGCCAACAAACATATGAGAAAATGCTCATCACTAATCATCAAGGAAATGCAAATTAAAACCACAATGAGACAACACCTTACCCCAGCCAGAATGTCCATTATCAAAAAGTCAAAAAATAAAAGACATTGGCACAGATGTGGTGAAAAGAGAATGCTTATACTCTGCTGCTGGTGGGAATTTAAATTAGCACAACCTCTATGGAAAACAGTATGGAGATTTCTCAAAGAACTAAAAGTAGATCTACCATTTAATCCAGCAATCCCACTACTGGGCATCTATGCAAAGGAAAATAACTAATTATATCAAAAAGACACCTGCACACATATGTTTATCATGGCACAATTCACAGTTGCAAAGGTATGGAATCAACCTAAATTCCCATCAACCAACGAGTGGATAAATTATATATATATATATACACACACACACACACACACACACACACACACACATAGCATGGAATACTACTCAGCCATAAAAAGAATGAAATAATGTCTTTGGCAAAATAATTTGCTTGTTTTTAAGGTATCTAGTACAAAGGTAAGTAATAGAACAAATTTTATTCCACTCTATGCAAACAGAAACATTACTGGAGGGGTATTATTGAGGAGGGGTTAAAAACATGAGCATTGTAATCAAATTGGTTAAAATGGAGTGGGAATTCACCTTCTGTGTGACCTTGGAAATATTATTCGATTCCTCCAAGTTTCAATTTCTTAATCTGTAAAGTGAGGATTATACTTTAGGACTTTCTTTTTAAAGAAGATTAACCTCGACAACATATGATGTGTATTTATAATATAGGTTCACTTGCGCATTACTAGGATGTGATGGCAACCATGACGATAGTGAGAATTCTTGTCTCTCTTAATCGGTGGCTCCATATAGGGCATGTTTTCCTCTCTTGTCTCTCTGAGTAGAAGATTTTGGTAAAGATAGGCTCTAGCTTCTACATGTTCTTTATGACTCCCTTATCAATATCCCCCTGCGTGGTGATGGTTGAGCCCACCCTGCTTTGAGAGTGAGGAATCTACAATGAATAGCAACCTACCTATTTAAGCTATGATCTTTACTTTCCAAAATGGCACAATTATTTAGAACCTAGAAATCAGAACTACTAGTGTAGTGGTTTTCAAATTTGCGATAATCGTCATAACACGCATTTACTATGTGCTAGGAACTATGGTAAGCCTTGAACAGCCTATCTCAGTTGAAATCTTGCTCATAACCTCAACATATGAAACAGAAGCAGAGCTACTCTGGTTGAAACCATTAGGTTTGTTCGGTGGGAGTGGGAAGGCTACTGTCATCTAGCCTCTTTGTCTTCCCTCATGACATCCTTAAGGTCCCTCCACTGAACTCTCGGACCTGTTAGAGAGCTGCCATGTGTTGTGGCAGTCAATTAGGACAAGGAGTCAAACTGAAAGTAACAACTAAGCCGTTATTCACTTGCTTCAATGGTGTTATCACGAGGCCAGAAAGAGAAAGAGGGTGCCAGCTTCCTCAGTGTTCCATTTTTCTCCTTGGCATGGCACTGGGAAAGGGTCAGATGGATCAGCACAGATTGGGAAGGGGGTTTGTCTCACTGCTGAGGGATCCCCAAACAAAGGCTCCTGCCATTTTATGAACGTGGGGCTCTGGGGAAGGAGAGGCACCTGGACAGTGTCTCAACCAAGTCCCTCCCTTCCCACCTGCTACACCCCACCCTGCTCATACACATATAGGGAAGCTTTGAATGGAGGGGCCCAGGCTGGGTGTGCAGATGTGTGTATGAGCAGGGCCAGTGTGGGTGGGGTGGGTGAGCTAAAGCTGCAACTCCCTCCAGAGACTGTCACGCACTGGCTCTGCACCAAGTGTGATGTGGGGACCACAGCTTTCTCCACATGAGGCCTGCCAGGCAGTCTTTGTGATTGCCTGTAGTTGAGCCTGAAAGAACACACACAGGATTCTAGCCTTGAGTCTGACTCCTCAAGATTCTTTGAGAATAGTTTGAAAACTATCATAATGCTTGATAAAATGTAGGATTGCTTTCTGAAGGAAAGATGTAGACATTTGGCTGTTAGGGAGACTGGAGTTTAATAAAGTCTGTGCTAATAAATAGTTTATACCTCATTGGCATAGTAAACTCACTTTAATACACTGGTTGGTCATCTTTTTATTCTTTTTCTTTTTTTTGAGAGACAGTTCTCGCTCTGTCACCCAGGCTGGTGTGCAGTGGTGTGCTCATGGCTCACTGCAGCTTTGACTTCCCAGGCTCAAGCAATCCTCCCTCCTCTGCCTCCTGAGTAGCTGGGACTACAGGTGCACACCACCACGCCTGGCTAATTCTTGTATTTTTTATAGAGACAGAGTTTCGCCACGTTGCCCTGGCTGGTCTTGAACTCCTGGGCTCAAGGGGTCTGCCCACCTCCACCTTCCAAAGTGTTGGGATTACAGGTGTGCGCCACCGTGCCTGGCTGGTCATGCTTTTAAAAGCATGCCATTTATCACGCAGATGGATATCAAGTTGGTTTTTCTGTTTCCATATTTTTGCCATTCACTGCCCATGTCTCCTCTATGTGGATTCATGTCTCCTCTTGTGGCTCCTCTATGCAGTGGACAAAATAAGAACTGTTAATGCTAGCATAAAAGGTTATAACATGAAAACCTGAAGTCTTTTGTAAATAAGGTGTCAGTTATTGTTTGTAGTCAATTTCATGGTTGCTCAGTGATCAGGAGCACAGGAACAACGCTTGCCAAATATAAATGCTTTGTCTCTCAAATCAGATTTGAAATGATGACTTGTAATTATTCAGCATTTACATGGTATTTTTATATGAATAAAATGCATCTCAATTATTTTTATTAGTGATGATCATGTACCTTTGGGGATTTCAGTAAATTTGTGTTGGTTAATGAGTGGATTGCTTTTTCTGCATTAAAAAATAACCAGAAACAACCTTAGAATACAAAATTCTATTTTCCAATTTTTAGATGCAAGCTTAGATTTAACTTGAAGATCCTGACTTCTTCTTCTTCTTTTTTTTTTAGATAGAGTCTCACTCTGTTGCCAGACTGGAGTGCAGTGATGCGATCTCGGCTCACTGCAACCTCCGCCTCCTGGGTTCAAGCAATTTTCATGCCTCAACCTCCTTAGTAGCTGGGACTACAGGTCCACACCACCACACCCAGCTAATTTTTTTTGCATTTTTAGTAGAGATGGGTTTCATCATGTTGGCCAGGTTGGTCTCAAACTCATGACCTTAAGTGATCCACCCATCTTGGCCTCTCAAAGTGCTGGGATTACAGGCGTGAGCCACTGCATCTGGCCCTGACTTCAGAATTCACTTGCATATTACTATGAATGGACTCAAATAAACCTTTGCTGATTTGTTTGCATGTTCAGTAATAAAATTAGCATGCTGGTTAAAATTGGATTTTGTGACCTTTTTTTCCAGGACAATTGAAGTCAAAATTGCATACACAAATAGCTCAGACAAGGTTTTTAGAGTCAATGGATACCAGTCTATGGAATTATGGGTATAATTTTCTGGTAGTGTGCCTTTTAGCCCCTACCCTTTGGGTACCAAAACACCAATTTTGACTTCAATTGTCCTGGAAAAAATGTCACAAAAGCCAGTTTTAACCAACATGCTAATTTGATACATATTAATAATGATAATGTACCATCATTTCACCAAAACACCCAAAAGGTAATGATGATACATATTAATGATACCTTCCAAGGCTCTCTTTCTAAAAAGGGGAACCCATCTTAGAATTGGGGCCTCCTGTGGAATACTTACAAACCACTGACAAGATTTGATTTGATTTGATTTATCCTATCATGGTTTAGAGCCTTGGGCATAATGTATCATGCCCAGAAGATGGTAATTGATGAAGCACTTCCTGCTTTTTTTTGTATTTATTATAGAGACAGAGTTTTGCCATGTTTCCCTGGCTGGTCTTGAACTCCTGGGCTCAAGGGGTCTGCCCACATCCACCTTCCGAAGTGTTGGGATTACAGGTGTGAGCCACCATGCCTGGCTGGTCATGCTTTTAAACGCATGCCTTTGAAAGCATGCCTTTGAGAGGAGATAAGGACCACTCTGCAATTTCAGAAGCAGTTACAATGTTAGAAAAAAATAGTAGTTTGATATTGCAGCTCTCAAATAATTGATTCTTTGAATTCCACGTTGCTTTCCTCTTTGATAAGCACAGCCAAAGAGGAGGGTTTGGAGTTCTCCCCCGGGTCCTGTCTTGTTTATCTAGTTGGTTAGAGAACATGAGAAAGGGAAGAGAAAGTACACTGTAAGTTGGCTGAGGACACCACTTTCTGGAGGGTAGGATTAGCATTTAATTAGAGGTTAGAAACAAATAGGACTAAGTTCAATTCCTGCCAACTTTATCTTATTCATATGGAGAGGATCAGCAAGCCTTACAAAATGAAGTTCAAAAATACTTAGGAAAGACGGATAGGTTGAGCAGTTCATGATTTTAGAAAAGGGAGTGTGGGTTTGTGTCAGTGGATACTTCAGTAGGAATAGAATGTAGGCTGCCATTATGTAGTTCTGCTTATAATTAGTCAAGCCTAGATTCAGGGCTTGTTTTTTATACTAGACTGCAACAGGGGAAGTCATGAAGAATTTTCACGGTTCACAGAAAGTCAAGAGTGCTTTAATGTTGGATAATAACACTAGCAGTAAGGGTAAAAGAAGCTGTGTATTTTTTTGGGGAGGGGTTGTGGTTCTGGAAAAGAGGAGGCTAAGCAATAAAGGAACACATCTTCAAATGTTGTGGGATAGAAACTTGACCTACTCCTCTCCTACCAATAACAGTAGAATTACAGAATCATATTTGAATGGATCCCTGGGGCATCCTCGTCCAACTTATGCATGAATCTTTCAGACAATATCCCCCAGTAGGCAATCATTTCAGCTTGTGGATCCCTCAGATTCCGGACAATCTAGCACCACTGAAGCAGATCAATCAAAATTTGAGGCTTTGGAGTCTAAATTGGCCTCCCTATAACTTCTCCTTAAATTTAGGTCCTGATCTTAGAGCCAAAGAGAATGAGATCATCTTTTCCCTCTTCCACAAGACAGGTTTCTGAGTAGTTTGAGGGCAGCTGCCATATTCTGTGCTTCAAGGACATTTTTCAGAATAAGCACTAGACACCTCTACTTCTTTTCTTCAATTCTTTGTCATATGCATGATTTCACTCTCCTTGTGATACCTTCCTTTCTTTAAACATATTTCAATATGTCAATGCCTTTTAAAGCTGTAGTACAGAGAGCTGGGCATAATATTGTCTGAACACTGTAGAGAAAAACAGGACACTGGCTTCCTTATTCTGTACTCTCATCTTCTATTAAGGAAGTTCTAAGGTGACATTGTACGTGTTACAGCCATATTACTCTGAATTTGCCATCACTTGAAGACCTAGGTTATTTATGTGCCTGCTGTCATTACATCACAGCTCCTGAATTTATTTTTAGAATTGTAGAATACCATATTAGTTTCCTGTAGCTGCTGTAACAAACTAACACAAACTCAGTGACTTAAAAGAATAGAAACTTATTCCATTACAGTTCTGGAGGCCAACAATCTCAGGGATGTACTCCCTCTCTAGGCTCTAGAGGAGAACCTGTTCCTGGCCTCTTCTAGCTTCTGGTGGCTGTTGGCGTTTCCTGGCTTGTGGCTGCATCTCTTTCTGCTGCATCTTCACATGGCTTTCACCTCTGTGTGTGTGGGTCTGTCCCCAATCTTCCTCTGCCTCTCTCTTATAAGGATACACATAATTGCATTTAGAGGCCACCTGGATAATTTAGGGTAAGTTTCTCAAGATTCCAGGAAAAATTTCCTCTCCGTTTGTGGACCTACCTGTGAAATTAGAAAATAAGTTATCTGCTTCCAAAATATGAAGATGAGACAGGTATAGGATAACAGTTACAGATATTTCCATTCCAAAATGGAGAAAATAGAAGGAATAAAGGGACCACCATCCCAAGATAATTCAAAATAAGGCATGAGAACAATCCTCTGCGACTTGAGGCTCTGCCCTGTAGGACCACGGCTCCATCCTCTGCCTTTGTGCCTGTGGCTCTGGCCTCTGGCTCTGAAGCTCCAGGTCTAGCTCTGTCCTTGGGGGAAATCATTCCTTTTTATTAACTGAGAGCACATGTTTGCAGTGGTTTTATCTGCTTATTTCCTGCCTGTAAAATTCTGGGAGTCTGATAACCTTCTTTCAGTTTATCTTGTCTCTGTCTCCTTCAGTTCATGCTAACAGTGCTTCTGCTGGTGTAACATTTCCAAAACCTTCTCCCATATATGCCATGTGGATTCCCACTATTAGACCAGAGGGTTTCCTGCAGATCTTTCCTGGATAATTCTATCTCTATTCTTGACTTCTGCTGAGATGGTTGAGTAGATGTATGAATCACTTGCTGAATCTCTTTATTACGTGTTGTCCACTCTCACCCTTGGCCTTATCGCCAGAGCATGCTTTCCTAACAGCCAATCTACTAATTTTTGCATCCTTTGCAATCTGGATAGACTGAGAATTTCCCAAATCACTGAATCCTGACTCTGTTTTGAATAACAGGTCCTTGATTTATCTCTTTTCTCTTGAATTTTGCTATAGGCAGCAAGAAAAAAATATCAAGCCACACCTTTAACACTTTGGAAATCTAATCTGCTAAATAGAGAAGTTCATCACCTACGTGTTCTGCTTTCTACATAACTGTAGGACACAATACAGCCAAATGTGTGCCCCTATAGAACAAGGATCACCCCCTTCCCATTTCCAAGGATATATTTCTCATTCTTTCTGAGCCCTCATCAGAATCACCTTTAAATTCATATTTTCACAAACACTTTGTTTATGATAACACATGTATTTTCTAAGATGATAAATGCTTTCTATACTGTGCTTATTTCCTTCTGAGCCCTCACCAGGAATATCTCTATCTGTATTTCTACCAATAGTCTGTTCAAGGCAATCTAGGCTTTGGCTATCATGCAACTCAAGAATTTTCCAGTCTTCACCCGTTATTCAGTCCCAAAGCCACTTCCACACTTCTAGGTGTTTGTTGTAGCAGCATCTCACTCCTTGTACCAAAATCAGTGTTAGTTTCCTGTGGCTGTACTAAAAACTACTATAAATTTGGTAACTTAAAACAACAGAAATTTATTCTTTCACAGTTCCATGTGTCCGAAATCAAAAATCAAGGTGGTAGGCAGGGCCACACTCCCTCCAGAAGCTCCAGTGTAGAATTTATTGTTTGCCTCTTCCAGCTTCTAGGGGCTGTAAACTTGGCTGGTGCTATCTGTCTCTCTATTCTGTCCTTACATTGCTTTCTTGTGTGTTTGTCTGACCTAAAACTCTGTCTGTCTCTTATAAGGATACATGTGATTGCATTTACAATCCACCCAGGTAATCCTAAATAACACCTCCTTTCCAGATATTTAATTTAATCACAGTGATTTTCATATAAGGTAATATTTGCATGTCCTAAAAATTTGAAAGTGAATATATCTTTGGAAGCCCATTTTCTTCAGCTTACTACATGCCTCAGAATGCTTCCAGTTACTATGCAGTATCTAATTCCAAAGCCATTTCCTTATTTTTAGGTATTTGTTATAGCAACATCCCACTTCTGGCACCAAAATCTGTGTTAGTCTTCTATGGCTGCTACAACAAATTACCACAGACTTGGAGGGTTAAAATAACATAAATGTTTTTCCTCACAGTTCTGAAGGCCAGAAGTCTGAATTTAATATTACTGGGCTGAAAGCAGGGCATCGACATAACTGTGATCCTTCCAGAGGTTCCAGGGGAGAATCTGTTTCTTGCTTCTGGTGGCTGTTAGCATTCTTTGACTTGTGAGAGCAAGTCACTCCAATCTCTGCCTGTATGTTTACATTGCCTTCTCTTCTCCCTGTGTGTAATTGCTCTCTGCCTCTCTCTTAATAGGATATGTGAGATGACATTTAAGACTCATACAGATGATCTAGGGTGATATCTACACCAATATTCATCACAATCACATCTGCAATGACTCTTTTTCCAAATAAGATTCCGGAAATTAGAATGTGAGTATCTTTTGGGGAGCCATTTTCAGCCTTCCATAAATATCATCGTGTTCAATCTCCTTTTTACACAAAGAAAGAAACAGAAGCTTAAAGAAGGTAAGTGAGTCTCTGAGAACGAGTTTGCATTCTTAGAATGAATAGCTGGAGCAAGAAGATTGTTTCCAGCACTTACTGTAGTGGAAGGAAGTGACCAGAAGTGAGGTCCTCTAGCTTCTTGCCCATTACTACACAGTTGGTAACTGGAGGGAAGTAAATATAGGATATTATAATTATCTTTATTAATTTATGCTATATTTGACCCTTTATTCTAATCTCTTCACTTAAACACTTAGAATATGTTTCCTCAGCAGTGGCCTTAATGACATTTGAATTGAATAATTCTTTCTTGGTCAGTGAGGGACAAAGTAGTGGCCTGTCCTCTGCACTGTGGACTGTTTATCAGGATCTCTGGCTTTTACCCAGTAGATGTCAGTAGTACTGCCCTTCCTACCACCCCTCAAACCCCACTCTCAGCCATGACAACAAAAAATGTCTCCAGGTGTTGCTAAAAAGGACAGGACTATAGACAAATGCTACAGATCACCATTACTTTCTTCCTCTTGGACTATAAACATGTTTTTTGGAGCCAGCTGTCAACCCACCTAACAATGTTATCATCTAGCTTATTATATTTTTCATAACAGCATTTTGAGAGTGTTTATCAAATGCCTGGCTGAAGTCTAGATCCTAAGTCTACCACATTTTAATAATAATTCTTTAAAAAAGGGATAGAATGAGTTTAACTGAATTTTGGCCCAGTAATTATGTTTTCCTTTTTGAAGAGCTCACAAATCATACTATTCCACATCTGTTCTAGAGTCTTTTGGTGATTAATGTTGACCTCACCAGCATATGTTTGTGGGATCAGCCTTTTTCCCTTCAAAATATTTCTCCATTCTCGTTCTTTTAGTACTTATTTTTTTAATGCCTGACTTCTTTCTTTTTTTCTTTTTCTTTTTTTAGGCAGAGTCTTGCTCTGTTGCCAGGCTGGAGTGCAGTGGCTCAATTTCTGCTCACTGCAAACTCTGCCTCCCCAGTTCAAGTGATTCTCGTGCCTCAACCTCCTGAGAAGCTGGGACTACAGTCGCGCCACCACACCTGGCTAATTTTTGTATTTTTAGTAGAGACGGGGTTTCACCATGTTGGCCAAAATGATCTCGATCTCTTGACCTCGTGATCTGCCCACCTTGGCCTCCCAAAGTGTTGGGATTACAGGCGTGAGCCACCGCGCCTGGCCTTTAATGCCTGATTTCTATAATACAAAAAACAATAGATACATGATTATACTTGTAATTTCTTTTTGCACTTGAGGATACAGAAAAAACAACATATGCAATTGTCTCCAGTATAGAATATATACATATGTGTATATTAACATCTTATCATCAGCAAAATCTTTCTTAGAATCTCTTCCTTGATTGAAACCTTGCTTCTGGATGCCAGAATTACATATCCAACTGCCAATTTGACAACTCCACTTGGTTGTCTCAAACATAATTCATGATTTTCTTGAACTCATGGTTTTCAACCCTAACTGTGGTCATCTTTGCTGTATCTTAGCTTGGTAAAGGGCACCACCATCTGGTCACTTCTGCAAACCGGAACCATAGAAAATAGTCACACACCTTCTTCTCTCATATCCAATTCATCAAAAAGTTCAATGGATTATGCTTCCTAAAAATACCTTCACATTTTCCCCTTCTTGTTAGGTCCACTCTCCTGCACCAGTTTAAGGTACAGCTGTCTCACCTGGACTAATGAAAACTTCCTCACTGGGTATCCCAAGCCTATGCCAGGTAGGCATATTGGTCTTTTGAGATACAAATCTGACTCTGCTATTCCTTCGATAAATTCTCTTTGTTCCTGGAAAAGAGTTAAATCTTGATCATGGCTTAGAAAGCCCTGCCTAAACGATCTTGCCTACCTTTGCAGTTATATCTCACTGCCTTCATCTGTGTGCCCAGCCATGATGGCCTTCCTTCAGTACTTGGGCACACCTTGCTCACACTGTCACGAGGCTCCTGCACTCATAATTCTGTCTGCCAGGCAGGTTCTTCTCTGCCATGCTTGTATCCTAATTTAACTCCTTCTCATTCCAGGTCTCAGCTCAACCATCCCTCTCCAAGGGGGTCTTTCCCAACCACTTTCTCACATTCCTTTGCTCCCCTAAATCAAATCTCCCTAATCTATGCTGTCATAGCACCACATACTTCTTCGCAACACATGACAAATATAATTTTACATTTGTTTGACTGACAATTGAATTAATGTGTCTCTTATGCTAAATAACTGACCTTCTTGAGGAAACAGATGCCACTTGATTTTGTTCAACTTTAGATCCTTGGCACATTTTTTATCTTCTATGCCATATTCATGTCACTTTCCTAACTCTGCCAAGTACCTAGTGTGTTGTATGAGCCTATCTTTTTTTTTTGGATGAATGGGTGAAAGAATGGGCGCATATTGGGTCCTATTTTCTGGTAAAATATTTGTCTATCCTTTTAAGACTAAAGATGGATTTCTCCAACAGAGACTACAGAAATGAAGCCCTAGCTGATTTTGCTTCCTCTAGTCAAATTAATATAAAACCATCTGCATTTAGAAATGGATAAAACTATCATTCTTTTTTCCCATAATTCAAAAAAACCATTTCTTTTATTAGGTATGTCTTATTTTAAAAAGTATTGTTATTGCTTTTTTTTTTAAAAAGAGAAATGCAAATCAAAACTACAATGAGATACCATCTCGTGCCAGTTAGAATGGCGATTATTAAAAAGTCAGGAAACAACAGATGCTGGAGAGGATGTGGATAAATAAGAACGCTTTTACACTGTTGGTGGGAGTGTAAATTAGTTCAACCATTGTGGAAGACAGTGTGGCAATTCCTCAAGGATCTAGAACCAGAAATACCATTTGACCCGGCAATCCCATTACTCGGTATATACCCAAAGGATTATAAATCTTTCTAGTATAAAGACACATGCACATGTATGTTTACTGCAGCACTATTTACAACAGCAAAGACTTGGAACCAACCCAAATGCCCATCAATGATAGACTGGATAAAGAAAATGTGGCACATACACACCATGGAACACTATGCAGCCATAAAAAAGAATAAGTTAATGTCCTCTGTAGGGACATGGATGCAGCTGGAAGCCATCATTCTCAGCAAACTAACACAGGAACAGAAAAACACTGCATGTTTTCCCTCATAAGTGGAAGTTGAATAATGAGAACACATGGACACAGGGAGGGGAACATCACACACCGGGGCCTGTTGGTGGGTGGGAGTCAAGGAGAGGGAGAACATTAGGACATATACCTAACGCATGTGGGGCTTAAAACCTAGATGGGCTGATAGGCCCAGCAAACCACCATGGCACATGTATACCTGTGTAACAAACCTGCATGTTCTGCACTCGTATCCCAGAACTTAAAGTAAAATGAAAAATAAATAAAAAAAGAAAAAAAGAAAAAGTATTGTTATTGCTTTTTTTTTTTTTTTTTTTTTTGCCAGCCATAGTTGGTTCTGGGGTTCAGTCCTTCTGACTTTTTTTACTTTATAGGTCTTATGCAATTCATTTGGCATTTAATATTGATGAAGTCTTTTTCACTACATGTAGTTTAAAAAAAAAACCATTCCTCCAGAAATCTATGTAACCATCCCAACCCAATATTGTCCTTTTCTTCCTTTCAGCAACATTGAATGGCTTTTCATTTGGAGAGCCTCTCTGGTGTCTTTTGTCAACTTTTCTAAAATCTTAAGACCACCTCAACATGGCTCAAAAGTCTCCTCTCTGAAAGAGGAAGTTTTATATACTGTGAGTGGGAACATAAATTAGTACAGCCATTATGGAAAACAGTATGGAGGTTCCTCAAAAAAAACTAGAAGTAGAACTACCATATGATTTAGCAACCCCACTGCTAGGTATATATCCAAAGAAAATAAAATCAGTTATGTTGAAGAGCATCTGCCCTCCCATGTTTACTATGGCACTATTCACAATAGTTAAGATAGAGAATCAACCTGTATCTATCAATAGATGAATGGAAAAAGAAAATGTGGTATAGATACATGAAGGAATACTATTCAGCTATTAAAAAGAATAAAATTCTGCCATTTGCAACAACACAGATGAGCCTGGAGGACATTATGTTGTTAAATGAGTTAGGCACAGAAAAATAAATACCACATGTTTTCATTCATATGTGGAAGCTAAAAATGTTGATCTCTTAGAAGTAAGGAGTAGAATAGTGGTTACTAGAGGCCAGGAAGGGGAGTAAAGGGAGAGTACAGAGAGAGGGTTTGGTTAATAGTTACAAAATCACAGATAAGAGGACTGTTTTAGTGTGACAGCACAGTAGGATGACTATAGTTAGCAATAATTTATTGTATATGTTCAAATAGCTAGAAGAGAGGATTTTGAATGTTTCCAATGTGAAGAAATGACAAATATTTGAGCTGCTGGATATGCTAATGACCCTGATTTGATCATTACACACTATATACGTGTATCAGAATATCACACTGCATCCCATAAATGTGTATGGGATTTAATTGACACATAATTATTATGTGTCAATTAAAATAATAAGTAAAAAAAGAATTCCCCTCTGTACACCAGTGACTCAAATGTGATATGAGTGGTTTCTCTCTAAGTTAGAATCCTTCCATTTCACCCACCAGTCAGTCAGTCAGTCAGTCATTTCTGACCTGCTGTCAGTTTCTCTGTCCAGCTGTGTGGTCTCAGGAAAGTCCCATTGCCTGTCAACGTTCTGGTTTCTTTTCTTTCAGAAGAGGAGGTTGAACTAGATAAGGCCCCATTATAGTGAAAACATTCAAAGCAAAGTAGGGATATCACAGTAGAAGAATCAGCTTTTAAGATTTCTATTGAGATTGGAATATGAAGTAAAAGCATTATCTTATAAAATCAGGAATTTAAAATGAACAATAAGGAAAGACTTCTAAAAAGTGAAAGTTCCAAAATACAGGATGAGACTGATTCCTAGAAGAGTAATTCGTATATGCGTGGGTCTTATTCTGGGTTCTCTATTCCATTGATTTGTGTGTGTATCCTTTTGCCAATATGAACTCTCTTGATTACTGTAGCCATATATTAAGTCTTCACATCAGGTGAAGTGATACCTCCTGCTTTATTCTTTCTCAAGATTCTTTTAGCTCTTCTAGGGCCTATGTCTTCCCGTGTATATTTCAGAATAAGCTTGTCTGTATCTACAAAAGATCTTACTAGAATTTAGATAGAAATGGCATTAATTGCAGATCAATTTAGGAAAAATTGACATCAGTACTGTGTTGAATCTTCCAATCGACGAACAGTATGTGTTCCATTTATGTAGGCGTTCTTTGACTTCTTTCATCAGCATTTTGTAATTTTCTTCAAACATATCCTGTGTTTGTCTTGTTAGGTTTATACCTGAGTATTTCATCTTCTTTGAAGAGACTTTAAATGATATTGTGTTTTTAAATTTTGATTTCTCCATGGCTGTAATAAGTATAGAAATGCAATTGCTTTGTGCATGAATCTTATATCTTGTGACCTTGCTAAATTCACTTATTAGTTCTGGAGTTTTTTATTTTGTAGATTTCTTGAAGTTTTCTATGTAGATAATCATGACAATGGCTTTTTTGAATATATGTGTTTTTTTCTTTAATTGGATTCTGAGGTCTTTGAGGCCTTTGGGCATTGTATGTTTCCACATTATACAAATAGTAAGGGCTTAATAAATATTTATGAATGAGAGATCCACTGCAATTAGTACTGTCATCTGTGAATTTTAGTGATGTTAATAATACTTTATTTTGTTTTTCCCTTTTTTCTTTTTCCTGAAAGAGCTAATTTACAATGCATCTCACTACATGCCCAAACTTCTGTTTTTCCTTGGAGTGTAGTGCACTAAATCTATCTAGAACAATTCTCATTATTTACAGCTTCAGGAGAACAGTGTTTTAGTACAGATTGAAATTGGGATTTAATTAATGTCATTACATAGTACTTGGTTACTAACCTCTTTTAACTACCAGAGAAATGCCTATATATCTGATTTCATCTAGAATCTTTAGTAGGTACACAGTGTGCTGGAAACAGTTATTTTTTCCTGACACAGGCAATAATTAAAGTTCTGAAAGCTGTGCATTGGCTCTTTTTCATAGTATACTTGGTATTAAATGTCTTCTTTCTATGCTTATGGTTTGGCTGAGGACTTTCATAAGGTATAGTTTTTTATTTCTTGTGCCGTGTGTTTGTATCTATATGACTTTTCAAGCGTGGGTCATCATTCTGTGCAAGAAAACTTCCTCTTTTTCCAATCTTTAAAAATGATAATTAATACTTGGCAGCATGTACAAATGAAAAAGAGACAGATGTAAGTGAAGAAACTATGATTTAAAGTTAATAAGCAAAGGAGGAAGAAATAACAGTCTTTTCAGAGTACCTGGGGTATCAGCTTGGAAATAATTAATAAAACCTGATAATATTTATCTCCAACTTGATTGAAATTTAATATTCTGTAAATGTGTGTGATCAGAAGTGAATGTCTAACTTCATCAAAAGAAAGGCTGATGGCATTAGATGATAAAATCTGAAAAGTTCTTGTGGTTTGCTGAAACCCTATTAATGTAATAATATATGTGAATAAATGTAATAGAGAAATTAAAAAGTTATGACCTAGAGATTATGTTCCCTAAACATAAGCCCATCTCCTTCCAAATAAAACCAAGCAACACTGACAATGATTTAAACATCAGACTCTCCAGATGAAGTGTAGGTCAATTCAATTTGACAAATGCATATTGAGGACTTAGTAGATGCCAGGATCTATGGCGTTTACTGGGTGTACAAAGAGGCATAAGATGCAGGTCTCCCTCTAGGTATATTGAGACAAATCGCTTTCCTTTAGATTGCCTGGAAAAATATCTTGAGGGCATGGTACTGAAGTTACAAGCATTCGAAATATAAAATTTTAAGAATTATCAAACAGCAAGAATAAACAAAATCAGATATTCCTGAGATGAACTGACATTAAAAATGAATGAAGGGAAGTTAAAGAACAATGCTCATCATAACGTTTATCATTCTGAGTCTGAATCAGATGTATTCATCTACTTTTGAAACCCTTTTCAGAAGCACCTGAATTAATCAACACTGTATAAACTTGATAACGTAAGTAGCAAATTTTTGTGTTTATTTTTGGATCTACTAAACCAGACAATGTTTTTTCGAATTGGCAAAAGGTATGTTGTAATTGACATTTTAAACAGATTTGATTCAAGTGGATCTTGGTATGACATTGTTAAAGTTTGTTAAATGTATCAAGTGGATCTTGGTATGACATTGTTACAGTTTATTAAATTTGGTCTCTTAATGATTTGATAGATAAGACCACCACAGGCAAAGAATATCCTATTCCTACGGTTTTCCCACTGAAGCTGAGTGAAAATCCTCAGGTGAAACAGATTTATTAATTCAATCAACAAGATCTTGTGAGTAGTTGAGTGTCTACTTTGTATGAAGAAACAAAAATAAGTCATAACAGATGCCTTCATAAAGTTTTAAATACAGTAGGGCAGATAGATGCATGTGTACATAAATAATTGCAAGAAAAGTGAGATAGGGACAAATGAGGGTATATTGAGGAGCTTTAGGAGTCCAGAGGATGGAGACAACAGAGAGTTCTAAAAGATTATACACCATATACATACACATACCCAGCCTTTCCAAGGCTGGGCTGCAAATATTCAGAAGGAATGGGCAATGTGTTTCACCTGGCTTTGGTAAAATCATCCTTGTAGAGCAGATTGAGCTACTGGAGCCAGGGTAAGGGGTTGGTCTGACTTGGGGCCAGTGGGTCACTCTAGATGTCTATAGGGAGGAGGTAATGTATTCTTAAAAAAAATAGCCTATGCAAAAACCTAGGGACTTAAACTACAAAGCTCATTAGGAAATCGCAAATAGAGTGTAGAATATATCGGGAATTGGTGGTGACAGAGGCTGAGTGGGGACAGGTAGGCAGGGCTGGAGGATGAAAGGCTTTTTATACCATCTGAACGAATTTGGACTTTATGCTCATGAGTAGCTGCTGAAAATAAAAGAAAAACTGATTGTTAGACGAAAGTGATGATTGAAAATCTATTTATATTTTCATTGACAAGATTTACAAACATATTATTCATACAGTCTACATTAGCATTACCTAAAATACTTCACTTGTCCTGTATTTCTTTTTCTTTTACTTTCCTTTTTTTTTTTTTTTTGAGACAAAGTCTTGCTCTTGTTGCCCAGGCTGGAGTGCAATGGCGTGATCTCGGCTCACTGCAACCTCCGCCTCCCAGGTTCAAGCGATTCTCCTGCCTCAGCCTTCCGAGTAGCTGGGATTACAGGTGCCTGCCACCTTGCCTGGCTAATTTTTGTATTTTTAGTAGAGATGGGGTTTCACCATGTTAGCCAGGCTGGTCTCGGACTCCTGACCTCAGGCCATCTGCCTGCCTTGGCCTCCCAAAGGATTTCTAAAAGATACTATTTATCCAGACTTTAGGAAACACCAGGAAATAAAGTCCCTGTCCATTCACTAGCTGTTTTGTCTATTTAGTTTCTTAGCTAGTCATGTTTGGATTATTTTGCCGACTAATTGATTAAAAGTAAAATTCACTTTGTAATGATTTCACTGACTATGCTGAATATTAGATGGTCTCATTAACATGGTGAAAAGGTTATTCTTCTGGGCAAGCAGAACATTATGACAGAACTTTAAAATCCCAAATGTGCTTACCTCCTTGTGGCGTTGTACACTCACAGGGGCTGTACAATGGCTGTACTCATGGAACAGAAGGAGCAGTCCTACACTAGATGTCAATAAGGCAGTTTGGTGTGACTGTTACATTAGAGTTTTCCAGAGAGACAGAATGAATAGGAAATAGATGGATAGATTGGTATATGAGGGCATTTGTTAGGGGAATGTGCTCATGCAATTATGGAGGCTGAGTAGTCCCACGACAGTCTATAAGCTGGACACCCTGGCATGTTGGTGCGATGGCTCAGTTCAAGTTCAGAAGCCTCAGAACCAGGAAGCCGATGGTATAATTCTCAGTCAAATGCTGAAGGCCCGAGAACCCAGGGGCTGGTGATGTAAGTCCTGGAGACCAAAGGCCAAAGATCCTGGAGTTCTGATATCCAAGAGAAAGAGAAGAGTATCTCATCTCCAGGGGAGTGAGAGAGAGAGAGAAAAAAATAAACTGTCCCTTCCTTCTTTCTTTCCTTCCTTCCTTCCTTCCTTCCTTCCTTCCTTCCTTCCTTCCTTCCTTCCTTCCTTCTTTCTTTCTTTCTTTTCTTTCTTTCTCCTTCCTTCCTTCTTTCTTTCTTTCTTTCTTTCTTTCTTTCTTTCTTTCTTTCTTTCTTTCTTTCTTTCTTTCTTAATTTCTGTGTTTTTGTTCTTTCTGGACCTCAAGCTGATTGGATGATGCCCACTGAGGGTGGATCATTCCCAGTCAGCCAACCAACGCACACACCAATGTCCTCTGGAAGCACAGCACTCTCACAGACACGCCCAGGCTTTACTAGTTCTCTAGGTATTCCTTAATCCAGTTAAGTTGACACCTACAATTAACCATCACAATAGTTAAGAGCATGGACAAAGGAGCTGGGCTACCTAGGTTCCCAGCTCTGCCAGTCATTAGCCGTGTGACCACGAACAAATTATTTGACCTTTCTCTGCATCAATATTCCCCTTACCTAAAATGGGGACAACAGTAGTACCTACCTCATAGCATTATTGGGATGATTATCTGAGTTAATAAATGTAAATAATTTTGAATTATCCAGAAGAAGAGAGATGGTTGGCTGCAAAAAAGAGAGATCAGAGAAACAGCCTTGTTCATGTAGAGATGAGTGGTATGGCACCTGAGAATTTTGAAACTGGCTAGGTGGTGACGACAGTTGAAGCCAGATTGCTGAGGGTGAGAGCAGGAGGAGATAAGGATTGGGTGTAATTCTGGAAAGGCAGAATGATCTGAACTATTTTCTTGGCATTTCAGGATTTTGGAAAAGATAAAAAGATAGTTATAGTTTCCAGAAACAGTGCTATTCAGGGAAGGTTAGGACAGAAAAGGCCAGAGCTTGTTTCAAAGCAGCAGGAGGGGTAATAATCCAACAGAAGGTGATTTAAGATTTTAGAGAATAATTTTTTAATAACGATTTTAAAAAGACTTTCAATTGCTTTGGCTTTTCTAATTTTTAGAATGATATTTTCAAATATACACAAGATTAGAGAGAATCTATTATTTTCTAGCTACCCATCACACAGTTTTGACAATTACCAACATTTCCTAAAGCTTGTTTCATCTATGCCCTACATTGGAACAAAAAGTCGCCAAAGCATTTGGAACAAATTCCAGATGCTGTGTGCCTTTTCACTCGTAATAATTTCATATGCACCTCTTAACTAATAAGATCCTTGGTTTTCATAACCACAATGCTATTATCAGACCTAACAAGTTAACGTCCATTTCTCACTGTAATACAGTATCCAGACATCATTTAATTTTCCTCAGTTATCTCCAGATGTCTTTTTACATATAGTTTGTTTGAATCAGGATCAAACTAATTATTTCCTTTTGACCAAAAGTGACGCATGATGGTACAGATTCTGAGATGAAGGGATTCTCTCCCCCTAAGATGAAAGCAGGAGGAAATAAATGATTGGGATGGAAGAAGAGAGAGCTGTGGCTTTGGTGCTAAAGGGCCTCAGTCCCTCTAGAGCAAAGGAATGTGAGATAATTTTGAGATAAAGATTCGACAGACTGTGTTTAGGAGTTTGAGGGTCAAAGGTTTGGAATAGAGCTTCAGGTATGTGATAGACAATCAAATTGGAATGTATTAAAGGCTCACCAAGAAATAATGAAAACTAAACTGAGGTTGATTAGCATTGCCCTGTGGACAAATAATCCACTTGTGTTCTTGGCTTTCTTCATGGCTCGTTAATGACTTTATGTATAGGGTTTAGATGAGTCACAAGATGGGTAGAGATGAAGAATTGAAAGCAAATTTGCAGGAATCAAAGTGTGGCCTGAGCAAAAGGCTGAAATGGCTGAGCTAGGAAGGAATTTATGCTAAAGATGATGACGGATTATAAAAAAGAGGAGATAAGGAGCCAGAAGACTTAATAGAAGAAATGCAAAGATAAGAGTGGTGGTCAGAAGGCAGGCTCGTAGTAGAATGTCTTCCAATGCTCATGGGTTGACAGGTGATTGAAGCTCTGAGTAATTGACACGAAGTCACAAGGAGGCAGTGTGGGGCAGTCACAAGCCTGGGTACCCTCCTGCTTTGCTACCTATAAGCTGTGTGACTTCAGGTAAGTTATTTAATTTCTCTGACCCTCAATTTCTGCTATCATAAAATGGGACTAAAAATCCACAACACAGAAGATTGTGGGAAGAATGAAGGAGATATTGCATGGAAAGTATCTGTGGGCTGTAACATAATAGGCACTCACAAAATATCTATTGTTAAAATTGAGGAGGTCAAGGAGCTATAAGGTCAGTGTGTTTTCAGGTCTTGATGATGTAAATTCTGCTTAGGGTTTACAGTTCACTAGAAAGTCACTAGTATTTTTAAAGAAAAAGCAATAAAAAATCAATAATTTTAAATAATAACCATCAGCACCCAATCAGGCAATTTAAAATATAATAAAAGTTTAAAAAGACTATGCCATTTTTATGCACATTCTCAAATATATATATGTATATATATACGTATATACGTACATATACACGTATAAATACATATATACACGTACATATGTACATATACACATATATGTATATATACACATGTATATATACACGTGTATATATACACGTGTATATATACATATATATGTATATATACATACACATATATATACATATATATACATATATACACCCATCCACACTGTATTCGTCTCTGCAAACCTTTCATGTTTTAATGCGCTCCAGACAGATGATCATTGTTTTGTAATTGCCTCTGATTTATATCCGTGCAATCAATAATTAGGTACTCCAGCTGGGTGAACCCAGGTATTTGTGAATCTAATCAAGACTGATTTTAGGTAAAAAACCAAGCCCGTTTTTAGATTCCACTCTCATATCCCTCAGTACTCACAATCTAGCAGAGAAATTCAGAAGAGTCCCATTGTGGTGAAATTTCATTGAATATTCAACGTCTATGGGAAGCCAGAGGGAGTGCCACAATTTAAAAAGTCACCTCTGATTAAGATGAACAATAAATAGAATATCTCACAGAAAAGTTCATTTCTGGCTAATGCCTAGTTCTTAGGTAAAGGTTAATTGGGAGTGGTGAGACAAAACCAACAGCTTCCAGCTCAAGCATTTTTTGCACATTGAAAGACTGATCTGCAAGTTTATGAATACAAATGTACCAGACAGTCATCTCATAAGCTTCATGAATGGTCTTGGCTGCCACTGAGTGGGTGGGAAATGAATGAGAAAGGATGAGAAGGGAGCTGCTTTGTTTGTGTGGTACACAATATTATCCTGATGAAAAACGCTGGCAAGATTCCACATTTCAAGATACTTGCAAGAATCTCCTGCTTGTGTTTTATCTTTGGGTGTTACCATGGCTACTGATGGAAGAAATGAAAACCAAAAGGTGCAGGGAGGTAGACAGATTCAGGGGTGGAAGAAATGGGGAAAACAATCTCAATAGCCCAGCATCTGGGATGATTTATTGTTGAAAGTCTTGATTGCCTCTCTTGCTGCACATATTGTATATTCAAACATACACTCTGAAGCCAATTACCTTTTTGAATAAAGCTACATGAAAGAACTACGCTGGAGACCGATTGTCCTGCTCTTTTGCGAGTTTCCTCTTATTTCTTATTGGGGCAAGTTAAGAAAGTTTGTTACTGTTACGGAAAGCAGTTGTGCACAGCTTGTGGCCCCTAGCATGGCTGTATGACAGTAGCTGTGGGCCTACAGCATTTCCCTGCAGAGATAAAGAGGCCTCACAGCCTGTGCTACGCATATCTTTTTGCTTGGAAATATTTTTCCCTGTTCATGCTCAATGAATACTTCTTTGTTCTGCTTAAGCGTGTGTGTCATATGGCATCTGGCCAACCCCATGGCCAGATCTGTTCTGGTGGGGAGGGAAGGGGGTCTTTTGCTGCAGTACAGGAGGGATGCATATAGACCACCTCCCTGTGTTGGTTGCCAGGCAAGACCCACTGGCCGTGGGAGAGACAGGCTCATTATTGAAGCTGATCTAGCTCTATCTCTTTTCTCTGTGGATAAAGCGTCGTTCTGTCCAGTGCCTGTGTAAGTCATGTTTTTTTTTTTTGGTAACCCTGACACCTGGAAACCATGCAGTAGATTGACATCCTAGGATTGCTGCTTCCGATAGTAGACAACAGGTGTCACTTGCTCAACAGGAATCTTACCTCAAATCTCAGCTCTGTACTTCCCAGCTGTTTGGCTTTGGGGAAGTTATTTAACTTCTTGGAGTTCCAATTTATCCACCTGGGGATAATATGATCGCCTGTTTGGGTTGTTAGAGGATCACATTTGTGGAAGTACTTAGCACTGTAGGATGCATAGTAATGCCCACTTTAGGTCAGTTTTTATTCTTTCTTATAAATAGTGTATGAGTTGGTTGTGACAAGCCAATCCACTGTGTTTTTCTGTCCTCCTCCAGGGAAATGCACATGTAGAGTCTGTTTCATTAAAGTGATGAATTATGGCTAACAAAAGCTGGTGAGTGGAAAAGCAATACCTCCAGCTCATCCATGGCAGCACTTGCCCCTCAAGTCAGGCTTAATTGAAGGACAAGGCACATCCTATCATTGCTGGCTGCCATCTGCTTGCCTTACTCTGATAGACAAGAGATACTTTGAAAAGTTGGGTATAAATAACAGTTCTACAAATTGAGACATCTTTCCTTTGAACATCTTTCCTGTTTCAATGCTCTCTATTTCTGATGAAAAGAAATGGCTGTGGTATTTAACCTAGTTCTTCTTTAGCTGGTTCTGTCTAGTGGCTAGTTAATTTGATTAGTGACTTAAGTGCATTAAGAGAATTATTTGTATTTAAACATATTGAAAAGATCCTTTCATAGAGTTAAGGTTGCCTTTGAAATGTGAATGCTTAGCCTCCTCCACCTTAATTTATTAGGTTATAAATATGGGTTTTCATATACAGAACTAAATTTTCATAATGTCCACAAATGAACTGTGTCCAATACTTTAAGTATCTTGTTAAAATAGATATAGAAGCACTCTCTTTCTCTTCAGTGGAGTAGTTAGCCATTATTTTAAAGCTTTATGTTTATAGATATCTTGCATTTTTGGAAAAGTAGTCTAAAATATCCTTGAGAATAAGAAGAATGTATTGGTTCCACATTTTTGCCCCTTACTTCTGTTAAAAGTAGCTCTTCCCTTTTCTATATCGCCTAAGTAATTGCTAAGTCTTATAGTTTAGGTTAGGAGAGTGTTTTTTGGACTTTGGGATACAACCTATCTGTGGGCCATGAAATCAATTTGGTGGTTGTAATGAGTATTTTTAAAAAGTGAAACAGAATAGAATACGAAATATCAGATTGTGTTATATGTCGTAAGACGAAGTACCGCTTCTTGACACTGCTTCAGTTTTATGTTTACACTTTCACATGTGTATTTAAGAATTGTGCTTACAAAAATGGTGACCATTAATGCCAAGGGTTGTTGGCCAAAGGCAAAGGGGGCTTATTAATGAGGCTAGGCAAAGTTGGGATTTTATAACAAAGTTTCCACCTTACTCATGGTGTAAGAATCTGTGATACCTATAAAGTATAGTCATTCTCTTAATATTAGATTATTCCTTAGAACTTTCCACATCCCTTAGAGACGCTACTGTTTGTCCAGTCACTAAGGTTCAGAGTTATCTTTATCTTCTTTCTCTTTCATTTTTTTTTTTAATTGAGATGGAGTCTGGCTCTGTCACCCAGGCTGGAGTGCAGTGGCGCAGTCTCGGCTCACTGCAAGATGCACCTCCTGGGTTCACGCCATTTTCCTGCCTCAGCCTCCCAAGTAGCTGGGACTACAGGCGCCTGCCACCATGCCTGGCCAATTTTTTGTATTTTTTAGTAGAGATGGGGTTTCACCGTGTTGGCCAGGATGGTCTTGATCTCCTGACCTCGTGATCCACCCGCCTCAGCCTCCCAAAGTGCTGGGATTACAGGCGTGAGCCACTGCACCTGGGTCTCTTTCATTTTTATTCTTGACCTCAAATATGTTACAGCAGTGGTCCCCAACATCTTTGGCACCAGGGACTAGTTTCGTGGAAGACAGTTTTTCCATGGAAGGGGTGGAGGTAGGTGGGGATGGTTTCAGGATCATTCAAGAACATTACATTTACTGTGCACTTTATTTCTATTATTATTACATTGTAATATATAATGAAATAATTATATAACCCACCATAATGTAGAATCAGTGGAGCCCTGAGCTCATTTTCCCGCAACTAGACGGTCCCATATGTGGATGATGGGAGACAGTGACAGATCTATCAGGCGTTAGATTCTCATAAGGAGCATAAAACCTAGATCCCTTTTATGTGCAGCTCACAATAGGATTCATGCTCCTATGAGAATCTAATGCCGCAGCTGATCCGACAGGAGGCAGAGCTTGGGCAGTAATGTGTGATGGGGAGCGGCTGTAAATACAGATGAAGCTTTGCTCACTCGCCTGCTGCTTACCTCCTGCTGTGTGGCTGGGTTCTTCACGGCCACAGACCAGTACCAGTCCTTGGTCCTGCGGTTGGGGAACCCTGTGTTATGGGGTAATGATGATTTTTCCTTACTTTATCCATCAACTCTCTCCTCCTTTTTCTCATTGCTCCCCTACCCTGGCGTCTTTCCTTAGACCAGGGCTACAAGAGTAGCATCCCAATTTTCTGCTGCCCAATCAAATATCCTAATCTATAGCTCCAAATGATCAGTCTTGTCAAAAGCATTCAAAGTTCCCCAATACCTGGTCAATGTCCAATCGTTTTTGCCTGCTATTTGAGAACCACTATGATCTAGTGCTGGCCTATCTCTCCTGTCTTCCTTGCGCATTTTCTTGTGGTCTGTGCTCCAGCTTTCTGAATTTCTCATTGCCCCCAGATCCAAGTCCCACCTTCATCTGTATAACTTTTATTCACATAGTTCTCTCTTCCTGGACATTTGTTTTCCTTCTGTCATTCCTTCCTTATGTTATTACCCACAATTTCCCAAACCCCTAATCTTATCTATTGCTCAAGGTCATGCCTAAATCTTGACCTGTTTCTCCAGGTAGTAGTATCCTTCCCACCTTCAAACTCTCATTGCATTTTATTTGTAATACTCTTAGGATATGTTTAGGATACTTTTATATTAGCTATTCAGGTGCATGACTGTGTGTCCCTTTAGATTAAATCATTTTCTTTCCTCCCATATGTCCTATTTATCTCAGTGTTTTGCAACTAGTAGACACTGAATATTATTTGTTGAGTAAGCTACAAAACAGCACCGTTCAGGCAGTGTGTTTGTGGTCTCAGCTTCTAACATTTCTTCAGATGGTCCCAGAAATTATTTTTTATACTAGAAGAAGAAGAATCTTACAAAACCAGGAAGAACTATTAATCCTTGCACCTGCTTTCTGACACCTCAAAACATTGGAAAAGTCTGCTTTCTGACAAATTGGTCCTTCCCAACCCAACCACAATTGTTATTAGTAATCAGTCAATAACACAGCATCCCTAAACATCAGGGCAGTGTGCAACCTTGCAGGGACAACAGCAGTGCCTGCTGCAAGATTTCAATTTTGTTTCTGGCTTTGTTTGTGTTTAAAACAGTGGTTTTCACAGTGCCATCCCTGGATTAACAGCATCACCATTACCTGAGAATTTGTTAGAAATGCAAATTATCTGCCTCACCCCAGCCTCATTGATGAGATGGCATGGCATGAAGCTCAGCATTCTGTTTCAACAAGTCCTTCAGGTGATTCTGATGCATGCAAAACTTTGAAGACTACTGACTTAGAGCTTCCTCATTTCTCTCATCCCCACTCTCTCTCCACCTTGCATGAGTTCTTAATATGATCACAACCTTAAGAAGAGACTTAAGTCATTTGTCTCTAATCATAGGTGATTATGCATCAGAAAAAAACCCAGTATTGCAACTATACCAAGAATAAAGCAAGCCAAAGTTTATGAAGTAAAATTAGACATAACCCATCAACAAATCCCGTCATACATCAGAATTTTAAGAAGTTGTGAAAAAACTCTCTTCAAAATCTTCCTTCTTAAGAACTCTTCTTAAATCCGACTTTCTTTATGCAATGCCATTCAAGATAAATTCTTCTTCACTCAATTTTTTTTATTGATTTCCCAGTAGTGTGACAAAATTCTATTTTCCATTGCTAATTTACAGAAGATGAGCAGCATTTTAAGTCGGTAGGCTTTTGTAGACTCGCTTAGGGCTCTACTTTACAATTATATTATTGTTACCACAGGGAAATGTAGTCTCAGTTCCAAAAATCCAACTCTCAAAACATTGGAGAATGGCAAATTGGTGCAATGGGAAATTTTTGTGCTGGAAAAAGATATGGTGTCTTACTCAGTTCTTCAGTTCCTACTTCAGTGTGAAAAACTGGCACCAAAGTACGTCTTTCACTGAGAATCTTGAGGAGGACTGGGTGGAACTGGGTAGCCATTGTCTACGTCAGAATGTTCTTCTTGGACACAGAGAGATGCCCACTACTTCTTGAATGTGTCCCCTGGAGGAATTTTACTTTTGGAGTTTTCCCCTTTGTATTAAATTATTTTATCCTGGTAAACAATAAGGACCTCTCTAAAGGGTGACATTTTCAGGTTGTTTTAGTTATTTTTACCTGAAGTTTTTAAAAGAGAGAGAAATTGTGAAGGAGCTGGACATCTGAGGCAGAAGACCTATTGCCTCAGGGCCTTGGCAGTGGTTCCCTCTGCTGGGAATATGTTTCCCTGAAATCTTTGCTTGCTTGGGTTGTTGTTCATTATTTTAGACCCAGCTTAAAAATTACCTCTTTAGAAAAGTTTTATCTCGATTAGCTCTCACTTCCCATTTTATTTTCTTCGTGACATTTACCTCTAAAATAATCTTATTTGTTTACTTGACCACTGTCTTCCTTCTATGCTATTATGTAAGCTTTGTGAATACAGGAACCTTGTCTGTCTCATTTACTGAAGGTTTTTCCAGTGCTTAAAATATGCTAGACTCTCATGCAGGTCATTGATTAGATTCTGGTTTGAGCAACTTAGCTGGAAGACACTCTTTGGGGGCAGCTGAGGGCACCTAAATGTATACTGGATATTAGAAAGTATCAGAGAATTATTATTAATTTTTCAGATGTGTTAATGACAAAAGTATTGTACTTAGTTAAGAAAAAAATCCTTATATTCTAGATGTATACTAAAGAATGTAAGGGTGAATAAACATGGAATTCACTTTCAAATGCTTTAAGAAGAAAATAAGGTAAATATGACAATTGGTCAGCATCGATAAGGAGTATATGGGTATTTGTCATTTACAAGAAAAAAACAAACAACCCCATCAAAAAGTGGGCAAAGGACATGAACAGACACTTCTCAAAAGAAGACATTTATGCAGCCAAAAAACACATGAAAAAATGCTCATCATCACTGGCCATCAGAGAAATGCAAATCAAAACCACAATGAGATACCATCTCACACCAGTTAGAATGGCAATCATTAAAAAGTCAGGAAACAACAGGTGCTGGGGAGGATGTGGAGAAATAGAAACACTTTTACACTGTTGGTGGGACTGTAAACTAGTTCAACCATTGTGGAAGTCAGTGTGGCGATTCCTCAGGGATCTAGAACTTGAAATATCATTTGACCCAGCCATCCCATTACTGGGTATATACCCAAAGGACTATAAATCATGCTGCTATAAAGACACATGCACACATATGTTTATTGCGGCATTATTCACAATAGCAAAGACTTGGAACCAACCCAAATGTCCAACAATGATAGACTGGATTAAGAAAATGTGGCACATATACACCATGGAATACTATGCAGCCATAAAAAATGATGAGTTCATGTCCTTTGTAGGGACATGGATGAAATTGGAAATCATCATTCTCAGTAAACTATCGCAAGAACAAAAAACCAAACACCGCATATTCTCACTCATAGGTGGGAATTGAACAATGAGATCACATGGACACAGGAAGGGGAATATCACACTCTGGGGACTGTTGTGGGGTGGGGGGAGGGGGGAGGGATAGCATTGGGAGATATACCTAATGCTAGATGACTAGTTAGTGGGTGCAGCACACCAGCATGGCACATGTATACATATGTAACTAACCTGCACAATGTGCACATGTACCCTAAAACTTAAAGTATAAAAAAAAAAAAAAGGAGTATATGGGTATTTGTCATAGTATGCTGTTTATTTGTGTATTTGAAATGTTTTATAATAAAATATAATAAAACAGAAAACTTCAACCCAAAAATAAAATAAAATATATTGGATACATAGTAAAGGACCAAAAACTATTTTTTTTAAATGAATGAAATCAAGAATTTAGAAAGAATAGGAGCTGTGTTCTGAAAGGAGCACTTTTCTGACCTCACAGACTTTAGAGAAGGTAGTTCCATCAGAGACCTGGTGTGAATTTTACCTTGACATTGCTTTGAACTTTTGAACCCCAGCTTCCATATCTGAGGATGATGATGGTTACTTTGAGAGGTTGTTTCCAGGGTAGAGATAGCATATATGAGATGTTTAGCACAGTGCTAATATCAGCTATTGCTACAAACTCTTTTTCCTTTATTTCTCCTTGGACACAAACTAGTTGGACAAAGATGACCTTGTCTGTAAATTTTTATCTACAGGGTTGTAGATGACTTATATGTTTATTTTTATGATGCAATTTAAAAAAGAAAGTTACGTGAAAATATCCCTTGACATTGGGGCCAGGAGTAGATGATAGGATCTTGGAGTACTGTAGTCAACACATTTCTTACGCTATTCCCTTTACTATATCCAGACCAGGTTTAGGTGTTTCACAAGATTTGCAGAAATTTTGTTTTTCTCATGAAAAGTTCCACTTCAGTCAGACATAAATTTAATGACAGGAGATATCTGTTCTGAATGCATTTAGTATAAATGGACAACAGAAATGTTCCCACATAGAATTGATATAGCTATGGCTCTGGAATTTTATCATTAAGAGATTTCGGAATAATAATGTGGTAAAATTGAGGGCTAGGGGACTTGTTTTAAAGTTACATTTACATAGAAAGCATAATATTTTTGCACTGAGATCTTTTGCAGTCATCTTTAGGATGACTGAGGGTGACACGTGGAGAGCTGACAGCTATTATAAACGTAAACTACAGCCACCAGCTCAGTAACCCTTTGTCTCTACTCCTGCAAAGGGTCAGATGAACTTACTGGCTGCCCATAGAAGAACATGTATTTTAACTATACAAAGAGAATAAGACATTCAAGATCCTAAGTTATCCATAATACAGCTTAAATGCTAAAAGCAACAAGCATGTAAAATGTTCTTACCAAAAGGATAAATGGAACATTGGGATGCAGAACCACCAGGCTTTATTTTCTTACTTAGACTATTTTTATCATCTAGCCTGAGAAACAAGAGATACCCCCAAAACCTAATCTACTGCCATTTGCTATTTGATTTCTTTACATTGATTTTGAAGATCTCTTCAAATGACTGTATTCTTCAACTTAGTATACTGTTTAGTTGGGGGAAAAAATAGAACTTATTTGAGAAGTCTTAAATTTGTATACATGTGAGTAACTCCTTAATTTTAAATGTACGGTTTTTTTGATCAGTGAAGGTAAATAATGTTAGCTGGAGTAGGCCAGGTAAATAAGAATAATGCTTTTATTGGCAACAATTAGAAAAGCTGGGTAAGATGTAAAACAATGTCTGCTGAAAAGGATGAACAGAGGCAGAGAGATATCAAGGCAATGTCTTGCAGAAGACAGAAATTTAGAGAAGGGATCCTAACATTTGAGGCTTTTTTTTTTTTAAATTTTGGGGATATTTATTAAATTAGAAGACTCAGCTGAAAGGCTGAGAAAGGCTTTCACAGTTTCATGGTGCTACTACAACCTAAGTTGTAGATTAGGGCTCACAAATGTCACCTTAATAAAGTTCCTATAGACTGGAAGCCTGATGGGCTGTTCCTAGGATTAAACAAACACACACAGAGGTAAACAGCCTTTGCACCTTCTGCTCTTTGAGTTTTGCAAACTAAGGGTTGTATATATGACGTAAGAAAAAACATAGGCTCTAATTTGAATAAGGGAATCTGGTAAGAGATGTAAAGCTTCTTTGGGAAAAATTTTATATCATCCTAATTACCCCAAGCCAAAGTTGTTTCTACAGGTAAATTTTAAATCATAATGGCCAGCACTCGATAAAAAATAAATAGATCCACAAGGAAATAAGACAACTTAATTAAGTTGTCTTATTTCTAAGTCCTTTGCAGAAACAAAAAACTGAAGAAGCAGACACAGAGATGTTGCAAATATTTGTATTGTCATATTTACATTTAAGAAAATATATATCAAACCTGTGAGATAAAATTAAGGCAATTTTTAGGTAGATACTTTTAGTATAAACTTATATGAGAAAAGATAAAGGGCTAAGAATTGGTGAGCTAAGCATTTTTTCAAAAAGTTAGAAAATATAGAAAAATCCAATAAAAGTTGAGGGAAAGAAATAAAATTGGTAACATTAGAATGTAAAGGAACAAACGATAACAATTACCAAAAACAAACATCGGTTTTTTGATGACATTAACAAAATTGAAAAACTTCTGGTGAGACTGACTGAAAAAAGAAGAGAGAAGGCTGAAAATATAATACAAATAGCAAGGAGACATTACTATGACTCTTGCAGAAATGATAATGCAAGAATATAATGAGAAACACATTATTTGTGCCAATTTAGATGAGATGGACAAATACCTAGGGAGATTTAAGTTTATGAAATGGATACAAGAAGAAATAGAAAATTTGAATAGTCTTCTATCTATTAAAGATATTGACTCTGTAATTTAAAAAATTCCTATAAGAAAAACTCTAGGTCCTTATGGCTTTAAATATGAATTCTATCAAACATTAACAGAAAATCTTTCAGAAAAGGAAACGGAGAACACTCTTCAACTCATTTATGAAACAAAAAATAACTTTAAATTGTGAAAAGAGTAGATTTTGAATGTTTTCCACCCTCCAGAAATAAGTATGTGAGGTGGGAGTCTAAGGAAGATGGCGGATAGGAGATAGGGCTAATGTGCAGCTCCCAGTTGGATGGACAGAACAGTGTGTGGAGATTCACACCATGAACTTTTCGTCCAAGAAGCACTGGAGGAATGTACCAGGAAAACTGAAAGAATTCACAGATCCTTTGAAAGAAGTGGCATACCACTGCAAACTCTGTGAGACAGGAAAAAATTGTGAGTTCTCAAAGTGTGAAGGGGAAAAAGCTGCCTCCAAATACACATCCCCACTGGGGAATATGAAAATACAGATCACAGAAGAAGGGTTTAACCTAACCTAGAGCTGAAATGGATTAGGGAGCTGTGCAAAATATAAAAGTAGAAGCAGCAGTGGGTAGAGCCTTGTAGGCACTCCCAGTCTCCAGCTCAAGCCCAGGGAAGCCATCCCTGATGATATCTCACCCTCAGGGAAGGCAGCCAGTGGAATTAGAGAGGGGTCACAGGGTGAAAGAAGCTCCCACCTGAAATTTGTAAGAATTTTGACTGGGTACAAATTTGCTTGAATAGAATCTAGGGGGTGAATGGTAACTGCTGCAGATATAAGCACAGGAACCACTGCCAACAGTGTGGGCAGATAGGGAGGAGTGAGGCCTGAAGGCCATGCTTGCTTTCTCAGCAGGGCAGCTTACAGCCTGGGGCAAGGTCTGAGCAGGGCATTGTGGGAGCAAGAATGGCCTCACCAAGAATGGCCTCACCAAGTATGTGGGAGCTAGATGAAGCCTTTCACTATCAACTATCCCCCCATTTTCCTGGTGAACTATATGACACAGCAGAGGCAGCCATAATCCCCTCTGGAATATAACTCATCGGCCTGAGAACCAAACTCCCAGCCCCCACAGTGGCTGCAGCAAGCCCTGACCAAGGAGAGTCTGAGCCCAGACCCACCGAACCCTGCCCTAATCTGATGGTATTTCTCTTCCTGCAAAAGATAGAAACCCTTTGGAGCTTTATGGCTCTGCCCGCCACCTGAGAAATCAGAATACTTCCCCTGGCCAATTTAGGACAAATTCAAATCCCACTACTGCTACTGTAGCTGGTGCTCTCTTGAAAGCACCACCTCCTGGCTGGAGACCAACTAACTCAGGCTATTACAGCAACTCATGACAGAATAACCCTGCTTCCAGAATAACCCTGCTTCCGGGAAGAAGCTAATTCCACTGCCTGCAACATCCTAGCTAACCAGAGGTCCTGAGTCTGTCCATGTGATAACTTCACTGCTAGCATAATCAGCATTCAAGAAAGCCAGCAAGCTAAACCTATCTACAACAAGGACTCTCACAGAGTCTACTTCACTCCCCTGCCACCACCACCAGAGCAGGTGCTGGTATCCACAGCTGGGAGACCTGAAGACAAATCACATCACAGGACTCTGCAGACATTCCTCAGTACCAACCTGAGGCCTGCTAGCTTCACAATTGTTCGTAACAATCACTGCAGTCCAGCTCTCAGGAAGCCCCATCTTTAGGGGAAGTGGGAGAGCACCACATCAAGGGATCACCCTGTGGGACAAAAGAATCTGAACAGCAGGCCTTGAGTTCCAGACCTTTCCATTGAAATAATCTACCCAAATGAGAAGGAACCAGGAAAGTAATTTTGGTAATATGACAAAACACGGTTCTATAACACCCCCAGAAGATCATAATAGCTCCCCAATGATGAATCCAAACGAAGAATAAATCTCTGAATTGCCAGATAAAGAGTTTAGAATGTTGATTATTAAACTACTCAAGGCAACATCTGAGAAAAGTGAAAACCAGCTTAAAGAAATTAAAAAATACAGGATATGGATGAATAATTCTCCAGAGAAATAGATATCATAAATAAAAAACAATTACAGCTTCTGGAAATGAAAGACACACTTAGAGAAATACAAAATGCATGGGAAAGTTTCAACAATAGAACAAGTAGAAAAAAGAACTTCAGAGAACGAAAACAAGGCTTTCAAAATAACCCAATCTGACAAAGACAAAGAAAAAAGAATTTAAAAAAAATGAATAAAGCCTCCAAGAAGTTTGGGACTATATTAAATGTCCAAATCTAAGAATAATTTGTGTTCCCAAGAAAGAAAAGGCTAAAAGTTTGGAAAACATACTTGAGGGAATAATTGAGGAAAACTTCCCCAACCCTGGTAGAGATCTAGACTTCCAAATACAAGAAGCTCAAAGAACACCTGGGAATTTCATTGCAAAAAGATCATCACCTAGACACACAGTGATCAGGTTATCTAAAGTCAAGAGAAAGGAAAGAATCTTACAAGCTATAAGGCAAAAGCATTGGGTAACTATAAAGGAAAACCTGTCAGATTAACAGCAGATTTCTAAGCAGAAACCCTACAAGCTAGAAGGGATTGGGGTCCTATTTTTAGCCTCCTGAAACAAAGTAATTATCAGCCAGGAATTTTGTATCCAGCAAAACTGAGCTTCATAAATCAAGGAGAGATAAAGTCTTTTTCAGACAAACAAATGCTGAGAGAATTTGCCACTACCAAGCCAGCACTACAAGAAATGCTGAAAGGAGTTCTAAATCTTGAAACAAGAACTTGAAATACATCAGAATAGAACCTCCTTAAAGCATGAATTTCACAGGGCCTAAAAAACAATAACACAATGAAAAAAACCAGGATATTAGGGTAACAACTAGCATGATGAACAGAACAGTACCTCACATCCCAATACTAATGTTGAATGTAAATGGCCTAAATGCTTCACTTAAAAGATACAGAATGTCAAAATGCATAAAAATCCACCAACCATGTATCTACTGGTTTCAAGAGACTCACCTAATGACTCATATAAACTTAAGATAAAGGAATGGAAAAAGATATTCCATACAAATAGACACCAAAAGTGAGCAGGAGTAGCCATTTTTATAGCAGACAAATCAGACTTAAAAGCAACACCAGTAAAAAAAAAAAAAAAAAAAAAAGACAAAGAGGGACATTATATAATGATAAAAAGATTAGTCCAATAGGAAAATATCACAATCCTAAATATATATGTGTTTAATGCTGTAGCTCCCAGATTTAGAAAACAATTACTATTAGACCTAAGAAATGAGATAGACAGCAACACAATAATAGTGGGGAACTTCAGTACTCTACTGACAGCACTAGACAGGTCATTGAGACAGAAAGTCAACAAAGAAACAATGGACTTAAACTGTACCCTAGAGCAAATGGACTTAACAGATATTTACAGAACATTCTACCCAACAACTGCAGAGTATACATTCTTTTCAGCAGCACAGGGAACATTCTCCAAGATAGATCATATCATAGGCCACAAAACAAGTTCCAATAAGTTTAAGAAAATCAAAATTATATCAAATATCCTCTCAGGCCCCAGTGAAGTAAAGCTGAAAATTAACTCCAAAAGGAACCCTCAAAACTATACAAATACATGGAAATTAAATAATCTTCTCTTGAATGATCTTTGGGTTAACAATGAAGTCAACAAGGAAATTAAGATATTCTTTGAACTGAAGAATGGTAATGACATAACCTATCAAAACCTTTGGGATACAGAGAAAGCGGTGCTAAGAGGAAAGTCCATAGCATTAAATGCCTACAGCAAAAAGTCTGAAAGAGCACAAATAGACGATCTAAGCTCACACCTCAAGGAACTAGATAACTAAGAACAAACCAAACCCAAACGCAGCAGAAGAAAAGAAATAAGAAATATCGGAGTATAAATAAATGGAATTGAAACAAACAAAAAATACAAAAGATAAATGAAACAAAAAGCTGTTTATTTGAAAAAATAAGCAAAAATGATAGACCATTAGCAAGATTAACCAAGAAAAAAAAGAGAAGATCCAAGTAAACTTAATTAGAAATGAAATGAGAGATATTACAACTGATACTACGGAAATACAAAAGATCATTCAAGGCTACTACAAACATTTTTATGTCCATAAACTAGGAAATCTAGAGGAGACGGATAAATTCCTGGAAATATGCAACTATCCTAGATTAAATCAGGATGAAATAGAAACTGAACAGACCAATAACAAATAGTGAGATTGAAACAGTAATAATAATAATAATAAAAAAACTGCCGACAAAAAAAGTCCAGGACCAGATGGATTCACATCTATCAGACATTCAAATAAGTAGTGGTATGAATCTTACTACTATTCCAAAAGATAGAGAAAGAGGGACTCCTCCCTAAATCATTCTATGAAACCAGTGTTTCCCTAATTCCCACACCAAGAAAGGACACAACAAAAAAAGAAAACTACAGACCAATATCCCTGATGAATACAGATGCAAAAATCCTCATCAAAATGCTAGCTAACCTTGAATCCAACAACATGTCAAGAAGATAATTCACCATGATCAAGTGGGTTTCATCCCAGGGATGCAGGGATGGTTTAACATATGTGAGTCAATAAATGTGATATGCCACATAAACAGAATTAAAAACAAAAATCATATGATCATCTCAATGGATGCAGAAAAGCATTTGACCAAATCCAGCATCCCTGTATGATTAAAATCCTTAGCAAAATTGGCATAGAAGAAACATACCTCAAAGTCATAAAAACCATCTATGACAAACCCACAGTTAACATTATACTGAACAGAGAAAAGTTGAAAGCATTATCTCTAAGAACTGGAACAAGAAAAGGATGCCAACCTTCACCACTTCTATTCAACATAGTACTGGAAATACTAGCCAGAGCAATCAGACAAGAGCAAGAAATAAAATGCATCCAAATTGGTAAAAAGGGTGTCAAACTGTGGCTGTTCACCAATAATATGATTGTATACCAGAAAACCCTAAAGACTAGTCTAAAAATCTCCTAGATCTGATTGATGAATTCAGTAAAGTTTCAGGATGCACTGCTATACACCAACAACAACCAAGCTGAGAATCAAATCAAGAACTCAATTCCTTTTACAACAGCTGCAAAAAAATAAAATACTTAAGAATATACCTAATCAAGGAGGTGAAAAATCTCTACAAGGAAAACTACAAATCACTGCTGAAAGAAATAATCAGTGACACAAACAAATGAAAACATATCCCATTCTCATGGATGGGTAGAATCAATATTGTGGAAATGACCATACTGCCAAAAGCAATTTGCAGATTCAATGCAATTTCCATCAAAGTACCATTATCATTCTTTACAGAACTAGAAAAAACAATCCTAAAATCTATATGAAACCAAAAAATAACCCACATAGCCAAAGCAAGACTAAGCAAAAAGAGCAAATCTGGAGGCATCACATTACCTGACTTCAAACTATACCACAAGTCTATAGTAATCAAAACAGCATGGTATTGGTATAAAAATAGACACGTAGACCAATGGACCAGAATAGAGAACACAGAAATAAACCCAAATACTTACAGCCAACTGATCTTTGACAAAGCAAACCAAAACATAAAGTAAGGGAAAGGATGCCCTATCCAATAAATGGTGCTGGATAATTGCCAAGCCACTTGTAGAAGAATGAAACTGGATCTTCTTCTCTCACCTTATACAAAACTCAACTCAAGATGGACTAAAGACTTAAATCTAAGACCTGGGCCCATAAAATTTCTAGAAGATAACATGAAAAAAACTCTTCTATACATTCGCTTTGACAAAGAGTTGATGTCCAAGAACCCAAAAGCAAATGCCACAAAACCCAAAATAAATAGATGGGACCTAATTAAACCAAAAAACCTCTGCTCAGCAAAAGAAATAATCAGCAGAGTAAACAGACAACCCCCAGAGTGAGAGAAAATACTCACAAACTGTGCATCTGACAAAGGACTGATAGCCAGCATTTACAAGGAGCTCAAACAAATCAGCAAGAGAAAAACAAATAATCCCTTCAAAAAGTGGGCAAGGGACATGAATAGACAACTCTCAAAAGAAGACATACAAATGGCCAACAAACATGAAAAAATACTCAACGTTGCTAATTATCAGGAAAATGCAAATTAAAACCACAATGAGATGTCACCTTACTCCTGCAAGAATGGCCATAATTTAAAAACAAAAAAAAATAGATGTTGGCATGGATGTGGTGAAAAGGGAACACTTTTACACTGCTGCTGGGAATGTAAACTAGTACAACCGCTATGGAAAACAATATGGAGATTTCTTAAAAAAAAGTAGAACTATTATTTGATCTAGCATTCCCACTACTGGGTATCTACTCAAGGAAAATAAGTCATTATATGAAAAAGACACTTGCACACACATGTTTACAGCAACACAATTTGCAATTGCAAAAATATGGAACCAGCCTAAATGCCCATCAACCAATGAGCAATGAGTGAATAAAGAAAATGTAATCCTAAACTTTGTATGGAACCATAAAACACACTGAATAGCCAAAGCAATGTTGAGCAAAAAGAACAAAGCTGGAGGCATCACACTACCTGACTTCAAAATCTTACAGAAAGCTATGATAATCAAAACAGCATGAATACATGCTATCAAAACTCCAATATTATTTTTCACAGAAATATAAAAAAAATCCTAAAATTTGTATGGAGCCACAAAATACACTGAATAGCCAAAACAATGTTGAGCAAAAAGAACAAAGCTAAGACATCACATTACCTGACTTTAAAATTGAATATAAAGCTATAGTAATCAAAACAGACAAATTGACCAGTGGAATAGGACAGAGAACCCAGAAATAAACTCATGCATTTATGGTGAACTGACTTTCAATGACGGTGCCAAGAACACAGAATGAGAAAAAGACAATCTTTTTAATAAATACAGTTGAGAAAACTGGTTATCCACATGTGGAAGAATTAAATTGGACCTTTGTCTCATGCCATATACAAAAACCAACTTGAAATGGAGTAAAAACTTACACATAAGACCTGAAATGATAAAACTACTAAAAAATTCTCCACAATAGTGATATGGGCAAAGATTTGCTGGATATGACTTCAAAAGAACAGGCAACGAAAGCAAAAATTAACAAATGGGATTGGATTGAACTAAAAAGCTTCTGCACAGCAAAGGAAAATCAATAGAGTGAAGAGACAACCCATGGAAAGGAAGAAAATATTTACAGTCATACACCTAATAAAGGATTAATATCCAAAATATAGAAGGAACTCAAACATTTCAAGAAAACATAGGACTCAATTAAAATGGACAAAGAACCTAAATAGATACTTTTCAAAAGAAAACATACAAAAGATATGTCTTCAAAAGAAGACATACAAATGAAGACATACAAATTCAAAAGAAGACATACAAATAGATACATGAAAAACGTTCATCATTACTAATCATCAGGGACATGCAAATTAAAATCACAAGGATAAACTACCTCACACCTGTTAGGATGGCTTCTATCGAAAAGATGAAAGAGAACAAGTATTGGTGAGGGTGTAGATGAAGGGGAACCTTTGTGCACTGTTGATAGAAATGTCAATTAATACAGCTGTTATGGAAAACAGTATAATGGGTCCTCAGAAAACTAAAAATAGAATTACCATATGATCCAGCAATCCTACTTCTGGATATATATGCGAAGGAATTGGAATCAGTTGAAATCGGTTCCTTTGGATATATAATCAGAAGTAGGATTGATGGATCATATGGTATGCCAAAGAGATATCTGCACTCTCATGTTCATTGCAGCATTATTCACAATAGCTAAGATATGGAAGTGTTCCTCACTGGATGAATGGATAAAGAAAATGTGGTATACATACGCAATGGAATACTATTTAGCCTTTAAAAAGAAGGAAATTTTGTTATTTGCAACAACATGGATAAACTTGGAGGACATTACGCTAAAAGGAATATGGCAGGCACAGAAAAACAGTCACTGTGGGATCTCAGTTACACGTGGTATCAAAGTCAAACTTGTAGAAGAGTAGAATGGTGGTTACCAGAGGCTAGGGGAGGGGAATGGGTGGGGAAAAGAGATGTTGATCAAAATGTACAAAATTTCAGTTAGAATAAGTTTTAGTGGTATGTTATACAGAATGTTGACTATAATAAATAATAATGTATTGCATATTTAAAATGTAAAGTACATGGATGTGCTTTGGTCCAGAATAGGCCAAGGCAGACATCCAGGCCTGCATGACTCAGTGGGATTGGTGCTTACACCTCCACTTGTTATATAACCTGTTGGTGTAAGCTCATACTTGGCTGTACGCCACTGTTGTCTGTAGAAGGTGTAACTGCCCTGCTGACGCTGTACAGGCGCTCTTCAGCATGGCTTGACATTGTATGCGTGCTGGTGCCCAGAGAGAGAGTAATGGTACTGACCACTGTAAGGAAGATCTGGTCTCCTTGAAGGCAGGCAGGGGGAAGTCAGGAACTGGCTTGTGCCCAGAGGGAAACAGTTAAGCTGCTAACACTGTAAGGGAGAGCTGGCCTTGCAGGCTGGCCGCGCAGCTGTGCGTGGGAGCTGGCTGCTCAGAGGAGCCGCAAAGCCGGAGCAAACAGCCGAGATAAAGGCGGACGGTGATGCTTGTAATCCCAGCTACTTAGGAAGGCTGAAGCAGGAGAATCGCTTGAACCCGGGAGGCGGAGGTTGCAGTGAGCCAAGATCTCGCCATTGCACTCCAGCCTGGGCAACAAGAGCGAAACTCCGTCCCCTCCACACACACACACACAAAATAAAAATAAAAAATAGCGGACGGTGTGAGAGAGCTAGTAAGAGAGAGCTGCTGAATAAAACTACATTTCACCTGCCTACGGCGCCCTGAGTGTTCTTTCAGCTATCCGCCCATCCACTCACTCCCCTGGGACCTTGGCTGGGGCTGGAACCTGACCTCAAGCAGGCCATTGGCATAGTCGCGAACTTAACATAAAAATTGCTAAAAGAGTAAATTTTAATGTTTTCACCATAAAAAATTATATGTGACGTGATATATTTATTAATTAGCTTGATTTATTCATTCCACAATGTAAACATTTATCAAAACATATTGCACCCATAAATATATACACTTATTAATTTGTCAATTAAAAATAAAATATAAATAAGAAATATACTGTAACAAAATAAAAATGATAATACATTAGACTAAGCTTGTTTTATTTCAGGAATATAAGGCTCATTTAATATTATAAGCTCAGTCAATGTAATTCACCACATTAGTAAAATGAAGAAAATAATAGTCAACTAAATAGATACAGATAAGTGTATGACTAAATCCAGCATCTCTTCCTGATTAAAAAAACTCGTATCAAGGTATGAATAAAGAGAAACTTTCTTAATCTAATGAAGCACTCCTTAAAAGGCCTATAGCAAACATCATACTTAGTGGCAAGCTGTTGAAAACTTTCCTTTGGATATTGAGCATAAGAAAGATGCCAGCTATCAGCCGGGCACCATGGCTCACGCCTGTACTCCCTGCACTTTGGGAGGCCGAGGTGGGCGGATCATGAGGTCAGGAGGAGACCATCCTGGCTAACATGGTGAAACCCCGTCTCCGTTAAAAATACAAAAACTTATCTGGGCGTGGTGGCGAGTGCCTGTAGTCCCAGCTACTCGGGAGGCTGAGGCAGGAGAATCGCTTGAACCGGTGAGGTAGAGGTTGCAGTGAGCTGAGATGGCGCCACTGCACTGCAGCCTGGAGACAGAGTGAGACTCCATCTCAAAAAAAAAAAAAAAAAAAAAAAAAAGATGCCAGCTATCACCACATCTATTGAACATCTTACTGGAGAACATTACCAGTGTATGAATCAAGAAAAAAAAGTTACCAGATTTAGAAAGAAATACAACTGTCATTATTTGTGAATATAATTGTGAACAGAAAACCCTACTCTACAGATAAATCATTAGAATTAATAATTTAGCAAGTTGTTAAGATTCAAGAACAGTAAAATTCAATTCCATTTCTATACAACAAACAAATCAAATATTACATAAAACATTTAAAATAGCATAGTCCATTGGGGGTTGGCAATGGCAGAGGCTGGGGAACTCTTCTCCACAAATTACCTTGAGTTGTCGACATCTTCCAGCACAGGGATCCATTACTTTGCAGGGCCTTTTCTCTCTCAGCGTGCAACTGACAGCTGGGGACGAAAGAATGCAGGGTCATGAGTGGCAGGGAGGTACTTATGGGCCAGGCCTGGATTGGTCACATTCCACCCACTAGAGCACAGTGACACCCAACTGTAAGACAGTCTGGTGAATTTTGCCTTGTTGTTTGGCCAGGAGAAAATGGAATTGGGTTTTATCTACACATAGCAGTTTTTACTATAACTTCTGTTTAAAATTTCTTCATGAGATGAATTCACTGTGGATATCAGGGGGAAAATGATTATTCTTTAAGTTTAGAAGAAATAGAAACTTTCCTTTAGCTTTATAAGAAGATTTATGGTTCCCATTCTAACAATAGCTAAGTTTTCATGAGGAGGAGAATGAATATGTTAGCTAAGCTGTCTATTTCAGAAAGAGGTGAAAGCTACTCCTGTGTGGTATTTATCGTGTATAGATTTTGTTTGTTGGACATTAATTCCACAGTGGCAAACACACAGATAAATGTGTTGCTGTGTTTCTTTTGTTTTTTTAATGGATTGAGACCACATTTGCAGAGTGAAGCCATATGCTATCTATTCTTGCCTTTACTATTGAATTAATTAGCTTGTGATAGTGTTTCCTGAGCTAATGAGGCAAACATTCTCTTGGATTCAGCTGGAGGAGAAATCCTTGTTACTGTCACTTCAAGGGTAGGGAGAGCAGTGAGGATAACATTATCAAAATTTGCTGAAGCAACCATCGTAGTTATGGAGATAAGTTTTTCAAAAATAACCACATTGAGCAATAAGAATGTAGAATTACCACTTTGTGGTAATAACTAAAACAATTCATGAGCAATTTAAAAAGCTTTATTAGGATGGGGAAGAAAGAAGAAAATAGTAAGATGTAGCACAATGAAAGAGGATTCATCTAAAGCTTTGGAAGTAGAGATCTGTTTGTTTAATAATGTACTCGGGATTTTGGATCCATCATTTAACCTTTGGATGTGGTTTATTTTTCTTATATTTGAAATTAAGGTGTTGAAATGGAAAATATATGTGATTCTTTTTGGTTTTATCACTCAGTGATTCTAGGTGTTATTTTATTTTAGCATAGGTCAATGTTCTAGTTAATAAAGTGACTGGAAGCACAAAATAACATGGGGTGTCAGTGTTTCTTTATTAAGGCTTTATGATTGAGGATGATAACTTGCTACATCTGCAAACCCTCTCTTTGGAAATGAATCAGAGTGTGGCAGGTTTACTATGTTGGCACAGAGGTCAGAGTTCAGGTCAGCCACAAAGCAACTGGACAATATCCTAGAGAGAGGAAAAATCTCTGTGAGTAGGGAATTACAGAAAAGGAGCCAGATATGGTTAGGTGTTGTGTCCCCACCCAAGTTTCATCTTGAATTGTAATCCCCATAATCCCCACGTGTCAAGGGAGTGACCTGATGGAGAAAATTGAATCATGGAGGCAGTTTCCCCCATGCTGCTCTCATGATAGTGAGTGAGTTCTCATGAGAGCTGATGGTTTTACAAGGGGCTCTTCCCTCTTTGCTCAGCACTTCTCCTTCCTGCCATCTTATGAAGAAGTTGCCTTGCTTCCCCTTTGTCTTCCACCATGATTGTAAGTTTCCTGAGGACTCCCAGCCATGCTGAACTCTGAGTCAATTAAAACTCTTTCCTTTATGAATTACCTAATCTCAGGCAGTTCTTTATAGCAGTATGAAAACGGACTAATTCAGAATTCCAAAATTCACATATGGCTTCCTCTCAAGTTGTTGACCAATTCCTTGGCTGCTCATGCGCAAGTTAAGTCTTTAGAAACCCAGCAGAAAACAGCAGCTGGGAAGCAAAAGAGCTGAGTAGAGATTTCAGCAATAATGAGATTCTGGGAAGAAATAAATTCAAGTTTATGTCTCCCAAGATCAAAACCTTTGTAAATACTCTGGGCTTTATTTTGGGACCCCAGAGGCTCTAGGAATAATGGCCACACTCCAAAAGTAAAGGGTATGTTTTAGGAGTGAGTGATACACTCCAGTTGTAAAGGGAAACTAAAGAAGCCCAGCTCTAATAAAACCTAAAACAAAGGCTTGGCAGGATCAAGTGATCTGCTGGTCCTCTGCCTGCCTGTAAAACAAAATGAAACAAACAACTAAAGCAAAACGACAACCAAAAAATTAATGAACAGAACCCCAACAAACGAAAACGAAATCTTAAACCTTTTTGGAGGAATCTATAACATCTTACACAGCCTGCACACTATTTTATTCAAAGTGCCAGGCAGCCAATGCAAATTTCTGAGGCATGCTAGAGGAACAGGGAAAAAAAGCAGAAAGTAAAAACTCAGCTAGCAGAAAAGATACATGGGTGATTTTGTTATTGGAGGTATCACAGCTAAAAACAAGTGAGTTACATGTTCAAAAAATAGAGAAAAAGATAGAAAAAATAGATAAAAGTATGGAGAATTTAAATGAGAATGGGGAATAATTTAAAAGATACCAATGAATATCCTGGAACTGAAAAATACAATATTTGTAATTAAGAATTCATCTGATGGGTATAAGAACAGACTGGCAACCACAGAAGATAAGATTAGTGAAATGTAGGATATATTCAATGTAAATCTTAGGAGGTTTTCTTTGTGGAAATTGACAAGCTAGTTTTAAAATGTTTATGGAAATGGAAAAGACCATGAGTAGCCAGGAAAATTTTGGAGGACACTTTTACCAGACAGCAAAATGTATGACAAGATTAAAATATTTATTATTGTATGGTGTTTTTACAGAGAGACTCATACATAGTGGATACTTGATTTATTCTAAAAGCAGCCCTTCAGAGAAGTGCCTAGAAGATGAGCTCTTCAATGAATGGTGCCGGGTCCATTTGAAAATTCACAAGGAAAAGAAATGAAACTTGACTTTCACTTATATCCTATAAAAATTTAATACCACCGGAAGGTATATCTAAATGCAAAATATGAAATGATAAATCACTTAGAAGAAAGCATAGGAAATCATCTTGATTACTTTGGGATAGATGAGGATTTCTTAAGTGGAACACAAAATTGCCAAGAGAAAGATCCATTAAAATTAAGAGCTTCAATTCACCAAAAGACATCATGAAGGGAGAGAAAAGGCAAGTTATAGACTTGGAGAAGATATTTATGATACAAACAACTGCAGTGGGCTTATATCAGAATACATCAAGAATTCCTACAAATCTATAAGAAAAGATAAGGAAAAATATGTTTAGGGATTTGAACAGGCACTTTACAAAATAGGCTATCTGAAGGGCAGCCTTGTTGAACTATGTTTTTCATCAAGGGAATGTGAATTCAAGCCACAGTGCAATACCACTATGTGGTATGCAGGAGCCACCAGAATGGCTAAAATTTAATACTGTGACTTCCAAATATGGGAAAAAATGTGGAGCAAGCGTCAGGCTCATCAATGCAGGTGGGAGAACAAACTGGGAAAGTCACTTTGGATGAGTTTCTGGTATTTCAACCCCACAGTTTTGCTCCTAGGGTGGTTTAGGATAATGGCAGTGTAGTGATATATAAACACCAAGATGTAAGATAGGAAAGAAAGGCTGATGTGGTGGCTGAGACTGTAATCCCAGCATTTTGGGAGGCCAAGGTGGGAGGATCGCTTGAGGCCAGGAGTTTGAGACCACCCTGGGCAACAAACTGAGATTCCATCTCTCCAAAAAGAAGAAGAAGAAGGAGAAGGAGAAGGAGAAGGAGGAGGAGGAGGAGAAGAAGAAGAAGAAGAAGAAGAAGAAGAAGAAGAAGAAGAAGAAGAAGAAGAAGAAGAAGAAGAAGAGAAGAAGAAGAAGAAGAAGAAGAAGAAGAAAGAAGAAGAAGAAGAAGAAGAAAGAAGAAGAAGAAGAAGAAAAGAAGAAGAAAGAAGAAGAAGAAGAAAAGAAGAAGAAGAAGGAAGAAGAAGAAGAAGAAAAGAAGAAGAAAAGAATAAGAAGAAAAGAAGAAGAAGAAAAGAAGAAGAAGAAAGAAGAAGAAGAAGAAGAAAGAAGAAGAAGAAGAGGAGGAGAAGAAGAAAGAAGAAGAAGAAGAAAGAAGAAGAAGAAGAAGAAAGAAGAAGAAGAGGAGGAGGAGAAGAAGAAGAAGAAGAAGAAGAAGAAGAAGAAGAAGAAGAAGAAGAAGAAGAAGAAGAAGAAAAAGAAGAAAAAAAAAACAAAACAGCCAGGCATGGTGGTGCATGTCTATAATCTTAGCTACTTATGAGGCTGAGGCAGGAGGATCCTTTGAGCTCCGGAGGCCAAGGATGGGGTACATCTCATTAAAAGAATAAGCCTCATGGTTCAATTTGGGCAAACAAGTAACCTGATTATTTGATGATTCCACTTTCCCTGAAGTGTTTTTCCAGGTATCATTTATCTTCCAGACTCTATTTTGGTTGATGACTACATAGTTGAAGGCAATTTTATTATCTAAAAATATTCTAGCTCATGAGTTTATACTGGATATTTTTTGATTCTAAAATTTGAACTGTTATTTGGGCATAGTCAGGGATTAATTGCAGAGTATATATTTTAGTGTAGGGTAGAAATCCTAATATGAACTGATAATATTTAGTGTCTTGGATCCTGAGTTGAGTACATCAGACTTCTAATAATTCACTTTGAATGCTTGGAAAGGCTGGATAAATATATCAAAACTTGGCCCTATTTTGATATAGGTAAGTGTGGAAAGGCCTTCTGATTATACAAGAATAGTCAATAAGGGTGTACATTGAGCAAACACAAATGTTGTTAGGAATTGCTATTAAAATTTAATTGTTTTCACTCTACTGTAATTAAACACATAATACAATTGTTTTTGTACATTTAGCTTCAAGATAAAATAATTGGACTATAGTTTGTGTTATTAGTCCTGTATCATGTCCCTTTCTGTTCTTGATGTCCTTTGTGTTTCTTTGAAGCCCTGACAAACAAACAGAAGCAGATAATTGTTGAGGCCTAGGTCCATTGAAGACAGATTGACGTATTGAGGTTCATTCCAACAGTGGGATCTATAACTAAATGACAAACTCAACACTTGGAAAAAATGTCAGCCATTGCAATTTTTTGGTAATGGCAAATTAAGGAGTTTGAAAAGTTTACAGAAAAAAGATTCTAAGGAAGAGCAAAAGGTTTAACCATTTTAATAGTTTGGTACCTTGAAGAAACCCAATGAAAAAATCATGGCAATGAGTGACAGAAAGAGGAGACAAATATTAGAAAGTATGTTCATTGTCCTTTCATGGCTCTTGGTCCAAAAGTGTTAGAAGGAAGCAATCTAAACTTGATAGCATCTTCAAGGTCTCTCTGTTCTTTGGTCAGATGTCTACCGCCAGAAGTCATTTGTTTCTGTTGGCCTCCCATTGAATTACAATGTTAGAACATAGGTATACTTGTATTTCCAGGTTGAGGGATTCTGAGCACATTTACACAGGAAAACATGATTCTGTGGGTGTGTGCCCTGGAATTCAAGAGCAGCATTTGTGTTTAGAAGTACTTTATATGGTCTTTTCTTAAATGATGCTAAGACTTCTCTTTATAGATGTCTTTTCCAAAACAGGTATACATCATGTAGATGTTCATTTAAACTTATGTTTTTTGGAAATGTAATTTGTACTTGCTGATTATGTATCTGTGTATATGACATTAATTTTGGCAATACCTGCTACAACCACAATGGGACAAGCTCCAGTCCGTCAGTGGAGGAGTCAATTCAAGCCCATATGTCTTCTTGCAACAATTTTATGAGAACTCATATGAGAATTTATGAGAATTTTTGAAATATAGATTGTATGTCTTTAGGGCTATGGGTAGAATTTAGGCTAAGTAAATTAAACATCTGTTGATTTCGATTATTTTGATTTAAAATACCATTAGTTTATTCTTTCCTTCCAGTTATATGGGAATTATATTTATTTTAATATTCTTTTCTTAACTTCTTATGTATTTTACTTGTAAGTTGACTTTCTCTATCACTGGTTAATATTGGAAGTTTTCCCAGTTGATAAAAACATAATTTATAATCATTTGGCAGTGGAATGTTAGCTAATCTCACCAGATTATTTTAAGCTACTACTAAAACATATTTAAAGCTTTGTGATTTCAGCAAATGAATGAAACCCATTTGTAAATGTTCAAATAGTCCTAGAGGTAGAGGTTTTGATCCTTGTCATAACTTTATAGTTTTTCTTGGGTTATAGTACTAATAATAGATGATGTGAGATTCGGTCACCGATTGATCCTCTCTGACAAAATTTTGCTACCACTATTTTTAGTAGAATCTGGATCTCTTCTTTGGCATCATGCTGGGGCCAAGCTGTTTGAGTGGCAGCAGGAAGAGGAACAGGAGGGGCTGAGAAGGAATAGGAGGCCAGAGGAGGTGGAGGACAGAGGAAGAGCAGGTAGCAAGCAGGGAGGGAGTGAAGGGTCCTTACCAGCCTGCATGTTCCCTGAGTCCTAGCTATCTTGGGAGAGGCTCGTGCAAGGTGTCTGAGGGTGAGTGGAAAAAGAGACCCATCAGGAGAGTGAAGAACCCCGAGAGAGGGAGGAAGAAAGAGTGGGTGAGAGGCAGGCTAGCACTGGGCAAAAGCAGCCTGAGGGAAGGGGAAGGAGCAGGAAATAGGGAGAGGGGAGACAACTGCCTGAACGATTTGTTTTATCCTCACTGGGATAAAATCAGGGAGAAAATGTGTGGCTGTTTTTAAACAAAATTATTATACCAGTCTAATTTATTCAAGATTCACATTGATTAGGAAGATTAATTTACCTTGATTTAGAATGTGATCAGATGTTTTATTTTATAATTATGTCTATATAGCAACTCTTTAAAATTTTTCATATTTGAAAAGTACATACATTCCCTTGGTATTTACTCATTCCTTTTTGCTAGCGTGAGATTGGCTTCCATTTCTTGGCTATTTGATCTTGTAGGTTATCAAACTATGCTATTAATTGGTTCATAATTAAGCATCCCACCTGTTCCTCCCCAACCAGGCCCTTTCTTAAAGGGCCAATGCTCTTAAAAGCCTTATAAATTAAAATAACTTTTTAATCTGGGGATTCTGGGAACCCCTTATTACATATTCGTATGAATACTTATTAGGCTTTATATGAGTATGAATTAGTCTCTAATTAGTAGTTGTATAAGTTCAATAAGATCAAGAGTTACTTCACATGTAAGAAAATTTACAACATTGAAGTTTCTCTTGAAATAGATGAAGTCATGCTAGTATGTTTGTGTAGAAAATAGCTCACATTGACACAACAGAAGAACGTTCTTAACTCTCCATCAAGGTAGGGAGCTCTAGGCTGGATTCTTTCCATTCTATTATGTGATGTTTTAAATCACAAAGTCTTTCCTTGCCCTCCTGCTGTAAAAGAATTCACCTGTGACTTCTAGTAGTTTAGACTTACTTTTTATATCTTCATAATAATATCTCAGATCCATTTGGAGCTTATTCTTTTGTATGGTGGGGCCACAAATTTACCATTCTTTTTCTAAATGGCTATTCAGTCATGCTAGCATCATTTTAAAAAGTTCATTTGCGATGGTATCTATATCATATGCTGAATTTCCTAATGTTCTTAGACCTATTTCTGTACTCATTAAAACATTTTTTTTTGTAGTAAACTTTGTACCTATCTCTAGTGGTTATCTTTCTAGTCATACTTTTGAAAAAAGCCCCTGTTCCCCAGTCCACTTTTTAATTTACTCTTTTACTGTATAGTGTGTCAGTTTTTAGTGGTATCCTTTGACTCCCACGTATTGATGAGATCAATGAGTTTATGTTACTTTTCCATGTCCCTCTACTTTTACTTTACAAAAATTGCATTACTTCTATTTTATCAGAACGTGTGTTATGTATATATGACTCTTGCATCCTTGTTTCTAACTTTATTATTACATCTACTATTAAATCCACATAATTAACCAACATAATTAACTTATATTCATTCTATCACTTTTACTGAAAGTATTGTAGGCTATTAATTTTCCTTTGATCACTGCTTTAAATGTAATCAGATCCTAATATGTAGTATATTGATTATTATTATTTTTAGAAATTTAGAAATATCAGGCAAGGTCTCATCAGTCATTTATTGGTTAAATGAAACTTATCTGTAAGTGGAGCTCATGGATATGGTATCCCCTGATTTCTTGTATTTTTATTTATTTATTTATTTTGAGACAGAGTCTTGCTCTCTCCAGGCTGGAGTGTAGTGGTGCGATCTCGTCTCACTGCAACCTCTGCCTCCTGGGTTCAAGCGATCTTCCTACCTCAGCTTCCCAAGTAGCTGGGATTACAAGCACCACCATGCCTGGCTAATTTTTGTATTTTCAGTAGAGATGGGGTTTCACCAGGCAGTCTCGAACTCCTGACCTCAAGTGATCTGTCCTCCTCAGCCTCCCAAAGTGTTGGGATTGCAGGCATGAGCCACCACACTTAGCCTATTCTTGTATTTTTAAAACTCTAATTCTATAGTCGTGTTACTTAAAGCATGGTTGAATATAAAATTGATTTATACCTTTTCTTGATTTTTGTATAAATGCTAGTTCATTCTTGCCTTACTTTGCATGTTGCTTTTGAGAAATATTAGTTAAGTTCTCTTTTCCAGATCAATTTTCCCTAGTACTTGGTTGGCTATATTAATATGTAGATTCAGATTATCTTGTATTTCTGGAAAGCTTTCCTGAATTACAGTTTAAAATATTAGTTTTATTTTATTGCATTGATTTATTCTTCAGGGACTCTACTTATTCCTATGTTGACTGTTCTTTGCCTATTTCTCCTTTCAACCAATTTCTCTCTGATCCTTTTTACTTCTTTAAGTTTTATTTATTTATTTATTTAGAGATGGAGTTTCACTCTTGTTACCCAGGCTGGAGTGCAGTGACAGAGGCAACCTCTGCCTCTGGGGTTCAAGCGATTCTCCTGCCTCAGCCTCCTGAGTAGCTGGAGTTACAGGCATCCACCACCATGCCTGGTTAATTTTCTGTATTTTTAGTAGAGACAGGGTTTCATCATGTTGGCCAGGCTGGTCTGGAACTCCTGACCTCAGGTGATCCGCCCGCCTTGGCCTCCCAAAGTACTGGGATTACAGGCATGAGCCACCTCGCTGGGTATATTTACTGTTTTTCTACTCTTCTTCAATGCTTCTCATTAAATATTCATATTTTGAATGTGATATAGGCACCATATAATTGGATTTTAGGATATGCTATCACCCTATATTTCTTCCCTGAGATCAACTAACTCTTTTTTTTTAAATCAATTCTTGTTTTAGCCCTCATTTGGGTTCTTAAACTTTGAAGTTTTACTTTTATGTGTCTTTTTATGTCTCCAATAGATTGACAATAAATAGTGGTTTCAATTGTGTTACAATTTTCATTGACTTCGTAATTATTTGTTTTATTAATTATTCATTTGGAAGAATTTTTCATTTTTTTATAGTAGCTTTGTATAGAAGAAAGTTGCTCATACCTATATATTTGATTGACTGGCTTGGCAGATTGGGGTGGTGTTATTAGTCGGTTTTCACACTGCTGATAAAGACATACCCGAGACTGCACAATTTACAAAAGAAAGAGGTTTAATTGGACTTATAGTTCCATGGGCCTGGGAAGCCTCACAATCATGGCAGAACGCAAGCAGGAGCAAGTCTTGTCTTACATGGATGGCAGCAAGCAAAGAGAGAATGAGAAGATGCAAAAGCAGAAACCCCTGATAAAACCATCAGATCTGGTGAGACTTATTCACTACCACGAGAACAGTGTGGGGGAAACCGCCCCCATGATTCAGTGATCTCCCACTGGGTCCCTCCCACAACACGTGGGAATTATAGGAGCTACAATTCAAAATAAGATTTGGGTGGGGACACAGCCAAGCCATAGCCAGTGGTTTTCCAGCTCTGTTCTCCAAGGTTGTCGTCTTCTGTCAGAGTAGAAGATTGCAATTTCTTTAATAGACGACATGGGAGTGGGGCAGGGAGGGGCGATTGGTCATAGGGTTGATTGTCTTTCATTTTTCATATTTTAAAAATATTGTATGGAAGGATTCTGTAGTAACCTTTTTCACTTTTTTCTTTGACCAATCTCCAATGGGCATCTCCTTCCTTCCCTTTTATTCTCTTTTCCTCCAAGATTTTTCTTTTCATGACCATCTCCTTAAGTATTGTACCCAATTTAAAGTCTTTTCCCTGGAGTCAGTTCTCGGATCTTCCAGGACTCTATGCATTTCATCACTTAGGATGATTTCAGCTTCATTAACCTCCCTTCTGTCTTCTGCACAATTTTTCTGGATCCCCTACCCCCTGCCCTTTCTCCCCTTCTCCCACTTCTCCAACCCCAGCTTTCTGAATAGTCTTGTGGTGGGAGTTTTAGAGAAAGCTTTGCTGGAAATCAGTATTTACTTTTCCAGATACAAGTAATTAAAAATTGTAGTTTAGGCTGAAAGTATGCTATTTGTGTGAGTTTATTTGTACTTGTTGATCTGTATAGTGTTTTGGAGAACGTGGTGAGATTTCTATTTAGGCAGCTGTGATTACCTTGGATTTTCAGAGCCAGCAATCTTAACTATGTCCCTCATTAATGTTGATCCTTTGGATTTAACCTGTAGTTCCTCTTACTGTAGGCTCTGATATAATTTTCTTGAACTCTGTTTATAAAACTAGAGAGATTACTGAAATTCTAAATGTTGCATTTGCTTTCTCCATCATCTCCTTTCAGAAATATGTACAAACTCACTTCCTTTATAATCTTCAGACAAAGAAATCACACCAAAATTTACAATCAAAGCATAACAAAGCAGATAACAACAATAATTAAAGACATATCTCTAGTTTGAAACCCATGGGTAAATCAGATTCAATAGATCTTGCCTACCAGTTCATTAGAAATAACCAGAAACCTATGTATGCCAGTTAAGGCTGATGCTGTATGGAACACTGTACCACCCTAACTGTGTGATAAACTCTGCTAGTGGGTGTGAGTGTGCATGGTGGGGTTATCAGAGAACCCTGGGTCTCACACAGAAGGTAACGCTTGACTTCATACTTAAATTAGGGTAAGCTGGGTGTTTTCAGAGTAAACAAGAAAGTGGCAGGGAAACCCCTTTAAAGCAAAAGTTTCCTGGATCAAAATTATGAAGGCATTAAAATGCTTGAGATGTTTGCACATTTAATCTTCGATGACTTTAACACACATAATTGAGAGTGGAGTGGCAAAGTGGGGAGGCCTGGGGAAACAGGAGGTGATGAGAGATGAGGCTGGAATGGAAGCTGGAGACAAATTTGAAGGGCTTTGCTTGCCACATCATTCAAAAAGAATAATAGGACCACAAACTGCCTTTTTTTTTTGCCAACAAAAAGGAAGAAAATTAGATACCTGCTGATAAAAATGGTATATTGTTAGGATGATAAATCTGTAACCTGTAACACAAACTTTTTCAGGGGAAAAGCAGAAGAGTTTCAAATAAATTTATTTTCAAAACCAAGCAGCCAGTTTTTCTAGCCAGTGGATATTAGTCTGTTGTTTTCAAGAGTTGGTTGATAAAACTTAATAGTTTATTTTTAATATCAGTTTGAGGGTATCAGAATGACTAGCCATTTGAGTAGGGGAGCTATCTCACTTAAACAAAAATCCTCCAGTGATGCCTTCCAGAAGTTCTTCAATGTTGATTTCTTCAACTTTATATACTCAATGCCCAGCAGTGTGTAGGCACTAAAAGATTAATAAATACATGCTGAAAGAAAGTGAGAAAGATAAAAAGAAAGATAAGCAAAAGAGAGAGAGAAAAGAAGGAAAGAAGGAAAGGAAAAGAGAAAGAACTCAACCCATTGGAGATTTTCACTTAGTTTTTCAGTGCTCACGCATTAGAGTGTCTGGTGGTTTATTTGGGTGGGGCAATATTTCTTCACCTCCAGCTAAAATGTTTACAGTCCTAAGAGTTGTCAAACCTTATCAACCAGTGTGATTTAGGGCTAATTAATAGATAACAAAATGGGCACAGGATAGGTGTTGAGGACCACCTTCTAATCTCATTCCCTACATTAAGATGGGACACTTGATTTTATAAGAAAGGGGAAGAGAGGCCAGAAGGAGTAGAGAACAGACATCTCTTGTCTGTTTTTCTTAGCATTTTTCTATACTAGGCATAATTAAAATAATGGTCCATTGTTCAAGCTGTGAAATAATCTGAAAAACAATAGAAAAAATATATAAAGTGTGTGTTCCTTTCATTTTAGGAAATATTTTGGGAAGAAAGGAATAAAGGTAGGTTTGTTAATTTTTAAATGATGACCTTATTCAAAGAGGATGCTAATTTTTGATGCTTGCTTTATACCCCAAAACATAAAACTTGAGGTTTATATTTTAAACAGAACAGACCAGACCCTGCCAAAGAGGAGGAAACAGTTACATTGTGTTTGAGATTGTTTTTCTAATTTAGTCTATATAAATATCACTTGCTTCAATTTTATTAGATGTTAAGAATATTCCTGAAAATGCAAATTTCAATCTCTCCAAAGTAGGATAACGTCTAATTTTAAAATATTGAACCATACGGAATTTTGTCTAGTTAACTGCATGTGTTCCTAAAATAGAATATTTACAGGTTTTTGTATTTCCAGTGCATCTTAGAGTTCCTGGAATAAAGCACATGGTCAAGAAATACTTGTTAAATAAATTAATGAGTGGATTACAACAGACTGATAATCACCTGAGACCTTCCAGAGTAGTCCTGCTGTGAAGAGATTTTATATATGGCTAATAGACAGAGGATTCAGAATAAATGTGAGTAAATTGTAGAGGGGGTCAGTTGTGGGGGTAGTCCATTAGCTTAGAACTGTAAAATCCCTATTGGCAGAACACAATTTGAGAAAAAACTCTGGTATTTCTGTAGTGGAGGCTTTTCCCCTGTGTATCCACTTTTAGTTGTTGATTAAAAGAGGCTCACAATTCCTCTCTTTCTCACTTTCCTACTCATGATTCCCTTTCCTAAGCTAGAGAAGTGTGATATAGCCCAGTAATGTTCAGCAAAATTCATTATATTGTTTGCTATTTATAATAAGGGTGAGCACAAATTGTCTTCAATTTTTGACTAAAGCAAATTGATTTGGGGGATGGAGTAAACCCAGAGTACAAAAAGAATGATAGGGCTTGTGTTTGTTACCTTCCAGGTTCCTTTTCCAGTCATTCATCAAGAGTGGTAAATATGATACTCCAAACTGATTTCTACATACTTTTCAATATTGTAAAGCAATCAACAAAATAGTAACCAGATGACTCTGGAAGTTGATGATGTAACATTTCCATTTGGGTTTGCTTGTGTGTGTGGGCACGTGTGTGTGCACATATGTGTGTGTGAGAGAGGTCTGGACTATAGATATAAAGCTTGCCACTCAGAAATGGAAGGATGGTCTTATGTTTTCCGCATCTCAAGAATCAGCACTTACATTGTTCCGCCACTCTTTGGCTGCTTGTAGCTGTGCATCCACTACAGAGATAAAATCCCATTAGGCTCAACACCATTTTTTTTTTTTCTTTTGCCAACGATGGAGTAGCTGTTAAGCTTCTTGATGGGCTATGCTATTGTTCTGGATAGTCTCTTTAATGGGATATAACCCAGTTTTGTGACATCGCTTTTGTTTGATTCACTCAGGAAATCATGATATGGTTTGTGTTTTCTTTCTCTGCTTGTTTCTTTCCTTACCTCCTCCTAATGCAGGGAAAAGAAAAAATGATGAAATTATAGAATTAACAGGATACTGAAAAGAGAGACTGAGATCATGAATCACTAAACCAATTTTCCTGCCTAGAGGGTGTAATTCAGTGGTATTTTTATAAATGTGATTCAAACTGTGGCTTTTGCAAAAGATCATGAGGCACATTATAAAAAACAAGGGGAGAAATCATAACTACTCATCAGCAAGATGACCTTCCTCTCCCTGCTGAGATTTATGTAATCCTAGAGGCTCTAATTCTTGAAATATACTAAGCTGGAAAATACAAGATGAAACCAGTACAATTAAACAAATGAGACCATCTACTTATCTCTGTCTCTGAATGCCAAGAAGAATAGATGCTACAACACAAGGGTGTGTGATCTGGGTGGGAGAATACTGGGCTTGAGTTAGAAAGCCTGGTTTGCTGGTATGATCTCCAGACATTTAATTTAACTGCTTTTGGTTTTAATTTGGCTTTATGTTAATTTGGTCAACAACCAGTTCATCATGTCAAGATAACAAAAAAGAATTCCGTTTTTAAACAGATAAGTGACAAGTTTATGTTGTATTTTTGAAGTTAAGCAAGGTAAGGGTTGCTTGTTTTGACCTTTCATGGTGGTCATGTACCTCTGGGTGGGTGCTTGCTAATCCAGAATACATGTATCTTATAAAAGACCTGAGTTTAAATACCGGTCAACTTTGTAATTTTGAATGAATTATCCAATTTCTCTGAATCTCTGTATTGTCAGCTATAAAAAGACAATAATGCCCCATCCAGTGACCATAAGATTGAAACTGTCATAAGCGAAAGCAATCCCTGGAATTTTGACCCTCTCAAATAGCAGAGTTGCTTTGAATTAGCCCAAGTAAGGCTTGACTGTGAGTACTCCAATCAATGCATTTAACAAACAGGAATGGTTAATCAGCCTGACTTCAAAACTAGTGAAGACAAGCATATTATATATTCTGATACATCACTCTTTCTGCTTAACTCTGGAACATAGGAATGTCCCTTGATGGTTCTCTGGTGACATGAGAGTTTGTTACTGTTTGTGGCAGTATTGCATGATAGTTACGTGCTCAAGCTCTGGAACCAGACTCATCTGGATTCTAATCTTGACTCTATCACTTCCTAACCATAGAAATTTGTAACCAGTTAACATCTCTAAGCCTCTATATTTTGATTTGTCAAACCTTTAAATAGGAACATAACTTCACAGAGCTTTTAAAAGGATGATCTGATAATGTATTTAAACATCTAATGTAGAAATTGGTTCTTGGTAAGCACAGGTACTAGCTATTATTACCACTTCTATTATTGTTACCTTTCCTTCTTAGGCTATTTGCTCCGTTTTGCATTAGCAGTCCTCTGTCTGTCCATTGCAGAGGCTTCTCTTATTTCTTGAGATGTATTCTTTATTTGCTTCTTTGATGAAGACCCAGTGCTTTCTCAATTCCTGAGCTGTGTTGCACAGTTAATCTTTTAGGGAAAAATTTACTTCCTTCATTTGCAAAATAGGAATAACAATAATAATTATATATGTAGCAACTTCCCTGCCTGATGTGGGCTGTTAGGGACTGTTTTTCTGGATCTTGTTTCAGAGATATTATTACTACTGGTACTTTCACTCAGTAGAATCTGTGATCTTGGCAGCCAGTTCCTCCTGGTAGAGATATTAGAGACCCAACTCAAGCTGTTAGGCACTATACCCATTTGATGCCCCAGAGAGGCATCTGCACATTAGTTTTCCATTTGTCTTGCAATTCCTTCCTTCCTTCTGGCACTAGGGGATTTCCTTTTCCTCATTTTCAGTTCGGCAATATCTCATAAAATTTATTTTCTTTTAAAACACTTTTTCCAACATTCTGGAATTTGGGGAGTGAGAAGGTGTTTCCTTCCCTATCAACTCCAAAACACGTATTGATCAGCAGAGTCGGATTTGCAATTGAACAACTAATCTCAGCATCAAATTTCGATTCTGGTTTTGAACAAATATCTGTTTATAATTAGGTCTTAGTGTCATCAATTACAAAATTAAGCATTAGGTGTTTGATGCCTAAGACAAGTTTGGCATAAACATTTGTGTGATATGACTTCCTGTGCAGATTTTCATAGCTCTTTACTCAGTGAGGCCTTTGGGAGAAACTTTCCCTCTGATGAACGTTTCCAGTGTCAGTGCATCTATAAGAAAAAAGCAGGCCAGGCACTCTGTTATTACTCACACTGCAGGAAACCCTGAGACGAACTCACTGAAAGAAATGACAGCCTAAAATTAAAGATCCGTTTGGTGTGCATGGTGTGTGTATTTTTAACATGTGTTTTCTTCCCCTGCTATCAGTAAACTCCACGACTAATATTCTGTTCAATGGTACAAATATAGAAGGAAAAGTTGAAATTGCTGTAAAACAAGATGGTAAAAAAATCATAAATCTATAGATTCAATAAACAATGAAGATCCTGCAACAGTTTATAAAGCTTACTCTGGTGTTTCAAGGTACCATCTTTTATGCTACTATTGCACTCAGCTGTACTCTATTTCAGACTGTCAATACCACCATCAGAAATGATCCCAAATTGGTCTTCAGACTGGTTTCAGCTGATTTATCTTCTTTTATATGGGTAGTTAGGGCTTGGGTTGGGTGAACCAACAATGAGGGAAGATCTTGCACAGCTAAATCTTTTAATATTAAAACTTCACGTGTTTGGTACTTTATGTGTTGAGTTAGTGCTAATGTTTACGAACACAGTCTTTCTGTATGATGCAATATTAGATTTATCGTTTCATGGATGACAACATGAAAAATGGGAAAAGTGGGTGACTAGCTTGTTTATATTGCATGTAACATAACAATAACAGTAACGACAGTAATAATGATAGTATTTAACACTGACTGAGTGCTTCCTGTGTGTCAGACATCTTTCTAAGTACTCAATCTTCACAATACTTACCTCACCACAGCCTGGAAGAGAGCTCTTCAGAAGGAATAGGTGGGAATCTGAGCACTCTAAGTAAAGGGAGAAGGGGATGCAAAGAACTGTTTAAAATGTTGGCAGGTGCTTGGAATGAGAAAAGTGTTCAAAGTGGGTGTTTGTGGAGAGATGAAGCTGAAAGCCTGAATCAGAGGCACGGCAAGATCATGGAGGGCCTCAGATACTTTGCTGAGGAGTTTGGATTTCAATTTCACAAAGGTAGGCACACTCTGTAAAAAGAGAGACAGTGAATTATTTAGGCTTTGTGGGCCACATGGACTCTGTCAGAACTACTCAGCTATGTTGTAGCACAGAAGCAGCCACAGACAATGTGTAAGCAGATGGGCACAACCGGTTCCAATAAAACTTTATTTACAAAAGAAGCAGGCCAGGTTTGGTGGCTCATGCCTGGAATTCCAGCACTTTGGGAGGCTGAGGCGGAAGGATTGCTTGAGCCCAGGTGTTTGAGACCAGCCTGGGTGACAGGGCAAAATTCTATCTCTACAAAAAATACAAATAAAATTAGCTGGGTGTGGTGGTGCACACCTGTGTTTCCAGCTACTTGGGAGACTGAGGTGAGAGGATTTCTTGAGCCCGGGAAGTTGACACTACAGTGAGCGGAGATTGCACCACTGCACTCCAGCCTGGGCAACACAGTGAGACTCTGTTTTTAAAAACAAAACAAAACAAAAAGCAAACAAAAAACTGGTCAGCAAGTAAGCAGAATTTAGACTATAGGCTGTTGTTTGCTGACCACTATTCTAGGAAAGAGTGAACTTCTCACAGTTAAAGGCAAATGGAGCATGAGGCATACATGGCCGCTTCAAAAAGATTTTCTCCACCTGATGTCAAAACAGTTAAATTGAGTCTAATATAAATTATTGTTATTATTTTTTATTATACTTTAAGTTCTGGGATACGTGTGCAGAACATGCAGGTTTGTTACATAGGTATACATATGCCATGGTGGTTTGCTGCACCCATCAACGCGTCATCTAGCTTAGGTATTTCTCCTAATGCTATCCCTTCCCTTACCCCCCACCCCCAAACAGGCCCTGGTGTGTGATGTTCCCCTCCCTGTGTCTATGTATTCTCATTGTTCAACTCCCACTTCTGAGTGAGAACATGCAGTGTTTGGTTTTCTGTTCCTGTGTTTGTTTGCAGAGGATGATGGTTTCCAGCTTCATCCGTGTCCCTGCAAAGGACATGAACTCATCCTTTTTAATGGCTGCATAGTATTCCACGTGTATATATGCCACATTTTCTTCATCCAGTCTATCATTGATGGGCATTTGGGTTGGTTCCAAGTCTTTGCTATTGTAAATAGTGCTACAATAAACATACGTGTGCATATGTCTTTATAGTAGATTTATAATCCCTTGGGTATATGCCTAGTAATGAGATTGCTGTGTCAAATGGTATTTCTGGTTCTAGATCCTTGAGGAATTGCCACACTGTCTTCCATCAAAAAGTGGGCAAAGGATATGAACAGACACTTCTTAAAAGAAGACATTTATGTGGCTAACAAACATATGAAAAAAGCTCATCATCACTGGTCATTAAAGAACTGAAAATCAAAACCACAATGAGATACCATCTCACTCCAGTTCCAATGGTGATCATTAAAAAGTCAGGAAACAGGCCAGGCATGGTGGCTCATGCCTGTAATCGCAGCACTTCGGGAGGCTGAGGCGGGCAGATCACGAGGCCTGGAGATTGAGACCATCCCGACTAACACGGTGAGACCCCGTCTCTACTAAAAATAAAAAAAAAATTAGCCAGGAGTGATGGTGGGCACCTGTAGTCCCAGCTACTTGGGAGGCTGAGGCAGGAGAATAGCATGAACCCGGGAGGTGGAGCTTGCAGTGAGCTGAGATTGCACCACTGTACTCCACCCTGGGCGACAGAGTGAGACTCCATCTCCAAAAAAAAAAAAAAAAAAAAAAAGCCAGGAAACAATATAAATTATTTTTACACCTGTGTCAGGAAGAATAATTTCATGAGAGCAATGGCCAGGGCTGTTTCCTCTAAAGGGATTGATGAGGAGTCTTCAGCTTGCCCAGAAAATCCACTTTATACCCCTTGCTTAGCATTACAACTAATAGCACCCCCTTTCATGCTTTCTGTGTTTGGATGACAAATTATAAATGGTCACCCTATTTTAAACCTAAAAGGGGATGCATTTTAGAACTTCTGTCCAACGGGCAGGTATTGGGCCTCCTCTTTCCAAGGTTGTGTTATGGGCTGAGAAGAGTAATGGAATTAGAAGCCCACCATCTGGAGTGAGGTCCCCATTCTGCTCCTTATTAGCCAGGTGGCCTTGAGCTAATTGCTCAGTCTCTCCAAGTCAAGATTTCCTTCATTGCAAATTGAGAGTACTATGTTTTTCCAATATTATAGGACTTTGTGGATAAATACAATGATATTTGTAAAAGTTCACAGGAGAAATTATTTGTAATACCTATCCAAGTGGAAGAGTGGCAGAATGGCAAGGTAAGAAGGGCTTTGGACCCAGGCAGAGGGTGTAACCTAGTCTTCACCACTTATCATCCTGAGGTCTTGCAGAAATTATTGCCTCACCCTAAGCCTCAAGAACCTCACTGGGGCTAATCATACCATCCTTTTAGAAGTGCTGTAATTGTTAAAGATAACACATATAAACTTTGAGCACAGTGCCTGGCATGTAGATAGCACTTGGTAAAACAAAATACAGTTATTATTTTTCAAACATAACTTGTGTATTAGTCCATTTTCACACTGCTGATAAAGGCATACCTGAGACTGGGCAATTTACAAAACAAAGAGGCTTATTACCCTTACAGTTCCATGTGGCTGGGGAGGCCTCACAATCATGGTGGAAAGCAAGGAGGAGCAAGTCACATCTCACAGGGATGGCAGCAGGCAAAGAGAGAGCTTGTGCAGAGAAACTCCTGTTTTAAAAAACCGTCAGACCTCTTGAGACCCATTTACTATCATAAGAACAGCACAGGAAAGACCCGCCCCCATGTTTCAGTCATCTCCCACCACGTCTCTCCCACAACATGTGGGAATTATGGGAGCTACAAGATGAGATCTGGGTGGGGACACACAGCCAAACCATATCAACATGTCATGTCAGAACTATTATTTATCTTTACTTTGACATGTGCCTCACTTTGCTTACCTCCACTCACCTCCTGCAGTGTCATAATTCTCTTTGTTTTTTTCCCCCACTGTTCTTTAAGCCACATATACTTAGCAGAGTTCTGAAACTGTGATGGCGATAATGGTTCCTTATTGAGCAATTTTTATGTTGTAGGCATCTCTGGATGAGGCATATTTTCTCTGTGGTCTAACATAGCTAATGTTAACTTTGCCTAACTTTAGAGGCTATGATGCACTTTTGAATCCTTGATTTCTGGAACCATTCTCTGGTCCCGGTAGAGCTTCTTTGTTTTTTTTCTTCAATACGGAAGGCCAGCCAAGGTCATGGCCTGAAAAATCATGGTGTTGGGCACCATGCTATTTCTCTTCTCATGCTTTGCCTACACTCTTCTATCATGTTTGCTTGAGGACCTGAAAATAATTGATTGGAACTGCTACTCGCTTTTAGCCTTTTATCCAAATTTGACAAGTATGTTGTGCCGAATAACATGTACTATAAATGGCTTGAACCTAATAAGTACTCTTTATGGACATGTGATCTGTTGTCCTTCTTCCTTTCTTGAGAGGGAAATTACAATCTTCCAGGATTCTCTTTCCATTTCTATAGAATGTGGGTGCTAATTTGAAAGCAGTCTCATAAAATGGAAGCAAACTTTTTCCAAAACTTTTAAAAATCATTCCAGATACTCTGTACCCTTAAACAATAACCCTCTCATACCCTTCTCCCACTCTCTGGTAACTGCTATTCTACTTTCTGTCTCTATGAATTTGCTGATCCTAGGTACCTCATGTAAATGGAGTCATATGATACTTATCCCTTTGTGTCCGGCTTCTTTCACTTAGTGTGATATTTTTAAGGTTATTCATGTTGTAGCACATATCAGACCTTTATAACTTTTTAGGGCTAAATAATATTCCAGTCTATGGATATATCACATTTTGTTTATCCATCGATCTATTGATGAACATCTTGGTTGTTTCCCATATTGGGATATTTGATAATAATGCTTCAATGAACACTGGTGTACAAATATGTTTGAGTTCCTGTTTTCAGTTTTTTTGAATATGTAACTGGGAGTGGACTTGTTGGATCATATGGAAATTCTATGTTAAATATTTTGAGGAATGGAGAAGGGCCTTTCAAAGGGAAGTTTACTTTTTTCTTACAGGGACATGAAAAAGAGATTTTTCTGAAGTTGTTTTGACAGGTGTCCTTTTAGGGAATTTCTTTTTGAACACATAATTCTTGTTGGGTGTTGATAAGATTGTGTATATGTGTAGAATAGAATGTCTCCCCTGCTTTTATTCTTGGGATCCAAAAGAAAGTCAGCACTGACCAAGGTCTGTCATAATGACCTTCATTGGAGCTGGGGAGAAATGATGCTGGGAACACAGGCTGAGGGGGCTACTATTGTGTTTCCTGGCCCAACCTAGCATTTGCCTTTTGTGCCTGGTCATTTATTACCACGTTGTTCAAAGAGAGGAAAGCTTGATGGCTCTCTGAAAAGCTTGTGGTATAAGCAGCGCTTCTTTTTTTCCTACACTTTTTGAGCATTGTCCTAATTTCCTGATTTAGTTTTCCCACACTATACCTGAACCATGATCCTGTTGATTTGGTGGTGGGAATTACTAGAAATATGATTTTGCTTGGAGCAGAAGCTTGATGCTAGAGTGATGGCTGCATGGTGGCTGTGAAATGGAGATGTTCTTTATCAAGATGCTGCCAACCGTTGCTGATATGAGGTAGTGATCATCTTAAGTTAACTGGCATTGCCTCAGACCTAGAGTTGCTAGATAAAATACAAGATACCTGGCTAAATTTGTATTTAAACAATGACACTGTCTTTTAAACTTTTTGAAAATAGTATAAATATGTCCATAGTATTGCATGGGATGTAGTTATACTAACAAATTATTCCTCATTTATCTGAAAATCAAATTCACCTGGGTGTCCTGTATTTAAATTTGTTAAATCTGGCAACCATCCTGAAAGCACCAAATGCCTTGGAGACCCTTACTTTCCTTCGGAGTGTTCTTAACACATGCACTCTCAATCTCTGTGGCTTTGTCCCTTGTGCATGGTGCAACTGGCCCATGTCTTCCATGAGGCCATTCTCTAGCAGGGTGGAGGCAGCAAGTGTATCCAGTGAGGAGCCATGGCAGAGAACTCTGAGATGACTCAGGAAAATGGCCATGTTTTGTTACCTGTTTTGCTCAGGGAGTGTATTAGTTTGTTCTCACGCTGCTATAATGACATACCCGAGACTGGGTAATTTATAAAGGAAAGAAGTTTAATTGACTCACAGTTCCACATAGCTGGGGAGACCTCAGGAAACTTACAATCATGGTGGAAGGGAAAGCAAACATGTTCTTCCTCACATGGTGGCAGGAGAGAGTAGCGCAGAGCAAAATGGGGAAATGATCAAATGATCAGATCTCATGAGAACTCACTCATTATCACAAGAACAGCATGGGGGAACCATCCCCATGATTCATTTATCTCCACCTGGTCCTGCCCTTGACATGTGGGGATTATTACATTTCAAGGAGAGATTTGAGTGGGGACACAGAGCCAAATCATATCAGGAGGCTTTTCTCACCAGGGACCAGGTGAACATTAGATGGGCATGGTGCACAGGCACCATGTGGAGCTCCTGCCAGTGGGGCTAATGTTCCACATGGATGTCAAGGATGCAGTTGCCTGTCTACTCCTCATGGGACTGGGGCGCACGCTAGACAGGGAGGTGATTTTCAAACCTGGCATAAGCAGGACTGAGTGGAATATCTCCGTTGAAGTCCTGAACAAGTGGAGACTGTTTATCTGGGCCTTGGAGGGGTGGGGAATTAGGAGATGGGGATATAGTGGTGGGAAAAAGGATGCTGGAGTCAGACAAACCACCTCTTCCACATTTGTGCCCAGAAGGACTGTAACCCTGGGCTTCAGCCGTCTATCGGCCTTTGCTTTGAGTTCTACCACTCAATTGCAAGATCAAAATGGGTTTCCACCTCAAACTGAGTCCTTGCATTCACAACTTCTGCCACCCAGTGAATTTTTCTACTGCTGTTATTTCCAGCTCCAAGCTTTCACATACCAGAAGCTTTTCCTGTTTTTATATTTTAAAATTCAATAACTATAGCCACTGCAGCTGCTAGGTGAAGCTAGGCAAGCTTTATTGTGTCCAAATTGGCTTTCAAATGATGGTTGATAAATTAAATTATGGTCATCTATAGAGGGATGGATGAGAAATAATTATCTGGACGCATGTCATAATGTCACAGAAGCACAGATCTCTCTGGACCTTTTTTTTTCTATCTCACTTCCTCTTTTTTTTTTTTTCCAGATGAAAGAATTCTTTAGCTCTTTTCCATCCAAGCCACCACAAGCCAATGTCCAGCGTATTACAGGAGGAGGTTGCTTTTATAAACCAGGGGCAGGCTGTAAAAGGCATCTAAGGGGTCTATCTAGATTGTTTTTCAGCTTATTTTCTTTTTGACAGCTTTAAAGGGCCTTTTAAAATTGCCAGGAGAGTAGATTCATATTTTTATCATTCCACCTGCATAGTATTTTAGACACATTTATATTCCTGAAAGCGTAATAATACATAACATTTAGCATTTAATTTATGACTTCTGCCACATCTGGTATAAAAATCCTTCTGAAGCAATAAATCAACCTCTTCATGTCAAATTGCCATTCATTCTTTGACCTCCTCCATAATTTATGGTTTGTCAGTGCAAAATGGGAGAAGCAGCTTAAATCAAGTGGATTTTAATTAACAATCTTAGAAAATTCAGAAGAATATTTGCAATTTATTCATGAGACGAAAGGACTTTGTTGCTAGAAAGAAAAAAAAAAGCAGCTCATTTCCATGGGTATAAATTGAAGTCTATTCTGGGTGCTTCAACACCACAACATAAAGATTTTTCTCTACTTTGAGTTAGAAAGATAAAGTGATTGTGATAGGAAAAGCTGTCCAAGCTCCTAGGACAGAATCCATTTTCTAGAAGAGATTTTGAGGGAAAAGAGGAGGGGAGACATGTACCTATCTTCTGCTTAGTACAGCCTTTAACAGAGTTGCCTGGCTGCTGACATGGTGCCTTTCATGTCAAACAATTTTATTTCTAAGCCTTTCACAGTGTGTCCTAAGTAGCTTCTATTAGCATTGTCCTGTCCGTTTCCTTGGCAACAGAGCCGGTCAATTTAGACACCATTTAAGAGCTGTGGAAAAAGCAACAACCAACAGTGTGATGGGCAAAATTACAGAGAACAAGCTGAATACAATCCTCGCTGGAGGAGATGCATTTTCTTCCAGGGCCCATTTCATTTTAATTAAAATTGAAAAGCTTTTTTAAACAAGTCCCTAGATTAAGCTCAGACCAGAGTAATCTACTGTACAACCATCGCAGCTGCATTCCTTAATGTTATCTCTTTAACCTTAATGGATTGCTTGCACTTTTTCAAATAAACAAGGAGAGAAAACCTAGGGGCAATATGGTAGCTTCTTGTTATCCATCTTTAAGTAAATACAGAACGAAGAGACACAGCTCTATTCATGTCTGAAGTCCCATTTAAGTGGAACACAAGAGAACCTCCAGCTGTCTCATGTAATAATTATAGTTTATCTTGCATGAGAAAATAAACTTTTATTTCAAATATCATAGGTGGTCTCATTTGCCATTTACCTCATTGTATTTGTTTCAGCAGCTTTATGTAGCCATTTATTTCCAATAATCATACATGGATCATATTGAATATGGAACTAAGTGGAAGTTTGGAATTTTCAGTATTGAGTTTTATCTTGGTAGTAGGCTTTGCACTGCCATTGCATTCCCAGCTTTCTTGTGTGTAGGATGGGACAGAACCTAATTTGAGGGTAGGGAAAATCTTTTCTCTTAGCACAGGGTAGGTTAAAAATTACTTGTCCTCCGGGATGAAAATAAGTTAATTCATATACTGTGTATATTTGCAAATAAGACAAAAATTTGATTATAGAGACTTGAAGGCAGCTTCAAATTTTTTTTCACTTTAAGTAAGTTGAACAAGAGAGTTTGTATTTATAGATAGAAAATTCTTAGTAATACTGTTTATGTTATGCTGAATGCACTGAGATATTTCAGGGTTTGCATCTTTTATCCTTTTAAATGACTCCCATCTAAATGGAATCCTAGAAAGCAGTGAATGCCTCCTCATTGAAAATATTAAAGCAGAAACATAAATTTTGTTATTGGAGATATCTTAAGGAAGATTCATGGCCCAGTAGGGTATTTGATGACAAAGTCCATTCTTATATCATGATCCTGCCCCTGAAGATGGACAAATGCATGCTACCCAACGTAGCCCAGGAATTGGTGGGAGAAAATGACCCCTTCACTTTGTATGCCCCAGTTATCTGGGAATATGCTTCCCCTCTTTCTACAGGGTTCCTTTGTTTCTTAGGTGAAAATAGAAAGTGTTCACCTCCAGGCTTTTTTGGATTCCTCTTTACCTTGTGAACAAATATACGAGACCTAGTGTCCGTGAATATTCTTGATCAAATATTACTGGGATCATAGAGTTTCTGAGATTTCCCTGCACTTTTCCATCTAGTAAGAATCATCCTGAATCATGTTTCCCATTAAAAGCATTACTGGAGCCTTAAAACCATTCCAATTAGGATCTCCATGGCTAGATAACAAAGGTGCCAATTAATGCTGGTTTTAAAGGGAAACAGCAGGGCCCACCAGTCATCTTCCCATAAGACTTATAAGAACAATTAAATACGTAGGCTGACATTTCATCTTTGGCGTTTACATAATGCATACCACAGTGATTGATCAGAAGGAGCTACAGAGATGTGACAGACTGACAGAGAATAAGGGCAGATGTCGCCCATCTTTTTCATTATGATGACTATTTTAACGAACAGACCTGCTCATTTCTGCAGTCCATTAAATCAGCTGACAGTATAAACATCTGCAAAATAGCCCTGGGAATTGGGTTTGTCAGGTGAGGACACTTTGGTTAGCAGGGAGGAGATGAGGGATTCCTCAGGGGCTGCTACTTCTGGGGAGAAACCCACAAGCTGTCCCGTACGGGAGACCTTGCTTTTCTTGACACCAGGAGCTCAGGATATAGAAAAGATTTGTGCCACCAAAATGACATACAGCCAAGATCATTTTCTGTCCTTTTACATTCTTTCAGAATTCTCTCCTGTGTCTGGCCTCTCTTCATTTGCTGAGCTCTGAATGTGATTCATGGAATAACCTTGAGCAAATGATAACCTCTCCTGGCCTCCTGTTTTCTCACCTGTGAAATATGGATCCCTGCGACTCTCAGTTCCCTCTCCCCATGGAATAACTCTCTCTGAAAAGCATTTTGATCTCCATAGGGAAAGGTGTTCTATGGCAACACAGAATTATATTTGATTCTGCACCACCCACAAGTTCAATTTGTGTGGTCCCAACCTGACTCCATAAACAATCTAAGTTTTTCTTGGGGTATGTGGGTAGGAACACCTGAGAGGGGAAACCATTCATGTCTCAACACTAGCAGCATTCTGCATTGTTTTCACCCGCCTTTGTCCTTCTAAAACAGCGTTTCTTAACTTTGGCACTATTGGCATTTTGAGATGAACAATTCTTTGCTGTGGGGGGCTGTCTTGTGCATTGTGGGCTGTTAACTAGATACCAGTTTGACCCTCTCCTCCTACCTGGAGTTATGACCAGCAAAAATGTCTCCAGACGTGGCCACATGTCCTCTGCGTGTGCAGAATCTCTCCTAGTTCAGAAGCTCTGCTCTAAAATGTGCTGTGATAGTCTTCCCAGCAACTTGGGACAGGGAAGTCTTGAATCTGGGTCTAGGCTTGGGCGTATATAAATTAGCTGGTTGCTTCCAGGGTATGAAGCAAATCCAAGAAAGAAAAAAAATACCGTTTTTATATTTGAGTGCAGCTAGTTTCATGATACTCTCCTGGCATTTTTTTTTTCCCACAAGATTGCTACTACTTGTCATAGTGATGAGAAAAAACAAGGGATGCTGGATTCTGCACCCTGAGCTTTCCTTAAATGAAGACTAAAAGATCTATTAGGTCTGTTTGAAGTCTCTGGGTTGAAAAGCAGACACCAAGTCTTGCTGTATGAGATACAGTCTCCTCAACTAATGATGTTGTATGTTTTCTTGGAAAAGCTTCCTGCTTCACAGTTGTAGCCCATTAGTTGATTTTGTATCCAGCAAGCATACCCATTGATTCTTCTCTGTTAAGGGTGTGATATGAAAGCTTGCACTGTGCTGGGCAGGCATAGTCTATAAACATGATGTAATCATTGTAATTAAGTCATAAAACAATCAGAAAGGACCCTGGCTAAAATGACTAAGAGATGAAATATTGCATCTACTACAGGAGGCCAAAGAACAGAAAGGTATTTAGAAATTTGGTTAATTATTCTGTCTGCTAACTGAAAATACTGGGAGTATTTTTTGAAAAGCATAATGAAATGTTATTGGAAGAGGATCCCTTATCTGTAAAGAGTCAAGTATTTAAGAATTAATTTTTTTAAATCAATATTTTAAAGAATTTTAAATTCTCAGACAAAATGCCACTGTCACAAATTTGTTTCCACTGAGTGCTGCTTTTTGTATTGTAATTTGTAGGACACGTTGCCTAAATGGACAGCCTCGCTTTTCCAGAAAAGAGATAAGAAATCAGGAGGCAAAATAAAAAAAAATTCTCCTGGCAATCACAAGAGATTCTTAAAAAATCACACACTAATGTTTGTGTGCTAATCAATTAATTAAATAATTTATTCACATCCTTTTCAGTACATCCATTCAACAACTATCAGCTCCAAGGGAACAGGCCTGCTCAGGTCTGGGAAGCAGGCTCTATGATGTGTACGTAGAGTCTCAGGTCTCAGGTACTAGGATTGTATCTAGAAGTATTGGCTCCGGTGGGCATGTTCTCCTGGTTCTTTACAGACTATGGATATGGGAAGGGCATGGCTGGAGAAGGAGTAGACTAAGGCCTTTTAAAGGGCAGGGCCTAGAATAAGGAACCCGTTTGCTCAAAGACAGTATTCTTGACAATCAACCAAGCACCAGAATTTGGTTGAAATAATACAGGTGGAGTTAGTTTGAGTTAAATGACTTAATTTACATAAATCATTAAGAATGGTATCTGGCACGTGTAGGTACTGTATAGGCGTTAGCTATACTGTTATTAGTGTTGAGAAAACCAACCTAGGTTTTGGCTTATGGGATATTTTGAATATACTTTGCAAAAACAGAATGTGATGGTTTGGATATTTGCCCCCTCCAAATCTCATGTTGAAATTTGATCCCCCTGTTGGAGCTAGTGGGAGGTGTTTGGGTTATGGGGGCAGATCTCATGACCACCTTGGTGCCATCCTTGCGGTAATGAGTGAGTTCTCTCTCTATTAGTTCCTGCGAAATCTGATTGTTAAAAAGAGCCTAGCACCTTCTTCCCCTCAGTCTTCCTCCTCTCTTGTCATGTGATGCCTACTCCCCTTCACCTTCTGCCATGAATGGAAGCTCCCTGAAGCCCACATACTGACACCATGCTTCTTGTACCACCTCCAGAGCAGTAGGCGAAATAAACCTCTTTTCTTTATAAATTACCCAGCTTCAGGTATTTTTTTTATAGCAATGTAAAACAGACCGACACATAGAGATTGCTTGCAAAAAGACAAAGATTAAAAAAAATTTTAGTACTGGTTATGTTCAGATTTTTGTTCCATTGTCATAATATACCACTTAAATTATGCTGTTTACTTTGAGGTGTGGGCTCCCAGGTTTAGTAGCTTACTGTCATGCCTGTGGTCTGTCAAATGTGTGTTTTCCCACAAGATGGAGGCACAGCCCACGTCTCTGGGTCAGTGCCTGTGTTGGTCAGTTCTCAGTAGCTAATGTCTTATACTAGGTTTGTTTTACCATCTTACAAATATGTAGCATTGGTCAGGAGAAGAAATTGATGAGAGTGTGGATAAAACAGTCTAAATTCATCAACTGCTGGAAAAACTACTCAGAAGGCACATGCTTTAAGTGGTTGGTTAGTTTGTTTACTTTTTAAAGATTGGCTATGACTTGACCTTATAGTGTTTACTGATCTATTGTTTAGACTTCATGTCCAGAGGAATGGTTGGCTTACTTATGGTAAAAATAATTTTATTTCTGGTTCCATGAGTTATAATCTTATTACTCTTAATTGATTCTGTTAAGGTAATCTTAATGTAATCTATTTTGGGTATCCTTTAATCATATTGGCATGCTAGCTATCTCAAAAAAACAAATGATGAATTGACATACAAAACTTCAGCAGTGATGTGGCAACATTTTCCCTCTTAATCACCTTGGCATCATTGAGTTCCACATGAATTCAGGGCAGGACTGACGGGATCTCTCTGAGTTAACAAATCAAGGTGCCAAGTTGGGCTCGTTTTTTTACTTCTGAATGCCAGGAAGCTTGTCCGAAAATCCTAAAATAGCAAAGGGCTCCAGAATGAATCATCTCAATTTATTTTAGGCTTTCAGTTCCCACAGAGTAATCTTATGATTCAGTTCATCTAGTTTGAGAGAAGTCTAGCCAGTGGGGCTGTGACAAATCAGTGTAGGAAACTTGATAATGTTAAGAGAGAGTTGGTAAAAGCAAACTTTTAATTTTAGAACAAGATCCTCTTTATGGATGGGCTAAGCACGTTGCCATTCAAGCAGTAATAGGCCGAATCTAGGTCCAACACAGGGGGATCCATAATGAAAAGCTGCAGGATTAATTATGTCATATTGATCCATAGATGGCTGTTTCATTCATAGAAATAAAAAATAGAAGGATAATTGAGTAGCAGCAGAAAATGCATTCAAATTATGAAAATACTTTTCTTCTAAGAAAATAACATCATTTGGGAGGAAAACACCTGGTTTCTTTCTTCTGTCTTTGATTCATTCCTGTTTAAACTGGTGCTGCCTTCCTGCTTCCTCATTAATAAGTCTCCTTGTTTCCGGTGGAGGAGAAAAAACAAACCTTTCCTTTATCATTACAGAAAAGCATACTATTGATGTATGTGTTCTCCCCTCTCATTTGTGATGAATTTGCGATGAGAAAGAAGCTCCCATTGCCCCGTTTGTGTAAACATATGGGAGAATGACCATGGATTTTTAAGACCCTCATTTTGCAAGAATATTAACAGAGTTATCACTCTCGGTCATTCCTCTGGAAAATGTCATTTAAAAAATCCACACATAATATGATGGTGTCCTGAGATAAAAAATTGAACTGAGGCTCTTGATTCAGAATTAAGACCAATTTAGGAAAAGCTGTGAAGTGGAGAGAATTTTTCTTTGGGGAGATGATCTGCTCTTGGGGCACATGACAGTGCCCAGTTCACTTGGGCTAATTTGGCTCCTCTGAAATATCTCAGCCTCCTGAATTTTTCCTTTCCCCTTGTTGCCCGCATGAATACTTGTCCATCTTGTTGTCCATTCCCTCGGCACTGTTTCAAGGAGGCAGCCGTTTAAACTGAGAACTTATGCTGATGGAATTCAGATGCAAGGAGGCTCATAAGGAGCCACTCCTTCATTTTATTTATTTATTTACTTTCAAGAGAATTAAATCGTTTATTTATTACACATGATAATGGATGATACACAAGCTTCATTCCCATCTATAATTTTATCTGGTACCATGATTCGATTTAGATATATTGCATAGAATGTGTCAACAATCATTTTTATAACCAATAATTCCATGATTTTGCTTGGGTAATCCCTTTTAATGGTGAACTTCAGGTCACAGTAGTAACTATCAATTCAACTACACCAAGGTTTCTGAAGACAATGGCTTCTCCACCCAAGCAGATTGTATATAAATTCCAAATAGAATCTGGCATCACCCTAAAGGAATTCTAATTTCACACTGTTGGGGGAAATTTTCCAAGATGGCTTCAGAGTAGACTAACTTTACACAGCACATTAAAAAAAAAAGACATTTATTCAGCGTCATGATGAGACTATTACATTTAGCAATCAACAGCATGGGTGCAAAAAAAAAAATCTACATTAAAACCCTTTGTTGGAACGCTTTACATTTTTCATAGAACAGAAACCAAAATAACCTGTTATACAAATAGTCACAAATACAGTCCTCGAATTTTTTGCCCATATACATGAGTATTTGTCTAAAACTTGTCTTCTTTGTAGCAGCTAGGCCCTGCCACCACTGTGCTTGGCTGAGTTCGCAAATCTGTTGTAACCTGTAGCTTCCCTGTCACTTCTCTTGCTCTCCTCTCCTGCAAAGCTTTGTTTCCTAATTAAAATCTGCAGCTACTGCCATAGCTACTGCTGCTACTGGAACTGCCATAGCCACCTTGGTTATGTGGTTTGGCAAAGTATTGGCCTCCACCACCATAGGGGCCAGAGTTTCTGCCTCCAAAGTTTCCTCCCTTCATGGGTCCAAAATTTAAAGGCTGATTGTTGTAATTGCCAAAATCATTGTAGCTTCCACTGCCTCCAAAATTGCTTCAATCGTTACCATATCCATTATAGCCATCCCCACTGCCATCATATCCACCACCACCACGGCTGCCACCAAAGGCCCCACGACCACGGAAGTTTCCTCCACGACCAAAGTTGTTATTCCCACTGAAACCACTTCTAAGACCACCAGCAAAGTTTCCAGAACCACTTCGACCTCTTTGGCTGGATGAAGCACTAACCATCTCTTGCTTTGACAGGGCTTTCCTAACTTCACAGCTGTGGCCATTCACAGTGTGGTATTTCTGAATGACAGTCCTGTCCATGGAGTCATGGTCCCCAAAGGTTACAAAGGCAAAGCCCCTTTTCTTGCCACTGCTTCAGTCAGTCATGATTTCAATCACTTCAATTTTTCCATAGTGTTCAAAACAATCTCTTAGGTGATCATTTTATAGAAGAGAAATTGATTTCAATAGAAGTTAATGTGTACAAGACTTCACTACTACATAGAGAAAGCCTCGGAGCTGGAGCCTGGGTCTAGCCTATGTTCTCACAGCACCTTTAATCTTCCTGAATTGCCAGTGGCTGCTAATCCCTTTCTCAAGGACATTTACATTTTAAGAGGGGCAATTCCAGAGAACACATTCATAGACGATGAAGAAATAATGACTGGAATGGCAGTAACATCAGAGGCATCAAGAAGCTTGTATGGGTGTTCTTTTAGGAAAGAAAAGAGGTTTTGGAGTACAGGCTTTTGGAGGCCTTCAAATCCATACTGCTTGGTGACTGTAAGATCTTCCTGACCCACCGCTGGCCACAGGTAGAAGCTCCCTAGTCCTTGCCATTTGTCCTCAAGAAGCACCTTGGGACCAGTTCGCTCATTCTTCTTCTGATTAAAATGACAATCTTGTACCTTACTTTCCAGACAATTAAAATTGAGTAAGGCAACATTTTCTTTCTAAATTTCCATTGCTCCTCCAAGTTTTGTTAACTAAAATACTTGTTCTTTGGAGAAAATTTGAAAATTACGTAAGAGTTGAAAGAAAAAACAAAAAGACATCACCCACATACCTGTCAAAGCAAATCACCATGGCTAGGCACGGTGGCTCATGCCTGTAATCCCAAACACTTTGAGAAGCAGAGGCAGAAGGATTGCTTGAGGCCAGAAGTTCAAGACCAGCCTGGGCAACATAATGAGACTACATCTCTACAAAAAATTTAAAAATTTGTCAGGCATGGAAGCATGTGCCTAGAGTCTCAGCTACCTGGGGGGCTGGGGCAGGAGGCTGAGCCCAGGAATTTGAGGCTGCAGTGAGGTATGATTGTGCCATTGCACTCCAGCTTTGGTGATAGAATGAGGCCCTGTTTAAAATAAAATAAAATAAAATAAAATAAAATAAAATAAAATAAAATAAAATAGATAAACAGGTGGTGCTGGAGCAATTGAACATTCATAAACCAAAAAAAAAAAGAAAAAAGAAAAAAGCCAACAATAACCAGTAACTGTATTTTGCCTTTTTAAAATTACTTTTGCAAGTTAAAGACTAATAGTAATATTTTTCTTTCTTTTTCTTTTTTTGACAACTTTTTTGAATATAAAAGTAACATATGCCCATTGAAGAAAAACTGAAGAAAGCAGAGCCGTATAAAGAAGAAAATATATCATTAATAAGCTTGCACCTAATACTAGCCTGAGTGACCTGTTTCTTTCTAGTCTCTTAACAAAAAATTTGTATTTCCCCATTTCATTTCTTCATCATAAGTTAATCAGCATAAAGCTAGAAGGAGTTACTAATGTATTTCACTAGGGTGAAATAAAAACCTTTCAATCAGTTGTTAAATCTGTTTCAATTTGAGGCAAGGCTGGAAACAGGTGAGCTCTCTTTCAAAAGGAGACTTCTGCCCAGACTTTCTCCTGTAATAGTTCTTATTTAAAGCCTGTGACAGAATATTCTGAACATGGCAAAGGTGCGTTCTAAAATGTCAAGAATAATTGTAGCTTCTTTCAGCTGGGTCTCTTTTTGTCCTTTTCAGAATGCCTAGAGATGTGGCAAGCAGAGTCTGTGGTCATAGGTGGGACACTCGGTGACATATAACCTGAGGGGCTCTCTTATAGAAATGATGCTCATGGCTTGAGTGCACTCCAAGGACCCAAGCCAATTACCGCTCACCATTTCTGAGCACATTCTATTGTTAATCCTGGAACACCAGTGGCTTAAGTGCTCCTTCCTTTTTTTTTTTGCCTGCATCTCTTCCTTCTGAGGGACAAAGTGCAGTCTGAGAACACAGCATCTCTAATGGGGCAGCCTGATCACTCTTTTCGAAATGTACCTTCTGCACAATTTATGCTCTTAAACTGGGGTACACTTGTTTATCTAATGGAATCATTTACAATCTTCATTTCCTGCTCATGGCAGCTCACAGGGGATGCTCTCTCAGAGCTCAGTGGCAATTGCTTTGTCTACTCTTTGGCACTGATTTTTACTGAAGGAAATAATAAAGCTTAAGACATGTGGCCATTGTCCCTACACCTGCATGGTCTCCATGGAAAATCACATATCCTCCATGTATTTCCCCTACCTTCTTAAATTTCCAAGGAGTGCATTGCAATGGAGAGGAATCTCTATTTTCTCTCCACTCAGTGCCATAGGGAATTTTGCAAAATTTAACCCAACTCGGTGGCAATCAAATCTCCCATTCGCCTTCTGCAGATAGCTTGCTGGCATCAGCTTTCAGGCCACAGAAATGAACAGATGCTCATTCAGCATCTGTTCAGCATCAGCAGACTCCTGAGTGGCCACAGCCAGGTGTGTCTACCTTGGATGGAATGTCAGATGCTTTCACCTTGTTTCCATGTTAGTGGCAGGAGTGAG